>NT_187614.1:1278699-1598374 GCF_000001405.40 Homo sapiens
ATTTTAATATATTATTCAATGATCTTCACTTTTTATTTCTACTGCCTCTTTTTTTGAGTCCAGGTCTTTTTTTTTGTTTTTTTCTTTTTTTAACAAAAGACAAGGTTTTACTCTGTTGCCCAGGCTGGAGTACAGTAGCCCAATTATAGCTCACTGCAGCCTCGAACTCCTGTGCTCTAGTGATTCTCCTGCTGCAGCCTCCCAAGTAGCTGGGACTACAGGCACACACTACCACACCCAGCTTTTTTTTTTTTTTTTTCCTGTAGAGACGGGGTCTTGCTGTGTTGCCCCAGCTGGTCTTGAACTCCTGGACTCAAGCAGTCCTCCCACCTTGGCCTCCCAAAGTGCTAGGATTACAGACATGAGCCACCACTGCACCTGGCCTTTTAATTTTTTCTTTCTTTTTTTTTTTTTTTTCTTTTTGAGACGGAGTCTTGCTCTGTCACCCAGGCTGGAGTGCAGTGGTACCATCTCGGCTCATTGCAAGCTCCTCCTCCCGGGTTCACGCCATTCTTCTGCCTCAGCTTCCCGAGTAGCTGGAACTACAGGCACCCACTACCACGCCTGGCTAATTTTTTGTATTTTTAGTAGAGATGGGGTTTCACTGTGTTAGCCAGGATGGTCTCGATCTCTTGACCTCATGATCTGCCCACCTCGGCCTCCCAAAGTGCTGGGATTACAGGTGTGAGCCACCGCGCCTGGCAAATTTTTTTTTTTTTAATTCCCACATCGACTATTACACTAACGGCATATTAACCAATAGTCTGTATTCTCATCAGTTCTGTTTCATTGCCAGATTCACCTTCCTCCAATATCACATGCTACTCTTTGCCTCTAGCATAAAACCCAGACTCTCAAGCCTGCCAGTCAAGGCCATCGATGACTTGTTGCCTTGCTACTTTTCTCTCCTTATCGCCTATTTCACCCCATGTGCTGTCCAGAGCAGACACCTGCAATCCCTGGGACACACTCCCTATTCTGCATGTCTGTTCATTCTGCTCATAGCCTGCAGCATCTCCCACCCCCGTCTCACTGTTGTTTCCTGTTGAAATATTCAGTCATGAGGTCACCAGCCTTTCTAGGGAGACTTCAGATTCTCCACCCCCACTGAGCTTTCTTCTTTGAACCCATTCTGTTTGTTCCTCCCAAACAGTTAAACTGTTAACTGTATAACAGTTCACAGACACACTTATTGGGGGCTTTTTTCTTGCTAAGTATGTTAACTTAAAAGTCAAAGAAGTATGCCTGTGTGTACTGTAATCTTGTATTTGGTATTATCGAGATTTTATGTTCATATATTTGGAATAATATATTTTAATTTCAATTGTAGTATTTGCAAAACACTTCACTTAAGGTCTTTTTCCAGTTATTGTCGGCCTCCTCTGAGCTCGGCGCTGACTCAGTATTCCTGAGCACCTTATGCCCTCGCTCGTATGCAGTGCCACCCTGGGAAGCCTTCTTTATGGGCCATGGTTTCTTTCTTTTACATAGTGAAAACAGGCCTCTTGTTCACTGGATTCTTGAGAATAAAATGTTCTTTTTAATTTTTTAATTTCTGAGAAGGACTATTTTAAATGTAACCCCTAACAGATAATTATTTAAATAAACAAACTTTGTGTTTTCACATCTGTGTATTACGCCACTGTCCCTCAGCATGCAATACAGACATAGCCATTTCTGTGCAAACCCCAAAAAAAGTTGGGTAGAGGCTTCCTGTCTGAGATGCTTTTAAAGGCCCCCAGCTTGTATGTTTGTTTACAGTTTGCTGTTTACAAGATTATTTTTGCAACTGTCCTATAAGATGAAGATGAGTTTCTTGCCTCTTTTGCTGAAATCTCTCCAAATCATCTCACTTCTTTAATATACTTTCCTCTGCTTCCATGTCACTTTGTATAGATCCATATTATGTATAGCATCTACCACCAGGTTGTTTCCTAATTATTCATAGGTTAGGTCTCCATGCTAAACCATTGCACCGCTTGAGGGCCGGCTCCTTATTTTGTTCTTAGCTCATGGCAATGTTGGAAAAGACCCAGAATGAAAGGTTCTCCTCTGGGACTTCTGATTCCCCACCCTTTGCTTAGAGGGTTTTTGGGGTCATTTTTACTTAGGATTGAACCCTGGGAAAGGCTCTCTCAAGAACACTCTTACATGTCCATCACTTCCAAGACCCTAAACTTTGTATACACTATAGGTTTTCTCCTGCTATATACTATATACTATAGGTTTCTCCTGCTATATACTATATACTATAGGTTTTCTGTGCTATTTAAACCAGGTTTGGTTCTGATGGCCTTCCTATAAATTATTACAGGTCAAGTGTCACCTATCGAATTCTTGCGTCCAGAGGAATTTCGTATTTCAGATTTTCTTGGATTTGGAAATATTTGTATTATCCCCGTTGAGCATGCCTAATCTGAAAATCTGAAATCTGAAGTGCTCCAGTGAGCATTTTCTTACAGCATAGTTCGTGTCGGTGCTCAAAAAGTTTTAGATTTCGGAGCATTTCAGATTTCAGATACTTGAGTTAGAGATACTCACCATGCAGTTACTATGGAGCATGAAGAACCCCAGCAGGGCTCTGTAGTGATTTATAGCTTTCGGTCAGTGTTCTGGACTCTGCTTTCAGGATTTTTCTTTAAGAAGAAAACAGTTCTGGAATGGATTCTGTAAGTGCATTAACAAAGCATAAAGGCCTGGCTGCTTTGTTATTTTTAGTGTTGGTATTAAGTGTCAAGCTAAGAAAGGATATTTAGATCGAGGACCTTACCTCGTTAGACTTGGAGTTCAAGTTGCTGGCAGCACCTGGTCATGGGAAGCTCTCACCAGCCACCCTCAGAAATGAGGTCCTGAATGAGCCATAACCACACCCTATGCTTTACCACTGTCTCCCTGGGGAGCAGAACACTTTATAAACATTAATTCTTTGACCCCCTGGGCACCTCCACTTACGTGGTAAATAAGACTGAAGGCCTTTCTTCTACAATATAGATGAGGAAACATCAGCCCAGAAGGGAAATTACTTGATGAGAGACAGGTGAGCAGCCATGGGCCCCAGGGTGTTTGGAGTCTCAGTAGCTGACCTGCAGCAGCACTCGTGGCTGCCGACACCCAGGAGACACAGTCCTGTTCCGTTCCCCTTTCTGCTTCTCAGAGGGTAGTGGGGGTTGGGCCTTTTGTCTCTTGTATGGAATGTGAAATGCTGCAAAGACGAGCAATTGTTCTTCAATGCTTTGTCCTCCCCTATAAGAAAGAAGAAATCAATACACATTTTCTCATACACACACTTGGCAGCACTCTGCCTTCTCTTCCACAGCTCGGTCCTACAGGGGGAAACACAACTGTACAGCCAGACAGACTCTTCAGGTTCAGGGGAAGAAATGCAAACTGCTCACTTTGCACTTAGCAGTCAGGCTTTTTAGAGCCAATCGTATAACTGGCTGAGGTAATCAAACTGCTGACCTCAGAGACTAGCTGGTGAAACGAGTGGGAGAGATGCCCTGTTGCAGGCCCCCTGTTGCAGGCCTGCTCAGTGCTGCTGGGGAAAGCTCACCTGGCAGGTGTTTAGGACAGATGCTCCTTTTGCTGAATTTCTGATTTGCAGAGGCAGGAAGGAAGTTCTTTGAAGGATACTATTAAAAACCAAAAAATTATGGACAGATTGAGAGCAGCCTTTTTTTTTTAATCAATTAATAGGCATACAGTCTGAACAAGAGCCCCATCTCAGACTGGATTTTATTTTTTCATCAGAAAATGTGGTATCGATATCTGTAATTTTGTCTTACAGCTCACTGCCATTAAACAGTTGTGTGGGATGTGAATAAAAAAGAATTTGCTGCCATTGTTAGGAGAAATGGTAGCTTGGGTGTCAGAAGAGCCTTGCAAGGCAGGAGATGAGTTTAGGGGGAGGGCAGGGGAGCGGGGACTCGGGCTCTGGGGTCCTTCACGCGGAGGAGACCATTAGACCATTAGAGTGTGTGTAGGATCACCAGGGGAGGGTGTCAAAAGAAGAGAGGAAGCCAAGAGCAGAACCTGGGAGAAGGAAGGCAGAGGAGAGCCAGGAGAACACATGCTCCTTGAACGCTCGGGGGGAGACTTCCGGGTAGGGCAGCTGGCCAGCAGCTGGAAGGGCTTGCTCCCCAGGCCCCAGCGGTTCCTCTGTGTCCCCTGACTCGCATTGCAGAGCTGGCACTTTGCATTTGCTCACTTACTAGTTACTTCTTGTGCGTTTTGATTGGTACCCGATTTCTAAGCAAAAGAAATCCTCCAACTTATTACCAGAAGTAATAGCAGAGTGCCTTGCCAAAACTCTATGGGTTGACATTGAATACCCTCACTAATTCCTGCGTGTTGAAGTTAAGCTAGAGCTGAGCGATGCATCCTGTGCTCCCCCAACACACACACACACACACACACACACACACACACACACACGCATGCACACACGCCCTGGGTTGTTGGGCAGCATCCTGATACGGATACAAATGTAACTGGAATGTCAGTCTCACCTTCTGTGCGGCTGGGGGAAGTGATTCACGTCTAAGCAGTGAAGCATCCCCTAGCTTTTAACAGGAGCTGTTAGAGGGGCTGCTGTTTGAACAAGGAGCTTCATCTTCCTGAAGCCAGCAGTCACAAAACCGTAAACACAACACTGGCCAACTCTATTGCGGGGACCGTGGTGGCTTGACGTTAATATTAAACATCTCCAGCAAGGCAGAGAGCTCTGCATCCCAGGTCCGGAATAAAAATAAATAAAAATAAAGAGAAACCCTGCTAAAAGCAGTGTGATGATTTGTCGTCTTTCCTTTGTGAGGCCATTTGTCTTCTCTCACATCAAATCTGTTATAAAACAGTCAAACTGTGAAAGTGGACATCATCCCGGGAATATGGAATATTAATGCGTGGAAGGAGCGGCGCCCCTTTTGTCTGAAGAGTGGCTCCTCCCCCACCCCTCTGCTTTTTTGCAAGTCCGCTAAGGTAAATTATTTTTCTTTAAAATCATGTGGAAGATTTGAAGCTAGTAGTAGGGATGGTGGAAGTTTTGAGTATTTTTCTTCCTTTGTTAAAGTGCAGGGGATTTGTGACTGGCTTGAGTAAGGAGGAAGCACAAGTGAGAAGAAAACCTGTCCACGTGCAGTCCCCTTCTCGCCCCCATCCCTCTCCCCTCTCCTCCCTGTTCCCCAGCCTCTCAGTTCCTTTGTTTGGGGCCTGAACCTGCTTCTTGGAACATTTATAAATCTTGAGTCTGTCTGATCTTTAGGGGACAGGCCAGAGGCCGTGTGTCACCATGTGTAATTTAGAGCTGTAGGGCTAAAAGCTTTTCCAGAGGTTTGAAGGACCTAGTTCTGACCTGACCAAAAGAACGAATTGGAACAGACCTTCTAGAGTCTCCTTCAAGCACTGGGGAGGATGGTGATGAGAGCAGACACACGGGGTAATTTATGGGCTCCGCTGACTGGTGGCTGGGTCCACTTGGAAACGAGTCGTGTACTGCCACCTTGTGGCAGATTCGGGCGGCTGCGGTTTTGTTGTTTTGGAACCTTGTGAAGAGTTTCAGCTAGTGTCGGATTGGACATGATTTGCCTTGTATCTAGATTTAGGTAATTAGTGATAGATAAGGGGTGTCTCTGAGTCATTCTTATTTTGCTAAGTTGATCCTGTTAAGAAATAAGTCTTAGCTGAAAGAAGACTGCTTTCTTTCCCCTTTACCTCCTTTCTTCTGCTTTGTGGTTTTTTTATGGGGGTTTTTGTTGTTGTTCAGTTTTGGTTTGTTTTTTGGTATGGAATTATGATGAGATTTCAGGAGAGAAGCCTGTGATCCTCCTTGGGTTGTTGGGGGATGTTAAGAGGAGAGTGAGGGAGAGTAAGTACCGACTTTTTGGCCGTATTCAGAAATCCTAAGTTTTCTACTATAGTGATTTTTGTGTCATTCTGACTAAATACTAACTCCTTATCAGCACTGTGTCTTTTTACTTGGATTACTTTCCCAGCAATCCAGCCTTCTTGGGGAGCTAAGTTTTTCTTTTCTTTTTTTTTTTTTTTTTTTTTTTTTTAGATGGAGTCTCACTCTTTTGCCCAGGCTGGAGTGCAATGGCACAATCTCGGCTCACTGCAACCTCCGCCTCCCAGGTTCAAGTGATTTTCCCGGCTCAGCCTCCCAAGTACCTGGGATTACAGGCACACACCACCACGCCCAGCTATTTTTTGTATTTTTAGTAGAGACGAGGTTTCTCCATGTTGGCCATGCTGGTCTCAAACCCCTAACCTCAGGTGATCCGCCCACCTTGGCCTCCCAAAGTTCTGGGATTACAGGTGTGAGCCACTGCGCCCAGCCTTGAGGAGCTAAGTTCTAATGCATGTCACCTGTGTCTGAGCCCATTCCCGTGACATACATAGGGCTGCCCCTACCACACAGCCCCAAAGAGCACAGGGCGATTGCCTGCCATTTGGATCAGTATGTTTCTCCTTTTAGGTCATAGAGACACTTCTCAAATATCTTTCTCTCATTTGTAAAGTCACTGATACCGAGTAGGATGAATTTGGGTCGGGGAAAGCAAAGGAATGATGAAAGGAGGGTGCCATTTAGTCCCTCGTGTTGGTTGGGAGCAACTGTAATGCATGCACACAGGTCCTCAGCATGTTGCTCTGTCTCATTCCATTTCTCATGATCATAGATGACGATGCCATTTATGCAATGCGGACTTTGCTTAGTGCTGTAAAAACAGTATGTTTAAGGAAGATATTGTCACCATCTTACTGATGAGGAAGCTAAGATTCAGGGGGCTAAGTAATTTACCTAAGGTCCTAGACCCAGTAAGGACCTGAGCCAGTCAGAACCAACTCTGACAGCACCTTCCAGCCCCTCTGCATTTGTGATACCATGCTCTATGCCATATAAAAGCATTCGCCTTGTTCTATTTAACTATTCAAGATTTCTATTAAGCTGGTTTCTCTAAGTATATAAGAAAAGAAAGCTGCTGTCCAAGCCGGGCGCGGTGGCTCACGCCTGTAATCCCAGCACTTTGGGAGGCCGAGGCGGGCAGATCACGAGGTCAGGAGATCGAGACCATCCTGGCTAACACAGTGAAACCCTGTGTGTACTAAAAATACAAAAAAAAGTTAGCCAGGCGTGGTGGCGGGCACCTGTAGTCCCAGGTACTCGGGAAGCTGAGGCAGGAGAATGGCGTGAACCTGGGAGGCGGAGCTTGCAGCAAGCCGAGATGGCGCCACTGCACTCCAGCCTGGGTGACAGAGCGAGACTCCGTCTCAAAAAAAAAAAAAAAAAGGGAAAGCTGCTGTCCTGTGGTCTGTAGACATTTTTAAGAGGAAAATGGAGGAGTGAGTAGCCTTTGCCCTTTGGCCTACTTTGGTTTCTGGCAATCAGAATGGAGGCACGTGCTTTATTGGAGAAGGATCCCTTTGTTTGGTGCCGTTAGCATGTGCCAAGTGATAATTGGCAAGACATCTTTTTCCGCAGACATTTGGGAGGCCCTGGGCATACTGATAGATAGAACAGAAGAGAGTGGAGGCCTTGGGAAGACAGAGAGAGAAGTATGTGTTCAGAGTGCAGGAGAGATGGAGTCCTGCTCCACCTGCTTTGGGCTCACGAGGGCTGCGGGTTCTGGAGACCTTGCTTTTGGAGCTTTGGCAAATGGAGGGCTCATAGGAGTGCAGTCAGGATGGCAAGCAGACTCGGTCACAGGAGGAATGGAGGCAACTGAGGCCGCTGAACCCGGAAAAGAACAGATTTAGTTAGAAGAAGACATCAAATAGTTGAAGTGCTGCCACAGGGAATAGTAGTCAGCCTTACTTCTCTCTGGCTTTAGAGGGACAAGAGCCCATGGCTGTAAGTCCTAAAATGACAGAATTGGGTTCAGCAGGAGGAAGAATGTTTGTGTGTCTCCCCAAATGGAGTGGTTTGTCTGAGACACACTTACTGCATGTATTCACCTTCCCGATCTAGCTTCTGCTGTGCCTTTCATGTCTTTGTGAACCTCCACAAAATCTAACAAAGTTCAAATAAGCATTCAAATATTTTTAATTAATTGATTATACCTGTAGTATGTTAGGTTTTGAGGCCAGGAATCATATACATCTAGTACATGTTTAAGCTTCCACCACACTAAGCAAATTGTTTTCAAAGACAAACGTGAAAAAAGGCAGCATCAGTACATCACCAATAATTTTAAAAGCACACATCTGTCATTGGTGACCGCGCTGGTCTGTGCAGAGCAGGCGTGTGTGTGAATCTCTGTGCTGACTGACCATATCTGGGCAGACTCTACTTGTAGGGTTTCAGATCGGATCCAGACCCTGCTAGCCGTGAGTGCTGCTATGATTGGAACCCTTTGTCCGACTTGCCTGCCGTGTGCTTTCTTCTTTTCCCTTGATTCTGCAATGTATGTATGGGATTGAGTTAAGGCAGAAGCAAATGCTACAGCACTTTTGTGTGCAGTGTGGGAGAGGTAGAGGATTAGAAAGGAAGGAAGGGCCATGACATTCTGGGATGTGTCTTATGTATTTAGGGAGACCCCCCACTCCTAAGAAGCAACAAATGAACAATTTTTAATTAGTCAAAGGCAAATTATGTGTATCATTTTATGTATTTATTTATTTTTAATAGAGACAGGGTCTCACTGTGTTGCTCAGGCTGGTCTCAAACTCCTGGGCTCAAGTGGTCTTCCCACCTCAACCTCCCAAAGTGCTGGGATTACATGAGCCACCATACCTGGCCTATGAGTCACTTTTCGTCTGGAAAGCAGCAGCATTGTCTCCGCCAGCTCCTTTGGAAGACTGGCACATAATACTTGCTCGGAGACCATGATGCGCTTTGGGAGGCTGCACAGGCTTTTTCGGGGAGCAGTGGAATGGCTGTGTTCTCTCTGCTGTCCACCTGTCTTTGTGGGTAGGTACAGCTCAGGGATGTCTTGGAGGCCTGGGGGTTCCAGGGCCAGTGTAGGAGGAGTGTGGTTTTCTGTAGAGTGGATGGTACAATTCCTTCAGAATCCCCAGTGCTGCAAGCTACTGACCTAGCAAATTGAAAGCCCCACACAGATTATTTGCAGGTTTAATATGCTCCTTTGTACTGTTTGCCCAAGTGACATCGTGAAAGACAGTGATCTGTATTGTGGTGGGGTGAGTGCACATGTGGAACTGAAAGGAACATATTTGGGTCCACACATCGGTGAGGGGCTGCATTCTCATACACATACACCCCCATTTCACTCAGAGCTTTTAAAACCTTACCTGCCACTCAAGTGATTGCAGTTCACAGCTAGCTACAATGTGCATACTTTAAGTCTCTTCAGAAGAATCACATAATAAATAAGCCGAATCCTAAGACAGACAGACAGACAGACAGACACACACACACACACACACACACACACACACACGCACATTCTGTCTTTATGGAAAATGGCGGCTAATCCATGATCATTTTTTTTTCTAGAAACAGGTTTTAAGATAATATAGTAAAAATATTAAATTAGAAAATGCCTCACTAAGGGTTATAAAACCTTACTGCACTAGAGATAGGTAATTATCCCCTCTACAGCTTAATGACAGTTTAAAAGAAATAAAAATGTTAGTGCTCATTACTTGCTTTTGTAGTTTGCAATAAAGGGTAAGTTAAATTTTAATTCAAGGAAGAGCCCCTGCTATCGACCTTCTACCTCAGGTCCAAGTCCTGTTAATTACTCCGCAGGCTGCTCCCCTGCATGATACCAGCATGAACGCATTGTCTACAGTGGACACTCCCACTGACCATGAGTGTGTGTGTGCTGGGGGGTGGGGGTATTACAGATCAGTGATTTGCATCTTGATTCTTAATGTGATGGGGAGCAGGAATTATGTGTTTTTTTAAAAAGTTGATTATGCATAGCCTTAAGGGGACCTCAGGTATGAAACTACACACTTACCCTGGAGAATCTGATGGAACAAGGTTAACCTGGAGGATTGATAGTTTAGCTTCTCCACATGGCTAAATCCCAGTTAGGAAGATGCAGCCGGGGGGAAATGTTTATGCAGTGGAAGGCGGTCTGGCCCTCTGTCCAGTGGCACCTTTTTGTAGCCTCGTCTTTACTTGCAGTTTTTCTTGGGATGGGGTAAGGGCTGTGGACATGTTTTGTTTCTTTTCAGATGTCTTTGCCTTTCCCTAAGCACCTAGACACCTGCCTAGGTTTGAGGGAGGAAGAGCTCAGTGCACCCTGTGGCTCAGTCTTCACACTGGGGTATGCAGAGACTTTCCAAGGGGAAGGTAGACACAGATAGTCAAGGAGTCAGTCTTCAGACGTACGCTCTTTCCTAAAGCTGTCTGCCCCAGAGCAGGCCTGTGCTGGAGGGCTAGGTTGTCCTTTTACCCTCGTCCTTCTCTGGCCTTGAAAAGCCTCCCTCGAGCCCCTCCTTAAAGTGACATGGACCTCGGGCTGCCACAGGAAAACCTCCAGGGCCTCAAACCCAAGGACAGCTGGAAATATGGGTACAGAGATTGAGAAAGCAAACGCCTAAGGACTAGAGGACAAGCCCTGTGCAGGCCGGGTGGTTTCTGGGTCTTCACTTCCAGCAGAATCGCTGGAGAACACGAGTTGAATTGAGTTGGCAGTTGGTTGACCGTTAGGACTAATGTTTGGGGACGAGTCACTGTGCGATTTTTTGTGTGTGCTGTATAATTCAGAAAGAGCAAAAAGAATCAAGTGGCATTGCTATGCCAGAACTCTGTCATTCCTATCTGCTTGTTTATATGACAACATTTCTCAGTGCTTATGTCTACAAAAAACAAAAAAATAGGAGTAGAATTGATGCTGAACCCTCCTTCATTCTGGCAATAAATAATATTCCTCCATGGATCCATGAACAAATGGAGGGAAAAGCCTCATCCATATCATTAAGGGATGCATTTCTAATAACATTTTACACATGTATGAATACTAAATTTTCACTAAAATTAGGATATATTATATCATATTATTATATATTGATTATATCCTAATAATAATCCAGAGGAACATTTTTAAACTACTTAGAGCCTTATAATGTCAAACAATTAAAATATTTTCATTTCAATTTTTTGAATTTTAAAAATTTCAAAAGTGCTTTTATTTACAGACTAATGTGGCCAAGAAGTATGATAAGGGTGATTGATAAAAGACATTCAAGCATGAAACCATTATATTAGGACAAAACTCTGTAGGGAAAAGTCAGGTGGAAATAAAATTTAAAAAGAAAAAGGTGCTATAAAATGTCCAAGTTAAAAAGTTTATGTGTGGCCCACGCCTGTAATCCCAGCACTTTGGGAGGCCAAGACGGGCAGATCATGAGGTCAAGAGATGGAGACCATCCTGGCCAACATGGTAAAACCCCGTCTCTACTAAAAATAAAAAATTAGCCGGGCGTGGTGGTGCGCACCTGCAGTCCCAATTACTTGGAAGGCTGAGGCAGGAGAATCGATTGAACCCGGGAGGCGGAGGTTGCAGTGAGCCGAGATTGCGCCACTGCACTCCAGCCTGGCGACAGAGCGAGACTCCATCTCAAAAAAAAATAGTTTATGTGTTACTTGAATGAACGATGAGTATCAAATCATTATGGCATGTAGGTTCCATTGCAGGCATTACAAAAGTTAATTTTCACAACATCCTGGTCATTATATATTTTGTAACTATTTAAACTTACTGTGAAAAACGTTATAAAAATGTGCAACCCTACCTTCTCCAACCTAGTAAAGAGGGAGGAAGGGCTGTGCCTCCCTGTACCACCCAGCTGCTCAGGGCAGGAGCCAAAGCCAGGACCTGGAAAGAGGAAGGGCTGAGGCCAAGCTGAACCGCTGGAATCTACAGTGGGGGTGGCTGGTGGGGGGCGTGTGGGGCGGGGATCTTCATCCCCATGCTGCTCCTGGGCCCCAGGGAGGGTCTGCTTTGTCTGTCTCAGAGAAGGGAGTGGAAGAGTCAGCCAGGAGGTTGTTGCTGTGTGCTTCATGAGAAACGGTGAGATCTGACCTAGTGGAAGCCTGGAGGAGCTGTGAAGTTTGAGATGCTTTGAAGGTAAAAACGGTCACCAGCTGGTGATAGTGGGTGAGGAAGATGTAAAAGTTGAAATTGCTTGGGGACTTTTAGATTGAAATAATCCCCTATTGATATTCTCTCTCTCTGAAAATATTTTAAGAACCCAGACCACTCAGCTTCCCAGGTTGCTTTGCCATGAACAGCTGCATATGTTTGTCAGCTTTGCCCACCTGAGTGTGAAATGATGTTCTATGAAAACATGGGTTTCAGCATTTCACTCTCTGCTCCTGACACGTGAACCCTGCTGCGGACAGTAACTGCTGCCTTCGGCCCAGGCGTTGCACTGATATTGCGCGCAGAGTGGAAGCATTTGCTCAGTGGTAATGATGGGGTCTGGTGCAGGCAAGCGCGGCGAGGCTGGAAAGGGTATGATGTGAAGGGCTAGCCTCGCGCCTCTGCATTTCTTTCTCATCAGACGTTGTTGTCCTAAAGTCACACTGTCCTTTTGTTATGGCAACTCTCCCTTTCACGCCATTTAATTTTTTGTGTGGAAACAGCTAGAGAGACTTGTCTTTACTGGCAAATAGGCAGGCCATGGTGTGATGAAGTGGAGCCTGCCCTGGGCACCGAAGTATCCGTGTGACGGAGCTGCTGATTTGGAAGCCGTGGGTTTGCATTTGGTCTGGGGCTGCCGTCCACCTTGGCAGGCTTCGTCTGGGCTGATTGAGGCTAGTCACATGGATGTGTGTAACAGAAGAGCAGAAGAGATGGGTGGAGCCAAGGGGGAAGCTGTGTCCTTTGTCTGTGGCCTAGGGGTCTGCTGGGTAGTTCAGGGTGAAGGCACCAGCACATTCTTGGGATAAAATTCCTGTAATAAAATTGGAGGCCTGTTGTTTTCTGGCCTGCACTTTCACTGCCTGTCCCTCCCGCGGTCCCCAACATGATAAGGCTAGCTTACATTTGTGGCTTCTGTAGTTCTTCCTTAAGATGTTTTTCTTTTGACTTTTTTAAAGCTTTGATACTCTATTCCTTTTGTTGGATTTCCTAATTGTAGTACCTTTATTCCTATCCATAACTATAGTAGGGTGACTTCAAAAAAAGACCAGTAGTTTTTTGTGTTGAAGCCTTGCTGTTTGAAAGGTGGGGTTTTTTGGTTTTGCTTTTAAAGTCTGATGTGCCGATGCTGACCCTCAGATGATGAGAGCACTTTTAAAACAAGACGGCAGGCTGGAATTTGAGTTCCATCTTGAGAATATCCGAGCAGGTGTAGATTTCTTCTGGGGCTCCTGGCCCATGACCTCAGCCCTGTGTGCGCCTGCCCTGTCTCTGTGAGGGCTACCGGCTGGGCCTTCTGCAGGGCGTGGACATGGATGGCTGCCTCTGCGGCCACGTGCTACACGCCCACCTCCCTGATGACAGGGACGTCCTCACACGGGTCTTGCCTGCTTGGAACCTCATGGGTCCCTCATGTCTCTGCAGGGAGGATCTGCTCTGTATCCACAGGGGAAAGTGTTCTGGAGCTTCTGTCTCAACGATAGGAAAGATCCCTGCCCCACCCACACCCCTTTTAGGTTTTCCAGGCCTTGACACATGGCTTTGGCCGATGTTTGTGTGTATGTTGCATTTAAAAGAGTTTGAAAGTGGTCATTTACTTTTCTTTTTAGGGGCCCAAGACCCTGGCATGTTATTGTTTTAATGTCAAAACCCAACTTTAGAAATAAATTAGCCAATCATATTATTTATTAGACTGAGAATAGAGACAGGGCAGCTGGGGAGTGTGGAAGAAGCTTGGTTCTCTTCCTGAACAACTGCACAGATGATAGTAATTGGAATCGTGTTGCTGGCTCATTTTCATTGTTTTTCAAGTACTGCCAAGTCCAAGAAAATGTATGAAAACTAAATTATATCCCCCTACATCCCATGTCTGATTGAATCCTCCTCATCGGATGGCGGTCTCCTACATCCTATTAAAATATTCAATCTTGTTTTCTTACTTGAAGAGCCTGTCTGCAAAGGGCAAACTTACAGAACACTCATTCCCTGGAGACGGGTGTCCAGCCGCACTGGACCATTTACATATTTTACTGTTTGATTGGGTTTCTTCCTTCTGTTGTATTTGTGAGTAAGAGCTGTGGGGTGCATTTTTAATTACATGGCTGTGTTTTCAACAGAAGAAACAGAATGGGGTATTTTCCAGCTTCTGCGTTCCTTTTTAACCTTGAATAGTGAACCAGTGTGTTAACCAGTTTGCTGTGTTTGTCTTTTAGGACAGAACTGTACCGCTCTCTTTTTGGCCAGCTCCACCCTCCCGACGAAGGCCACGGGGATTGACATCGCCCACCTCCGACACCCAGTGGGCGCCTTGGCTGGTGCGGCTGCTGGTCCAGATGGAGGAAACCAGTGACTTTATGGGGCTGAGCTAGTAGGGAAGCCCCTGGAAAGATGCTGCGTTCCGAACCTGTGCCTAATACACGCAAGGGCGCTGTCCCGCCCAACCCCGCCTTTAAACGCCACAAATAAAGAGCATTGTTACCGCCACCACCGCTTGTGATTTCTTAAGAGGCTGAGAGTCAGTCTGGTTTGGTTCTAGTGGATGACACATTTACTGAGCTTTTTTTTTTCTAGTCCAGTGGCCTCCTCATACAATGTCAGACTTGACGTTTCCTTGACCCACTCACCCTGGCGGACATGTAGATTGTTTGCATAGCGTGGCTGTTGTGGGTGAAATGAACGTGGGAGTGCAGGTGTCCCTTCAACACAGTAATGTCCGTTGATCTGTATATATACCCAGAAATGGGATTGCTTGATCGTAGGATAGTTGAATTTTTAGTTTTTTTAGTAACTCCTTACAGTTTTCCATAATGGCTGTACCAGTCCACGTTCACCCCGGCAGCGTGCCAGAGCTCCCTTTTCCGCGTCTTTACCAACACTTGTTAACTTTCATCTTTTTTAAAAAAAGTTTTTATTGCCATATAATAGTTGTATACATTTTAGGGGTTCATCTTTTTGATAGTAGCCATTATAACAGGTCTGAGGTGATGTCTCATTGTGGTTTTTTTTTTCTTTTATCTTTTTTTTTTTTTTTTTTTTTTTTGAGACTGAGTCTTGCTCTGTCTCCCGAGCTGCAGTGTAGCGGCACAATCTCGGCTCACTGCAACCTCCACCTCCCAGGTTCAAGCAATTCTCCTGCCTCAGCCTCCTGAGTAGCTGGGATTACAGGTGCTCGCCACCATGCCCAGCTAATTTTTGTATTTTTAGTAGAGACGGGGTTTCACCATATTGGCCAGGCTGGTCTTGAACTGCTGACCTTGTGATCTGCCCACCTCGTACTCCCAAAATGCTGGGAATACAGGCATGAGCCACCACGCCCGGCCTCGTTGTGGTTTTTCTGTGCATTTCCCTAATGATTAGTGGGGCTGATAATTTTTTAATAAGCCTGTTGGCCATTTGTATGTCTTCTTTTGAGAAATATCTGTTCAGATTCTTTGCCCATTTTTGAAATGGGTTATTTGTTTTCTTGCTTTTGGGTTTCTTACATGGATAAGGGGTATTCAGCCTTAGAAAGAAGGAAATTCTGACACTCGCGACAATGTGGTTGAACTGGAAGACATTATGCCGAGTGAAATGACTCAAGCACAGAAGGACAGAGACCCCCTGATCTCAATTATACGTGGAATCTACAAAAGGCCAACTCATGGAACTAAAGAGTAGAATGGTGGTTACCGGAGGCTGAGGGGGGTGGGGGAGCAGGGAATGCGACATGTTGGTCAAAGACTACAGTTTCACGTCAGAGGAAGTATTTGTTTATGTATGTATTTATTTATTTATTTATTTATTTAGAGATGGAGTGCAGTGGCACAATCTTGGCTCACTGCAACCTCCGCCTCCCAGATTCAAGCAGTTCTTCTGACTCAGCCTCCCAAGTAGCTGGGATTACAGGCCCCTGCCAACACGCCCAGCTGATTTTTTTTTTTTTTTTTTAGTAGAGATGGGGTTTCACCATATTGCCCAGGCTAGCTTCGAACTCCTGACCTCAAGTGATCCGCCCACCTCGGTCTCCCAAAGTGCTGGGATTACAGGCTTGACCCACCGTTCCCAGCCAGAGGAGGAAGTTTTGAGATCTGTTATACAGCAGGGTGACTATAGTCAATAATGTATTTTTCAGAGTAACTCAGTAAATTTCAAATGTTTCACCATAAAAAATGATAAGTGAGGTGATGGATACATGGACAGGCTTGATTTAATCGTTCTACGTTGTATATACACTATCAAGACATCACATTATACCTTATAGGTGGATACAATTATGTTTGTCAATTTAAACTATTAATTTTAAAAACACTTAAGACCAGGCGCTTCTGCTCATGCCTGTAATCCCAGCACTTTGGGAGGCCGAGGTGGGTGGATCACTTGAGGTTGAGACCAGCCTGGCCAACATGGTGAAACCCAGTCTCCACTAAAAATACAAAAATCAGCCGGGTGTAGTGGCATGTGCCTGTAATCCCAGCTACTTGGGAGGCTAAGGCAGGAGAATCGCTTCAACCCGGGAGGTGGAGGTTGCCGTGAGCCAAGATCACGCCACTGCACTCCAGCCTGGGTGACAGAGTGAGACTCCTTCTGGAAAAAAACAAACAAACAAACAAAAAACACTTAAAAGGAATGATGCTGGGATAGGATGCTTCTTTCTTTTAATTTTTTTAAAAAAAGGTTTCAGCTACTCTGGGCACACTCTGCCTGTGGGGGTACCCCTGCTCTGCAAGGAGCAGTTTAAAAAAATAAATTTAAAAGGGTTTTCTTTTGTGTGTATGTGAGAGACAGGGTCTTGCTCTGTCTCCCAGGCTCGAGTGCAGTGGTGTGATCTGTGATCATAGCTCGCTGCAGCCTCTACCTCCCAGGCTCAAGCAATCCCCTCCCACCTCAGCCTCTCAGGTAGCTGGGACTACAGGTGTGTGCCACCACACCTGGCCAGGATGCTGCTGAGTGGATAATGTTTAGTGGTTTATCACAGCTCTGAGGAGCAGAGACTCCCCCAAAAACCTAGGGGACTTTGTAATTTGGAGGCATTTGCCTGTTGTCACAAATACACGGTTGTTTGACTTTTTTTGTCTCCTCTTTTCACCTATAAAGATTCTTCCAGAGTCCTTTTCCATGCTCACCATTCCTAAATCACTATTGATATTAGCTCTGGTGTAAATCTGGCAGGAGACAATTCACTTGTTTTTCATCCAAAGGTCAAAAGCTGGAAATTAAATCCCCATAAGGGGAATTTATTGGCTTGCTGTGGTCAATATGCAGTGAAGATTATCTTGCATAAGTAATGTGCGCATATGGGTGGCCAGCATGCTGGCCTGAGCATCTCATAGGTCCTTTGCCCAGCTCTTTATTTAGAGCTATGGGATTAGAGAAGGCATTTTGGATCCAGGCAACTGAGTTGAGTTGTAGTTACTATAACTACTTGTTTGTTTGTTTTTTGAGACAGAGTTTTGCTCTGTCACCCAAGCTGGAGTGCAGTGGTACAATCCTGGCTCACTGTAACTTCCACCTCCCGGGTTCAAGCGAGTCTCTCATGCCTTAGTCTTCCAAGTAGCTGGGATTATAGGCTCGTGCCACCATGCCTGGCTAATTTTTGTATTTTTAGTAGAGATGGGGTTTTACCATGTTGGCCAGGCTAGTCTCGAACTCCTGACCTCAAGTGATCTGCTGGCCTCAGCCTCCCAAAGTGCTGGGATTACAGGCGTAAGCCACTGCGCCTGGCCCTAACTACTTGCTTTCAAAGTTGAGTTTTGATATTGCTTTGAAATGTCAAAACCAAGGGACAGATTTTTGTCCCCAGGAATCCTCTATATCATTGCCTTGGTGTCAGGGACAGCCGCACAGTGCCTTCGGCTGGACTGCAGAAGAAGCGAGGCCTGACGTCATCTGCATCACAGTTGAGTTTTAACATAAATGAAACTGCTGAGCTCAGGATGGGGCAGATAGGAGGGAGGAGGGTTTTTCCATCTCATATTAATTGGACCTTGGTATGCAGTGGCTTTTCTTGTCTCTACAATCACCTCTTTGGCTTGACTGTCAGGGAAATGTTTACTTTTCAATGTGTCTCCAGTTACCAAAAAACTCAACCGAAATAGGAGAGTTCCCGCACATTCACTGCTTTCAAAATGATCCCCTTTTAAAATACAGAACATCCAACGTTGTCCATCTAGCCGTGAGGGTTCTGGATGATGCTTGGTAGGACGGCAAGGAAATGACCTCTTAGTACTGAGGTTTCTATGAGCCTGACGCCAACCCGAGTTTCCTAAACAGAACCTTTGTCATCGTTACTCTGATGAAGAAAAAGATTTAAACATGCCCTTCAAAATATTTGGAGTCCAGCAAGTTTAATTAAAATGAGTTAAAAATGAGAGCTGAGAAAGAAGGAACTGACAGAACTTTCACTGAAGGGAGGCTTTGCATTTAAAATTCAGAAGGTCACCCTCCTTCCAGCCAAGAATAAATTGGAAACTATTTTAATTGACACGGATACTGCAATTCAACTGTTACTAGAAAGATTAGTTGATTGATTTGCATTTTAATAAAACTAATACTTTACATTTTGGTAGCTAATGCTGACTTTCAAATGAGTTGAGAACAGTTATCAAGAGTTTCAATCCAGAGCCCTTTTTCAGTGTTGACTGAAGCATTCCTCTCTTTTGTGTGGAGTTTGCGTTTATTTTATTTTTGCCCAGCTGACTGCTTCACACGAGACACTCATAAACCATAGACCTTAAAGATCTCACCAGTACGGCAAGGCGGTGAGCTGGTCACGCTGAAACGTGGCTGCAGCCACAGCTCCACCCTGCCCAGGTGTGCACCAGAGATCTGGGAAAGAGGGCAGAGGGCCTCCCTTCAGGGTAGAGGAAATGCTAAGGCTGGCTTTTTGTCTTATTTATTTTTGAGACAGGTTCTTGCTCTGTCACCCAGGCTGGAGTGCAGTGGTGCAATCTCGCCTCACTGCAGCTTTGACCTCCTGGGCTCAGGTAATCCTTCCACCTCAGCCTCCTGAGTAGCTGGGGCCACAGGCACGCACCACCATGCTGGCTAGTTTTTGTGTTTTTTGTATGGACGGGGTTTTGCCATGTTGCCCAGGCTGGTCTCGAACTCCTGAACTCAAGTGATCTGCCCACCTCGGCCTCCCAAAGTGCTGGGATTACAGGCGTGCGCCACCACACCCGGCCCCACTTGTCATCTTTAGTAATTTGGGGTCCTCTTCTGTGTCTAGAAACAATCATACAGAATAGCCCTGGTGATTCTCAGCAGGGGAGGAGCCAGGGAGCAGTTTGCAGGGGAAGACTTGGTTTTTACTTCTAGACTGTTTGATATTTTTTACTTATCCTTAAAAACAAAATCCTCATGCAGCCATGTCTGCCACCCCCCTGCACACATGTATGCCAGCTGAGAAGCATGGTGCACAGTGATCTGCATTTTAATAGCTCAGTCAGATGATTTCCATGTTTTCGCAGATGTCACACTTTCATTACTAACTAGTCATTCCATTTGGGGCCCGTATCAATATTTCACCAAATCCCCTGTTTGGGGACATTTACATTGTTTCTAGGTTTTTGCTCTTAATATACAGGATAATAGTAGAGGAGAATATTTGTGCATCAAGCTTGTTTATTGTGGTTTTTGAGACTTTTGTTTTCCTTGGTGTATATCTTTAGGAGTAAAAGGAATCAAGTGAAAGAGTCTGTGTGTTTTTAGGGCTCTTGGAACATCGTGGTGGCGTCAGGGCCCTCGTCCACCCCCACTTGCCTAGGCCAGGCCATCTGTAACACAGGGCGTGGAGGAGCCAGGAGGACACTAGCCCTGGAATTTGATCCTGGGATTTATTTCTTGCTCCCCAGGGACCCCTTCAAATCATCATGCTCCTCTGGGAGGATTAAAGAGCTGCTTCCTATAATGTGCTTTGAAATGATGCTCCAATGAAAGATGGTGGATAAACAGAAAGTGACACCATCGTCTCCCTCCCAGGCGCCCGTATTTTTTCCTGGCTGCTGGATCGCATATAATCTGCTCTCCACGTGCCCCTCTTGTTTTCATGCTCTTGCTACTTTCGGAGCCTTCACCCTGGGGTCTCCCAGGCAGGTTTTCCTTGTCCTCTAGACTTTTGGTGTGCAGCCATTTCTCTCCAGGAATGCTGGCTAGGGCTCCCTATTGAACATCATTTGGAACCCCTGGGCGTGTGAGAAGACACGGGAAAGCCAGCCCCCCCGCTCACTCCAGCAACTGACTCTGCATTGCCAGCTTAGGGATGCAGTTTCCTTTTTAGAAGTTGATTTCCTGCTCTCCACATGCATTGCTAAAACCCCTCCAACGTGACTGCCTCTCTCAGTCTTACCATTTAATCCAAAGAGAGCAGAGTTTGAGGCTTAGAATGAATCCAAATATGATGTTGGTCATAAAGGTTTGTACCATTCCCCAGGAATGAAGCAGTCACTCTGTACATGGAATGTGTTAATGCCAAGATCCACGTCTCCCCGGATCCAGACGCACAAATGAGGTAGGTGCGTGCCTCAGCACAACTGTGCAGGTGGGTGGAGGTGAAGGGTGTCAGGGAAGGGCCCAAGGCTGGGTGCAAAAGCATGGGTGTTTTATGCCTGGGCCACTGCCTGCCCCTCTGGTGACATCAGAACCGTGCCACTTTCTATCCTTGCTGTTCTGTTGCCCGTGTTTAATAAACACAGACACAACAGTGAGCCTGGCCTAAAATGAATGAACTTTGTTTCCTGCACCTCAGTTTGTGTTTTTACTTTTTTGTTGTTGTTATTGTTTTGAGTCAGAGTCTCACTCTGTTGCCCAGGCTGCAGTGGCGTGATCTTGGCTCACTGCAACCTCCACTTCCCAGGTTCAAGTGATTCTCGTGCCTCAGCCTCCCGAGTAGATGGAATTACAGGCATGCGCCACCACGCCTGACTAATTTTGTATTTTTAGTAGAGATGGGGTTTTACCACGTTGGCCAGGCTGTCCTTGAACTCCTGACCTCAGGTGATCCGCCTGCCTCGGCCTCCTGTGTTTTTAATTTTTATGTATGTGGCTGGGCACAGCAGCTCATGCCTGTAATCTCAACACTTTTGGGAGGCTAAGGTGGGAGGATCACTTGAGTCCAGGAGTTCGACCTCGAGATCAGCCTGGGCAACAAAGTGAGACCCCCCTCTCTACAAAAAATAGAAAAAAATTAGCCAGGTTTGAGCTAATTGATGGTGTGCACCTGTAGTCCCAGCTACTCAGGAGGCTGAGGTGGGAGGATCACTTGAGCCCAGGAGGTCAGGGCTACAGTGAGCATGATTGTGCCACTGCACTCCAGCCTGGGCAACAGAGTGAGACCCTATCTCAAAAAATAATAATAAATGTATGTATGTGCATGTGTATCGGGGCATTGTACTAGAAATTAAATAAAGCTTGCCTTCGTGAAGAGAACCATTCTCCTTTTAAGTTTACTTCTTTTACTTTCTTTTCTCTTTCTTCATAACATTTAAAAAATAATTGCCAGAAATTTGGTAAGTTCATTAACTAATTCTCTCAAGTCCAGGCTGCACATCACCCTGCTGATTCGTGTGGATTCAATTTGTCCAACAGTTCTATCGATGAAGTCCTCATTATCCGCTCCTCGTGTGTGGATGGGAGGAAGGTTGTAAATGCAGCCTGAGTGCACCTTATCTAACTTTTGTTTTTCTCGTAGATCTATAGATTTCCTTTACGGTGCCTTTCTTGCCCATCATGTGGGGTCTGCCAATAGGATCGTTGCCTCAACTGCATTTATATTCCTGAGAAGTTTACTCCATTTATTTCCCCTGGTTCCGGGTTCTTGGAGTTCATTTGTTGAGGTCAAGGACACCATGTTCTCAGGAAAGAAAATTTTAAAGAACGTGGAAAAAAAAAAAAGCAACAGCTGCACATCACTGATCGGGTAGAAAAAGAATATAAGGATCTCAATAGGCATCCGGACGGTAACACATGAAGACTCCTGCTCACCCCTCCCCCACATCTGCCTCTCTACGACTGGGTTGGAAATGAGCTCCATGTGTGCTGGGCAGGCAGGTTCCTGGCACCGGCAGCTGGCCGCTTCTCTTTTCTGCGATCTGCCCCTCCCGTGCTACCAGGTTCTAAGAGGGACTTAAGAACACATTGCTAGTGCTGGCTTTGGCTTGTGTGATGTTTGAGTAGAGGACACGTGTGATTGAAGGCTGGAGTCATGGAGAGAATCGTGGACTAGAAATCAAGTCTGCTGGGGTCTGACCTTGAGGAAGTCACTTCCCTCGGGGTCCTTATTAGTGATCTGAGGGTCAGTTCATGGCTGCTAAGGACTTTCCCATTCTGAAGCCGCTGTTTCTAAGTAAAAGCAGCATCGCAGACGGGGGTTAGTGCGGTGTGAGAATGCTGTTCAAGTCCATTCCTTCAGGTATTTCTTGACCTCCTACTGTGTGACAGGCACTGGGGGAGGCTTAGCAAGGGGCTCTTTTGGCAGGTGACCCAGTCTCTAGGTGGTTTCTGTTGACCTCCTCTTTTCTTCCATAGGGTTCTCTAGACTTGGGTCTCATCAAAAACTGCTGCCCCCGCTGCAGTTGCTCTTAATCTTGGCTGGAACTCCTGGAAGCTCAGGCTCTGGATGCATTTTCAGGTTTAGCATCACTTACTTTCCCAAGGTTCTGGCTCTCCAAGGTGAAAGCGCAGCCTCAAGGGAGGGTGATAGCCCGGGTGCTCAAGGCCCCTTACATCCTGGGCCTTCAAAGTCTGGCTCTGAGAGACCGCCTGCGGGAACGCAGATGCATTAGTATGCAGGTGTGCTGGTACAGAGCACAAAGCAATTAGCCTGCTGCTCTGCAATTTCTGCCTTTCCCCAGCAAGTGTGACTCAAGTTTTGGTTCCTTTGCCTGCATGGCCAGCACCGTCCTTTCTCCTGTGGGGAGGCCTGGGGGCTTCAGGGGATGCCTGTTCTAATTCTAGGAGTGGTCCGGAGCATCTAGACCAGAGCTGTCCGATAGAACTTTCTAGGATGATGGGAATGTAATCCGGCTGTTCTGTGCTATCCCGCATGGTAGCCACCAGCCACGTGTGCACTTGCAGGATGGCTAGCAGCTAATGTATTAGTTCAGATCTGTATGACTATTTTCCAACATTTTGCAAGGCACTGCGAGTGCTAAAGTTAAAGATGAGGCAAATGGTCAGCAGCTGGGGTGGCAGGAGCTCCAGCTGTACCCGGGCTGAGGGTCTCAGTGTCTTCACACACCTGTGCCCACCCCAGCAGGCTGGGTGGAAGGCCCTGTTCTAGACCTGAGCTGGGGCTGGTGGTGTGACCTGTCTCCACTGATTTCTTGGCCCTGAGACCTGGGGTAGGTGGAGGGCGTGGGGAAGTGGGCGGTTTTCTGCCTTGGTGTCCAGGGTGGTCCGGGGAGCCCGGGAGGCTGACTCAGTCTCATCTCCTCCTGAGGGACTGAGCTCGGAGCTGAATCCCTGATGCCATAAAATTATTTTCCAGTTTGACTCTTGTGTCCTTTAAAGTTGTAGCACACTACACTTGGTTTTAAGAGCTAAATGTAAGGCAAATACAGAGCACTTTAAATGTGATAACTCTGAGTTCATATTGTTTGAGGAGATAAGCAAAAAGGAGCAGGTGCTTTGAATTCACTTATCAGCGTTTTCGCAGGCTCCTGTCCCTCCGCACCCCCCACCGAGGTGCCGTGATGTTCCACGAGGATCTTGGAATTGGAGGCTTCCCCGGGCTGTGGGGCCACCGTTTCATCTGCTCACCTTGCTGGTAAGGCCAGGGCTTTGTTCCCGGGAGTGCTCGGGCCGCAGGTGTGTGTGTCCGGGAGGCTCCTGCCGGGCAGGGCAGGGAGAGGGGCCTGGCCTGGGAAGTAAGCCCCCGTGACAGGCTCCTCAAGCCTCTGGAGCCCTGGGGAGAGTTTGCATTTTCGGATCACGTCTCCATCCTCCAGGAGAAGGATGAGAGGGGCCGGCTTTAAGTCCTAGTTCTTGGGTATATAATTAAACAGAGATTTTCCTTCCTGAAGGAACAAAAAGAGGCCAAGGACAGCCTAATTGAAACCTCAGGATTGCTTCTCCAAGAGTGGCCTGAGCAAGTGGGCCGAGGTAGATTTGCAACTCTGGCTGGTGGGGTGGCCCGAGCCAGGGGGGCCCACGTTCGGCTGCTGACGGCGGTCCACAGGAGGGGAGGGTCTGTTGGGCGGGGGAGCCTCTCTCTGCCTTGCTTCCTTTTAGGGTGAGCCTTTGGTTCTCCTGTCCCAAACCGAGGGGGGCCACGTGGGAGCCGGCAGCACACACTGGCCACCACTGACCGCTCCTGCTGTCCTGGCACTTCCGCCCCCTCCCAAAACGGCAGCCCACAGTGACTGGTCGCAAGTGCCATCAGAAATGTGCGCCGCTTACGAGGCTGTCAACCAGGCTGGTTCTTCCAAAGTCGTCCATTACCAGATAAGTGAAGGTAAAATAGTGATGCTTTATTAATTGCAGGTATGGCACGGGTTTTTATACCTGTTTATATACACTTGCTCCGGAGCGGAAGGACTTTCTCATCTCTCCTTGCCTCTCCCCCACCCCCAGAAGAGAATTTCAACTTTAAGACAAACAACTTCATTTACAAGTGTGTCTCTAATTAGCTGCAGAATTAGGAAAGCTGAGCTTTCCCCCATAGATCCGCTCAACCCTCGAGGGAGACTGGTGGAATAGAGAGAATCGCATTTCCAATTATTTTGTTGAATTGCTAATTTAGTTATTGTGCCTGGTGTAATTGTGATGGGTATTGGGTATGCAATTCAATTTGTTTTAAATATTTGTGGGAAGGCTGATCAGTAATGGAGCTGACCTATTTTGTGGCCCAAATTGAGAAAAAAAAAAAAGACTAAAACACAACAGCCACAAAGATACAGTTTGTTTCCATTTTTATTTTGATCTCTCTCATCCCTCTTAAGATCATTGATGCAACAAAAGGATTAAATTAAAAGATGACAGCACTTTGATCTTCTCCCTTTGAAAGCTTAACTGTCCTTGGTAGTTTAATATGCAGATATTTTAGGGTAGAGTCTAGATGCATTGCTGGAGTTGAGTAGTTTCTGCCTCCTAAAATTGCATTTCTGCATGTGCCTAAAAGTGATTTGGGGTACTCAACTTTCTAATAGTGTGTAAAGTAGTGGAGGTGTATCTGTAACAAATAACGCAAAGCCGTGAGAGCCACAAGTTCGCCACTCCTACTGGGCAGAAGTCCATTCCAGAGTCCCGGAACCTTCCCTCCAGGCAGCACCACGTGCAGAGGTTGGTGGCCAGGAACCCCACCCCGGGTGTTTGCATAAAGCTCACCCATTGGGAGCCCTGCTCCTGGTTGATTTGAGCCTGTGCAGGTGAGAGGAGGGCTAGGTGACAAGTTCCCTCATGGCTGGCGGTGACTCTGTGGAGCTAGCTCCTTGAGGGCCAAGCTCCAATGTCCCTCTTCAGCCAGAGTCTGGACCGGGAGGTATGGGCCAGGGAAAATCTGTGATGTAATCTTGTTTACATGCCTATTGGATGCTGAGTCATAAACACAGTCTGGGCCTGGGCCAGGGCTGTGGCTTGAAATCAGAGCTCTGCTGGGACCTGAGGTCACAGAAATAGATTGCAGGAGTTGAGCCTTGGGCACGTACGACCGAGGTTGCTTACAGGTGACTGGAAGCCCTCACCTTCCACAGCATCCCGCCGGGCCCGCCAGGCGTCCTCAGACACAGGCTAACTAGGGCTTGGTTGGGCAAGATCAGAGGGTGGCGGACCAGAGCAGATTTTGAGAAAAGGTTATAATAAAATGGGTCATAGATGCGGCTGTTGTAATGAATTTGATCCTAAAGGATTCGTTTTGTAACTCGATTAGCTTAGCAAGGTGCCAGGGTCAATTTCCGTGCTTAGCTGCTAAAGAGAAGTTTAAACTTCATTACTCTTACATGAGAGCTCACCGGGACCAACTGGAGGAACTCAGCCCCAGGTGGATCCCTTTTAACAAGCTGTTCTGGAGGAGCTGGGCGAGGACAGCTGATGGCCGCAGCTGCTGATCCTGAGGAGGGGCTGGGTCCCGTGTGAGGACAGATAGGAGGGTGACCATTGAACCAGCCAGGCTGGAGCTGAAAAGAAACTGGCAAGCAGCTAGAGCAGCTGGGGATGGAAGGAGGAGGAGGCGTTTGTGGAAACAGCTGCAGGGCAGGAGGGCAGGCTGCGGGGTAAGGTCTGTGTAGCCTCTACCCCGTGATGGTGGTGGTTGTTATTATTTGAGACAGTCTCGCTCCGTCACCCAGGCTGGAGTGCAGTGGTATGATTTCTGCTCACTGCAACCTCCACCTCCCTAGTTCAAGCGATTCTCCTGCCTCAACCTCCTGAGAAGCCAGGATTACAGGTGTACGCCACCACGCCCAGCTAATTTTTGTATTTTTAGTAGAGACAGAGTTTTGCCATGTTGCCCAGGCTGGTCTCCAACTCCTGACCTCAGGTGATCCACCCGCTTTGGCCTCCCAAAGTGCTGAGATTATAGGCATGAGCCACCATGCCCAGTCTCCATTTTTTTTCTACAGTGTTGTTATTGAGGTAGAATTTACATACCATAAAACTCACCTGTTGTAAATGTACAATTCCATGGTTTTTGCTACATCTGTGGAGTTGTGCTGCCACTAACACGGCCCATGTTTAGGACATTCTTATCACCCCACAAGTTCCTCTAGCTTTGCCGGAACTCCCTGCTCCCAGCCCCAGGTAATTTGCCTTCTTTTCTGAACATTTCATTTAAAAAGAATCATACAATCTGGAGTGTTTGTGTCTGGCTTCTTTCGCTTGGCATGAGGTGTTTATATCTTTATTGTAGCATATATCAGTACATTCCTTTTGATTGCTGACTAGTCTTCCATTGTGTAGATATACCACATTTTGTTTATCCACGTGCCTATTCATGAACATTTGGATTGTTTCCAGATTTGGGCGATTATATATGAAGCTGATAGGAGCAATCACAAGCCTTTGTGAAAGATGTTTTCATTTCCCTTGGGCAGATACCTAGGCATGGAATTGCTGAGAATGAAAGCTTATGTTTAGCTTTTTCAGAAGTTGTTAAACTGTTTTCCAAAGTACCTGTATCACTTTATATTTACACCAGCAAAGTGTGCGGGCTCCGGTTTCTCCACATCCGTGCCAACACTTGTAATTGTCTGTCTTCCAATTATAGCCTTTCTGGCAAATAGTGGACTCCCATTGTGGCTTTAATTTGTTTCCCTAGTGACGAATGATGTTGAACATCTTCTCGTGTGTTCATTATTCATGTATCATCTTCTTTGGTGAGACATCTATTCACATCTTTTGGCCTAATTTAAATTGAATTGCCTTGTTGCCTTGTAAGGATTCTTTATATATCCTGGATTCAAGTCCCTTATCAGATATATGGTCTGCAAATATTTTTTCCCAGTCTCTGGCTTGTCTTCATTTTCTTTTTTCTTTCTTTCTTTTTTTTTTTTTTTTTTTTTTTTTTTGAGATGGAGTCTCGCTCTGTTGCCAGGCTGGAGTGCAGTGGCACGATCTCAGCTCACTGCAGTCTCCACCTCCCGGGTTCAAGCTATTCTCCTGCCTCAGTGTCCCAAGTAGCTGGGACTACAGGCCTCCGCCACCACACCCAACTAATTTTGTATTTTTAGTAGAGACCGGGTTTCACCATGTTGGCCAGGATGGTCTTGATCTCGTGATCCACCCGCCTTGACCTCCCAAAGAGCTGGGATTACAGGCGTGAGCCACTGCACCCGGCCGTCTTCATTTTCTTAATGGTGTCTTCTGGAGCACAAAAGGTTTTAATTTTGATGAAGCCTAATTTATCAATTTCTTTTTTTCTTTTATGGATTATGTCATATCTAAGAAATCTTTTCCAAATCCAAGGTCACAAAAATTTTCTCCTACATGTCTTCTTGTGGATGTTTTATAGTTGTAGCTTATATATTTAAGTCTGTAATATATTTGGGGTAAATTTTTGTCCATGGTGTAAGAGTCTAAAAATATAACTTTGTGTATGGATATCCGAACGTCTTGGCACCATTTGTTGAAAAGGCTAGCCTTTCCGCCATTGAATTGTCTTGACTCCTTTGTGGAAAATCAATTGACCCTAAATGCTAGGATTTATTTCAAGACTGTCAATTATATTCCATTCTATTTGCTTGTGTTTATATCTGTGAACATTTTAAAATCAGGTAGTTTAAGTCTTCCAAATTTTTATCAAAATTGTTTAGAGTATTCTGGGTCCTTTGCATTTCCATATAAATTTTAGGATACATGGCCGGGCGCGGTGGCTCTGCCTGAGACAGGATCTTTCTCTTTCACCCAGGCTGGAGTGCAGTGGTGTAATCACAGCTCACTGCAACCTCAACCTCCTGAGCTCAAGCCATCCTCCCACCTCAGCCTCCTGAGTAGCTGGGACTGCAGGCACATGCCACCACACCCAGCTAATTTTTTTTATTTTTTGTAGAGACAGGATCTCCTTATTTTGGCCAGGCTGATGCTGAACTTCTGGGCTCAAGTGATACTCCCGCCTCAGACTCTCAAAGTGCTGGGATTACACGCATGAGCCACTGTTCCCGGCCTAAATTTGTTAATCTCTAGAAAAATGTCTGCTGGAATTTTGATGGGATTACACTGACTCTATAGATCAATTTGGGGAGAACTACCATCCCAACAACATTGAGTCTTCTAATCCATGAACATGGAATATCTCTTCAATTGTTTTTATTTAATTTCTCTCAGCAGTGTTTTATAATTTCAGGGTACATGTCTATTTCTTTTGCAAAATTATTCCTATGTATTTTATTGGTTTTGATGCTATTGTCAATGAAATTATTTTAATTTCATTTTTAGATTTCTTCTTGCTAGTGTACAAAAATACTATTATTGAGTTTTTAAATTAATATTGTAGCCAGTGACTTTGCTGAATGCATTTATTAGTTCTAGTTTTTAAAAATGGATTCCTCATATAGGATCATGCCATTTGTGAATAATGAGTTTTAATCTCTTCTTTCCAATCTATAAACCTTTAATTTTCATGTAGCCTATTGCATTGGCCAGCACCTCCAGTGCAATGCTGAGAAGTAGCAAGAGCAGATATTTTTGCCTTGTTCCATCTTAGAGAGAAAAGCATTCAGTCTTTCACCATCAAACATGAAGTTACTTGAGGTTTTTCACAGACGCCCTTTCTCAGGTTTTGGAAATTTATTTCTATTTTTTTTGAGACAGTGTCTCACGTCGCCCAGGCTGGAGTGTGGTGGCACAATCTCCGCTCACCGCAACCTCTGCCTCCCAGGTTCAAGCAATTCTCCTGCCTCTGCCTCTCAAGCAGCTGGCATTACAGGCACGTGCCACCACACCCGGCTAATTTTTTTGTATTTACTTTTAGTAGAGACGGGGTTTTGCCATGTTGGCCAGGCTGGTTTCAAACTCCTGACCTCAACTGATCCACCCGCCTCGGCCTCTCAAAGTGCTGGGATTACAGGCATGAGCACTGCGCCCGGCGGAGATTTCTTTCTATTGATAGTTTGTTGATAATTTTTATCTGGAATGGGTATTGTATTTCCAAATGCTTTTTATGTGTCTACCGAGAGGGTCATGTGGTTTTTGTCTTTTACTCTATTAAGATGGTGTGCTACATTAATTGATTTCTGGGTGTTAAACTAACTTTGTACTCATGGGACAAATCCCACCTAGCTATGGTGAATACTTTTTTTTCTTTTGAGACAGGGTCTCTTGGGTGGAATGCAGTGGTGCGATCATGGCTCACTGCAGCCTCAACTTCCCGAGCTCAAGCGATCCTCCCACCTTAGCCTCTTGGGTAGCTAGGACCACATGTGTGTGCCACCACACCTGGCTAATTTTCTTTTCTTTTTTTTTTTTTGAGACAGTCTTGCTCTGTTGCCCAGGCTGGAGTGTGGTGGCATGATCTTGGCTCACTGCAACCTCTGCCTCCCAGGTTCAAGTGATTCTCCTGCTTCAGTCTCCCAAGTAGCTGAGACTACGGGCATGTGGCTCCACGCCCAGCTAATTTTTGTATTTTTTGGTAGAGACAGGGTTTCAACATATTGGCCCCTCTGGTCTCAAACTCCTAGCCTCATGTGTTCTGCCTGCCTGGGCCTCCCAAAATGCTGGAATTACAGGCATGAGCCATCATGCCTGGCCCACACCTGGCTACTTTTTACAATTTTTTTTGTAGAGACAGGGTCTCACTATGTTGCCCAGGCTGGTCTCGAAGTCCTGGGCTTGAGCAATCCTCCCTCCTCAGCCTCCCATAGTGCTGGGATTAAAGTTGTGAAACTAAAAAACAAAAAATGTTGCATGGAATACTATGCAGCCATAAGAAGGAATGAGATTATGTCCTTTGCAGGGACGTGGATGAAGCTGGAAACCATCATCCTCAGCAAACTAACCCAGGAACAGGAAATCAAACACCACATGTTCTCACTCATAAGTGGGAGTTGAACAATGAGAACACATGGACCCAGGGGAACGACACACACCAGGGCCTGCTGGGAGGTGGAGGGGGTCGAGAGGAGGGAATTTAGAGGGCAGGTCAATAGGTGCAGCAAACCACCATGGCACAGGTATACCTATGTAACAAACCTGCACATTCTGCACACGTATCCTGTTTTTTTTTTTTAGAAGAAATAAAATTTATATATAATATAAATATATATATATACTTATATACTTATATATTGCTAGGATAGGCACAGTGGCTCACGCCTATAATCCCAGCACTTTGAGAGGCCAAGATGGGTGGATCACTTGAGGTCAGGAGTTCGAGACCAGCCTGACCAACATGGTGAAACCCCATATCTACTGAAAAATACAAAAATTAGCTGGGTGTGGTGGTGCGCACCCAGATGGTGGGAGGCTTAAGTGGGAGGATTGTTTGAACCTGGGGGTGGAGGTTGCAGTGAGCTGTGATCATGCCACTGCACTCCAGCCTGGATGACAGAGTGAGAACCTCATCTCAAAAAAAAAAAAAAAAAAGTGTGGGTGTGTCTTGCTGTATTCAGTTTGCTAATTCTTTTTTTAAAGAGATGGAGTCTTGCCACGTTGCCCAGGCTGGGGTGCAGTGGCTATTTAAGGATATGCTCATGGCATACTACAGCCTCAAAATCCTGGGCTCAAACAGTCCTCCTGCCTCAGCTGCCCAAATAGCTGGGACTACATGCACGCCACTGTACCTGGCCCAGTTAGTTAATATTTGCTAAGGATTTTTGCATCCTGTGTTCACAAGGGATACTGGCCTGTAGTTTTCTTGTGATGTCTTTGGCTTTGGTATCAGATAATACTGGCCTTGTAGAATGAGTTGGAAAGTGTTCCTTCTGTTTTCTAAGAGAGTTTGAGAAGGACCAGTATTATTTCTTTTTTTTTTTTTTTTTTTTCCAAGATGAAGTCTTGCTCTGTCACCCAGGCTGGAGTGCAGTGGCGTGATCTCAGCTCACTACAACCTCCACCTCCCGGGTTCAAGCAATTCTCCTGCCTCAGTCTCCCAAGTAGCTGGGATTACAGGCACCCACCACCACACCCGGCTAATTTTTGTATTTTTTGTAGAGACAGGGTTTCCCCTTGTTGGCCAGGCTGGTCTCGAACTCCTAACCTCGTGATCCGCCCTCCTTGGCCTCCCAAAGTGCTGGGATTACAGGCGTGAGCCACTGCACCTGGCTGTTATTTCTTCTTTAAATATTTGACAGAGCATTTACCAGTGAAGCTTTCTGGGACTGGGGCTTTACTTTGTGGGAATTTTTTTTTTTTTTTTAAGACTGAGTCTCACTTTCTTGCCCAGGCTGGATTGCAGTGGCATGATCTCGGCTCATCACAACCTCCGCCTCCCGGGTTTAAGCCATTCTCCCGCCTGAGCCTCCCAAGTAACTGGGATTACTGTTGTGCACCAACACACCTGGCTAATTTTTGTATTTTTAGCAGAGACGGGGATTCACCATGTTGGCCAGGCTGGTCTTGAACTCCTGACCTCAGGTGATTCCCCCACCTCAGCCTCCCAATGTGCTGGGATTACAGGTGTGAACCACCGTGCCTGGCCTGTGGGAGGATTTTTAGTGACTAATTTCTTTATTTGTTATAGGTCTATTTGGATTGTGTGTTTCTTCTCAAGTCAGTTTTGGTAAATTTGTGTCTTTCTAGGAATGTGTTCATTTTACCTAAGTCTAATTTCTTGGCATAAAGTTGCTCATAATATTTCTTTATAATCTTAATTTTGGTAGAGCCACTAGCAATGTCCCCTCTTTGATTCCTGATTTTGGAAAATTGTGTTGTTTCTCTTTTTCTTCTTGTCAATTTTATTGTTTTTTTCTTTTCTTTTCTTTTTTTTTTTTTTTTTAGATGGAGTCTTACTCTGTCCCCAGGCTGGAATACAGTGGTGCGATCTCGGCTCATTGCAACCTCCGCCTCCCGGGTTCAAGTGATTCTCCTGCCTTAGCCTCCCGAGTAGCTGGGATTACAGGCGCCCACCAACATGCCTAGCTAATTTTTCTATTTTTAGTAGAGACGGGGTTTCACCATGTTGGCCAGGATGGTCTCGATCTCTTGACCTCGTGATCCACCCACCTCGGCCTCCCAAAGTGCTGGGATTACAAGTGTGAGCCACTGGGCCCAGCCTGATTTTTTTCAAAGAGCTAACTTTAAGTTTCTATTGACTTTTCTCTGTTGTTTACTGTTTTCTCTTTCACTAGTTTCCACTCTGACCTTTATGTTTTCCCTTATTCTTCTTGCTTTGGGTTTAGTTTATTCTCCTCTTTTTTCTTCTCTGTTTTTTTGGGGTGGAAGTTTATTGATCCAGATCCAGACCTGTTGTCTATTTCTCCTTTTTATTCTGTCAATTTTTGCTTTCTGTATTTTGGGGCTCTGTTGTTAAACATGTATACATTTATAATTGTTATAGCTTCCTGACAAACTGATTCTTTTAGCATAATAAATGTTTATTTTTGTCTCTAATGACATTATATATATACATATAGATAGATATAGATATTGATATTGATATTAATGTAGCCACTCCAACCCTTATGGTTACTGTTTGCATAGTAGATGGTGTTTTTATACCTTTACCCACTTGTGTCTTTGAATCTAAAGTGTTTTTCTTAAAGACTTAAGACCCAGCCTCCACAAAATTAAAAAAATTAGCCAGGTATGGTGGTACACACCTGTAGTTCCAGCTACTCGGGAGGCTGAGGCAGGAGTAACAGGCATTTTGTTTGTTTTTTTAAAATTTTAACTATTATTTTTGAGTCAGGGTCTCACTCTGTCACTCAGGCTAGAGTGCAGTGGTGTGATTTAGGCTCACTGCAGCCTCAGCCTCCAGGGCTTGGGTGATTGTCCCTCCTCAGCCTCCCGAGTAGCTGGGACTACAGGTGCATGCCACCATGCCTGGCTAATTTTTTGTATTTTAATTTTTTGCAGAGACGAGGTCTCCCTATGTTGCCCAGGCTGGTCTCAAACTCCTGGACTCAAGCAATCTGCCTGTCTCAGCCTCCCAAAGTGCTGGGATTACAGGCAAGAGCCACCACACCCAGCCTAGATTTTTTCACCTAATCTGACAGTCTATCTTTTGATTGGAGTGTTTAGTCCTTTCAAATTTAATGTAATTATTAATAAGGTTCATTTGTTTTTCCTTTACTGCTTGCTTTTGTGTTTTTTAGAGACAAGGTCTTACCCTATCCTGCAGGCTGGAGAGCAGTGATGCGATTACAGCTCACTGCAGCCTTGAACTCCTGGGCTCAAGAGATCCTCCTGAGTAGCTGGGACTACAGGTGTATGCCACCACGCCTGGCTATTTTTTTTTTTTTAATTTTTCTGGAGACTGGGTCTCACTTTGTTGCTCAGGCTGGTCTCAAACTTCTGGCTTCAAGAATGCTGGGGTTACAGATGTGTGCCACCACACCCAGCCCCAGTGTTGTTTTTAATATATATATATTTACATACATACATGTTAAATTGTGGCTAAGAAAACATAAAACTTACCATCTTAACCATGTTTAAGTGTACAATGCAATAGTGTTAAGTATATTTACATTGTCCTGCAACAGATTTCCAGAAATTCTTACCCCACAAAACTGAAACTTTATACCCATTTAACAATTCCCAGTTTACCCCTCACTCCAACCCCTGGCAACCACCATTCTTTCAGTTTCTATGAATTTGACTACTTTATTTTTTATTTATTTATTTTTTTGAGACAGAGTTTCTGTCACCAGACTGGAGTGCGGTGATGCGATCTCGGCTCACTGCAACCTCCACGTCCCGGGTTCAAGCGATTCTCCTGCCTCAGCTTCCCGAGTAGCTGGGATTACAGGCATGCACCACCATGCTCAGCTAACATTTGTATTTTTAGTAGAGATGGGGTTTCACCATGTTGGCCAGGCTGGTCTCAATCTCTTGACCACAAGTGATCCACCCACCTTGGCCTCCCAAAGTGCTGGGATTACAGGCATGAGCCACTGCACCCAGCAAAATTCGACTACTTTAAATACCTCATATAAGTGGAATCCTACAGTATTTGTCTTTTTGCAACTGGCTTATTCCACTTAACAGAATGTCCTCAAGGTTTATTCCTGTTCTAGCATGTGATTGGATTGCTTTCCTTTTTAAGGCCGTTGTAATATTCCATTGTAAGTATAGACCACATTTTGTTTATCAATTTATTCTTTGATGGACATTTGGGTGGCTTTCACCTCTTGGCTATTGTGAATAATGCTGCTGTGAACATGGGTGTGCAAATATATATTCAAGGCCCTGCTTTCAATTCTTTTGGATATCTGCCCAGAAGTGAGATTGCTTGATCATACGTAGTGCTTTTTTTTTTGAGACAGGGTCTCACTCTGTTGCCCAGGCTAGAGCGTAGTGGCTTGATCATAGCTCACTGCAACTTCAAACTCCTGGGCTTAAGCAGTCCTCCCACCTCAGCCTCCTATTTTTCATTTTCGTTTCGTTTTTGTTTTTTTTTGAGGCAGAGTCTCGCTGTGTTGCCCAGACTCAAGCAGTCCTCTCACCTCAGCTGCCCAAGTAGCTGGGACTACAGCCACGTGCCATCACCCAGCTAATTTTTTATTTTTTAATTTTTTATACAGATGAGGGTCTCACTGTGTTGCCCAAGCTGGTCTCGAACTCCTGGGCACCTTAGCCTCTCAAAGTGTTGGGATTACAGGTGTGAGCCACCACACCCGGCCCTACTTTTAATTTTTTGAGGAACCATTTTTGCATAGCAGCTACACCATTTTCTATTCCTGCCAACAGTGCACAAGGGTTCTAATTTTTCCACATCGTCTGCAACATGTTATTTTCTGTTTGTTTTTTATAGCAGACGTCCTAATGGGTATGAAGTGTTGTGTCGTTGCGGTTTTAATATACATTTCCCCAACAATTAATGATGCTGAGCATGTTTTTATATGCTTCTTGACCATTCATAAATCATCTTTGAAAAAATGGGTTTAAGCCCTTTGCCTTTTGTTGTTGAGACAGGGTCTTGCTCTGTTGCCCAGGCTAGAGTGCAGTGGTGCGATCTCAGCTCACTGCAACCTCAACCTCCTGAGCCAGTGCTCCTCCTGCCTCAGCCTCTCAAGTAGCTGGAACTAGAGGCATGTGCCACCATGCCTGGCCAATTTTAAAAAAATTTTTTGTAGAGATAGTGTCTCACTGTATTGCCCAGCCTGGTCTCAAACTCCTGGACTCATGTGATCCTCCCACCTCAGCCTCCCAAAGTGCTGGGATTAGAGGTGTGAGCCACTGCTGCCAGCCTTACTATGCATTTTAAAGTTATTTTCAGCTGGGTGCGGTGGCTCATGCCTCTAATCCCAGCACTTTGGGAGGCCGAGGCAGGTGCATCACCTGAGGTCAGGAGTTTGAGAGCAGCCTGGCCAACATGGTGAGACCCTGTCTCTACCAAAAATACAAAAATTAGCCGGGCATGGTGGTGGGCGCCTATAATCCCAGCTACTCAGGAGGCTGAGGCAGGAGAACTGCTTGAACCCGGGACGCGGAGGTTGCAATGAGCCGAGATTGCATCATTGCACTCCAGTCTGGATGACAGAGCAAGACTCCATCTCTAAATAAATAAAGTTACTTTCTTAGTGGTTGTTCTAGAGGTTATATAACACTATACTTGAGATTAATATTACCTTAATGCTGGCAACACATAGACTTGGTTTTCATGTTGTTTCATTTTTACCCCCTTCTTTGTGTGACTGTCATACATATTACGGTTCTATATGCTATAAACCCCAAAATACAGTGGTATACTTATTGTTTAATGCAACTTTATGTCTTTTAATGAAGTTAAAGAGAACACAGTTTTTTATATTTACCTAGGTACTGTTTACCTTTTCATTTCTTTGAGTAGATTTGAATTACTATCTGGAATTATTTCTTTTCAGCCTCAACTATTGCTTTTAGTATTTCTTATAAAGCTGGTCTGCTAACAATGAATTCTCTTTTTTTGTGGAGTGTCTTTATTTCACCTGTACTTGTTTTAAGGACAGTGTTGCTGGATATAGGATTCTTGTTTGACAGCATTTTTTTTTCTTCTTGTGGCACTCTGACAATACTGCCCCACTGCCTCCTGGGGTCCATTGTTTCTGATTAGAAGGCAGCTGTGATTTATTTTGTTATTCTTCTGTAAGTGATAACTTGTTCTTCTCTAGCTTCCTTTAAGATTTTTCTTTGTCTTTCAACAGTTTGGCCATGAGGTATCTAGGTGTAAGTATCTTTGTTTATCCTACTTGGGGTTTATTGAGCTTCTTGGATCTGCAGATTCATGTTTTCCATCAAATTTGGGAATTTTTCGGCCACTATTTCTTCAGATAGTTTTTCCATTTCTCTCTCTTCTGGCACCCCCAGTACACATATGTTGGTAAACGCACTGTTGCTGCACAGGAGTCTGAGGGTCTATTCATTTTTCACTCTTTTTTCCTCTCTGTTCTTCACATTGGATAATTCTATTACTCTACGATTTCACATGCACTGATTCTTCTGTCTTCCCAAATCTGTGTAGTCCCTCTGGTCAACTTTTCAGAATTTCCTTTTCAAAAACTGGGATAAATATATGATTTACCATTTTAACAGTTTCTAAGTGTATAGTTCAGTGACATTAAGGACATTCACATTGTTGTGCAACCATCACCACCATCCACCTCCAGAACATTTCATCATCCCATACTGAAACTCTGTACTCATTCAACAACAATAACTCCCAGCTGCTACAGTGGCTCATGCCTATAATTCCAGTGCTTTGGGAGGCTGAAGAAGGAAGATCGCTTGAGCCCAGGAGTTCAAGATCAGCTTGGGCAACACAGTGAGGCCCTGTCTCTACAAAAAAAAAAAAAAAAAAAAAAATTTTTTTTTAAATTAGCTGGGTATAGTGGCTTGCACCTGTAGTCCCAGCTATTCAGGAGGCTGAGGTGGGAGGACTGCTTGAGCCCAGGAGTTTGAGGCTGTAGTGAGCTATGATCATACCACTGTACTCCAGCCTGGGCAATAGAGCGAGACCCTGTCTCTAAAAACGAAAACAGTAATCCCCAAATTCCTCTCCCCACAACCCCTGGTAATCACTGTTTTATTTTCTGTCTCTGTGAATTTGATAATTTCAGATACCACATATAAGTGGAATCAAACAATATCTGTTTTTGTGTCTGGCTTATTTCACTTAGCATAATGTCTTCACAGTTCATCCATGTTGCAGCATGTTTCAGAATTTTATTCAGAATGTGCTTTTTTATGTTTTGTTTTGAGACAGGGTCTTGCTCTGTCACCCAGGTTGGAGTGCAGTGGCGTGATCATGGTTCACTGCAGCCTCTACCTGCCTGGGCTCAGGTCATCCTTCCACCTCAGCCTCCCAAGTTGCTGGGACGACAAGCGTGTGCCACCACACCTGGCTAGTTTTTTTTTTTTTTTGCATTTTTTGTAGAGATGGAGTTTTGTCATGTTGTCCAGGCTGGTCTTAAACTCTTGGACTCAAGCGAACCGCCCACCCTGGCCTCCCAAATTGCTGGGGATCATAGGTGTGAGCCACCATGCCTGGCCAATTCTTTTTTTTTTTTTTTTTTTTTAAATAAGGGCCCAAGGTTGTCCTACCTGACCCTTTAATTCTGTAAATGTGTGTGTGTGTATGTGTGTTTAAGTTTCTGCCCAGTTGTTTTTATTTGTTTGTTTTTTGAGACAGAATCTCATTCTGTCACCCAGGCTGGAGTGCAGTGGCACGATCTTGGCTCACTGCAACCTCTACCTCCCGGGTTCAAGCGATTCTCCTGCCTTAGCCTCCCAAGCAGCTGGGATTACAGGCGCACACCACCACACCCAGCTAATTTATTTTTAGTAGAGACGGTTTCACCATGTTGGCCAGGCTGGTCTCAAACTCCTGACCTCAAGTGATCCACCCGCCTCAGCCTCCCCAAGTGCAGGAATTGAGCCACCACACCGAGCCTCTGCTCAGTTTTTCTTTTTAAAACTTCTTATTTTTTAAGCCTAGCTTCATAGGGGCCACCCTTGTGCCTAATGGTCAGCCAATGCTTTAGGCAGATGTATCTTGAGCCAGCAAGGCATCTATCTTCTGCTGATAAGTTGGTGTGTGTGTGTGTGTGTATGCACGCGCGCGTGGGGGCTACATATTAAAACATTTCAGCAGTTTTGAAATCTGCCCTGGCTTTTACTTTCTACTGGGCCCTCTGGCATTTCCTCTTCATGTGCCCACAGGTTCTATCAGCTAGGGCTGTGTGACTAGCTTGGGCCTTCTCTGATCTCTCCTGTGTGGATGTGCGGGGAGCTTATCAAGCCCCTGGTGGCTGTATCATTTCCTGCTTCTGTTAAAGCTCTAGCTAGGCTGCTGGTCTATTGCTTGAGCCAAGCTGAGCCACTGGTCTTCCCTGGATGTTTGCTGCTGAGTTACTGCTGTTACTGACAATGCCAGTGGGCATGGAGTATTTTTATCCAGACTTCAGCATTACCCATGATCCCAGATGAAAATCTGCCTAGAGCTGGAAGGGATCTTAGGGATCTTCTCGTTCCACACTCTACTTTCACATCCCAGGGAAGGCAGGACTCCAGAACACCCTTGAGCTGCTCAAGGCCTGCCCTAAGTGAGGGCAGCCAGGCTTAGAGATCGGCCTTCAGGCTCAGCTGCACAGCCCCTCAGTGGCACTTCCGCTTAGTGTCCATGTCACCCAACACGTAGAGACAATCCCTAGACCCTGCCCTCGCCAGGGGACGGTTCTCCACCAATACCCTATGAGGAAGGTGCCCCTGAGTGATGACAGGCGCCCAGTCTTGGGAGCAAAAGAGACAGGGCATGGAGAAACCTGACCTGCATTGAGGGTTTGCGGCTCATGCCCTGCACTTGATTCACATCAACTAATTTAATGTCATTTTTCAAAATGCCCCATTGAGGTCCACATTTCACAGATGAGGAGGCAGGAACTTGCTCAAGGACAAGAGTGAGGGGCTGGATACTGGAAATCAGCTCAGGCTTATTCTAAAGTCCCTGTTCTTGTAAGTGACTATGAAAGGAGCTATTTGCATGGACAGGAATGCTCTGTGAGCTTTTTCCTGCTGCAGAGCCTGGACTTGTACAGTGGGTTCTGCCTCTTCCCACCCCCAGCCCTCCCTGATTACTCTAGAAGGCCAGTCATGACACAGAATGTTGGCAATCAGACTCAGCGCCATCTGAGCTATTCTGTCCTGTCTCCGTGCGGTTCCTAGTGGGCTGAGCCCACTGTGTGGCTCCAAGTCTCAGGCTCCGTTATCATTCTGCCCTCCACCAACCACAGGAAACCCCATGCTTTGGAAGATGTTGCTTATTACCAAGATACTGCATTTCTAAAGATGTCCTACCCCCATCACTTATTATCAACACCCATTAGAGCCACTGGCCAGCAGGAGGTGACCAGGACTGCACTTCCTGGGTAAAACTCCAGTCAACACAAAGACAACGGCATGGAAAGACTGCTGCCTGAGGCACAGCAGGATTCCTAGAGCACTGGAAATAGCCGATTGTTCCCCACTCCTGTGGGTGGCCCGGGCATACTATCCTGGGTGCCCCTCCAGCTTGGGGACTGCACACGATTAAGCTGAGCTTGGACCCAGTTTTCTTGGCACTCAAGACTGTGCTCTTTTCATTCAATTGGCTGCTTTCGAAAGCTTTATACACAGCTTTCACGTGCCCATAAACCACCAAAGGACAAACCCTTGCTCCTTGGCCTGGCATTTAAGGATCTTTATATCTGATGCCGGCTTGTTTTTTGGGAGTTCATTGTCTATTACTCCCCCAAGTGACTGCTCTACTCCCCTTCAACCTTCCCAGTGCCCCCCAAATAACTTTGTAAATCCCAGTGCCCCGGCCTGGAATGCCCTGGCTTCCACCCTGCCGCAGCTGGTAGCCTCTCTCTGCCAATAAGCTTCATTTGTCCATACCACTCCCTCTGGCCCATGGTGCTTTCTGCCTCACCATGTGGAACAGGGCAGGCCCAGGTGTTACCCTTCTTGTGCCCAGGGCCTGAGGAGCCAGTGGTTTGAAGGAAGGTTTGCCTTTCAGCTCAGTGCCTCCCTACAGGCCTTTCCCTGCTGCCCTGCACCGAGCCCTGTTTACTAGGGGTGAACAGCCCTCCCTATGGTCCTTAGGCATTTGCGTTCATCGCTGTGTTATTGTTCAGCCGGGGAAAGAGAGGTGGGCCTAGATCTGGATCCTAGAACCCTCACTGTGCAGTCTTTTCCTTACTACCCCAAAGTAAGACCAATGGGGATTTATTATTTCCTTTTGTTGAAAAGAGGAGTGAAGGAAGTGTGGCGCCCCAGCAGAAGAAACTGTATCGGGCAAGCTCCCAGAGGCAGCAGCGGAATCCTGCCTCAGAACCACCAACAGGTGCTGGCTGAGTGCTTACACCTGTGGCCTGTCTTCAGCTGCCTGCTTAGGGAGGAGGGAAGAAGGAAGAAGAGGCCCAGGCCGCCACGCAGACCGGGCTTCCTTGCCTGTGAAGAGCAGCAGTGGGAGGCAAACAGTAGCAATCTTCCCCCTGGATCCTTTATCCTGTATCTCCCTTCTGACTCCCCTTTCTGGAACATCTGGCTCAGGGTGAATCAAATTGATATTTTCTTAACACTCTATTTCATTTTAGAAAAAGCAACCCTTTGCTTTGCAATATATCCCAAAGAGAGAGACAGATACAACATTGAGTTTAATAATCAGCAAAGGGCAGGGATTTGCCTCCTGTGACCTGTATCTTTGCAGACATTCAGGAATTGGTGCTTATTCCTGCCTTAATTATAGGGATTCATAGAAAGCTTTTTTTTTTTTTTTTTTTTGAGACGGAGTCTTGCTCTGTCACCAGGCTAGAGTGCAGTGGTGCAATCTCAGCTCACTGCAACCTCCGCCTCCCAGGTTCAAGCAATTCTCCTGCCTCAGCCTCCTGAGTAGCTGGGACTACAGGTGTGTGCCACTGCTCCCACCTAATTTTTTATATATTTTTAGGGGGTTTCACCGTGTTAGCCAGGATGGTCTCAATCTCCTGATCTCATGATACACCCACCTCAGCCTCCCAAAGTGCTAGGATTATAGGGGTGAGTTACCATGCCCAGCCCATAGAAAGTTTTTTTAGAGAGAGAAACTGAGGCAGAGGGTTGACGGCATGGAATCATGAGCTTCCTGCCCCGAGTGCCTTTTTGTGCCCAGAGTTAAAAATCCATGAATAGCTAAAGAAAGAAAATCTAAAACCTTCCTCTCAAATCTCTAACAAGGGCCATGCGGCCCCAGTGTTTACACTGAGTTATCAGAGCACTCTCAACTTCCTGTATGCTGAGAAGGGACTTCTGAGGAGGACAGTGGGCTCTGGGCTTCCAAGGCCTGGAGCTGTTATCCTCACTAAACAGCTGTGGTCTTTCTTGTCCCTGCTCTAAAGACATTCTCTTTTGGAGGGGACATTCCTGCCAGGACTCCCATCCAGCTCTCAGCAGGAAGAAGTTTCCCATCCTGAAAAACTCAACAGAAACTAAAAAACTGACCCTCTGCTACGGGGTTCCCGAGCATTTGTAGCCTTTCAGAGTTTGACCTTGATTCAGCGGATAAGACAGGGCTGGCCAAGGCCAGCTTTTTACTGCCTACCCATCATCTTTATGCAAGTTCAGGAGACAAAGGGCTTTAGGTGTTACAGGGCCATGGAGGGGCTTGCCCCACACTGAGCCCCTGCTGAAAGCAGAACAAGAAATGAGGTGGCTGGGCATGGATTGAAATGACAAACTGTAACTCTTCTACAAATGTAGAGGTTTATTTCAACAAAATGTGTAAAGAGTGCATCTGAAGCTCCTGCTCATCACAGTATGTGTCCATCAAATTCTGAGACAAGTGAAGGCTGTTTTGTGAACGAAGAGAACAGATAATATGGCGGTCTCCGTCCAAGCAGGTCTTGGTCAATATCCATCATTTATACTCCTCCTGCCTTAGTAGCCTTGCATGTTTGAGGGGCTGTGGGAATGTCAGATTGCTCATGTTCTGTGCCTCCAACTTGAAAAAATCCTTGTCCAGGGTAAGACCTACAGTAAGGAGCTCTGGGGATGGGGGAGGAGGCATTACAGGGTTCTAGAGAGGAAACATACTCGTTTGTGTCATAATTTGGTGGGGAGAGGGGAGGTAAATGAGTGTAACCCACCCTGCCTCTGAAGACATGCCTGGACAGGCCTCCTGGGGGGTGCAGGACTTCATACCACTTGTAGATATGTGGGATTTGATTTATTGCAAAAAAGCATAGAAGAATAATCTGGTCAAAAATGAATCCAATTCTTACTAGGTAAGCAAATAGCCAGCAATGGTCAATGCATTTTCCTGGACTGAGAATTGTCCCCCACCACTTTATGCCCTTTTCTGAAGGTGCTGAACACCTGTACCTTCCACCAGGGCAGCCGGGCTGAGGCTCTGACTCCTGGGGGCTGTCCGCTCCATACCCAGCCATACAGTGCCCACCTGCAACCCAGAACCATTGAAAAGTCCAGCCAATCTATCCGCACAGATTCCTCCTGAAGAAGGGGAGGTGGAGCTCGTTCTTGTGTGCAAACTACAGGGTTAAGGCTCAGAACTGTGGCTTGTCCAAGAACGTTCATACCACTGCTTCTCAAATGTCTTAGTGATTTCCTCCTTGGTCATCAGTGACAAATGCAGTTAGCTGCACTAAAGGAACCGGATGCTACACCAGCCCTGATCACCTGCCACTCTTGCTTTAGGAACAGAGGAATCAGTAAGTTCTTTTCTTGAATAAACTAGTTGTTGAAAGTAAACTCTCTCCACCACCTGAGGAAGCCCCTGATGCCAGTCAGGAGGGGCCAGTAAGCCTGGAGGACAGCAGCACCATGACTGAGTTGTAAATAATCTTAAGGTCATGTGGATTCTGTGTTTCCTGGAAGCCTCCCTCATCAGGAAGGCCAGCTCCTGGTGCTGAGGGTGTAGCTGTCACCAGGGTCCTTTCAGAGCTGTGGGGAGACCTGCTGCCTGTCTACACTCTGGGGAAGAGAGTAGAACCGTTAGCTGCTAGGACAGTAATCCTGGAACTAGGGAAGAGTGAGTGTGGAGGCACCATTAACCTCTCAAAACCATCCAAGCTCCAGGCTTCATAGGAACAACTTTCCAAGTCCTCAAAACAAACAGACTATCTATCTATCTCACTGGCTCTCCACATGGCATAAATAACTAGTTTCCACCAGTGCAGAAAGGGCAGTTCTCTTCTGGCTCCTCCTCTGCCAACTCAGGCTTCACCACCTGTGGAACTGCTGGGGCCCCTCAAGCACTGGCCTTGCAGCTCCCAGCCACATGCGACAGCTAGTCCAGCAGTGACGTGCAGGCGAGAGGCAGGCCAACAACTACCTTTCCCTTTGTCCTCAGAGACTGAACCCAAGGTTGAGGTCCCCTAAATCAAGAATAACTGGTTCTATTTTCTTTCTCTGCTTCTTGGCTCACAGTTTTGCCCTCATCTTTGAGTTCCTATGGAGCTTGTAGTAGATTTTATGCTCTAATTTTTCTTCATAAAAGGTACCGTAGTGTGGTTAAACTGGGAATCATTCCTCTCCAGTGCCTACTGTGTGCTGGGCTAAGAGTCGGGGTAATAAACAATGGACTTGAGGCTTCCTCCTCTCCTTAGCCCTCCTCTGCTGCCTGTGGCTGCGGCTCATGGGGCCAGGAGTGAGGGGGGCTGCTCACTGCTGGGCAACTCCTCACGCTTCCCCATGCTGGGAGGCCAAGGGGCTGTCAGGACAGGAGGGGCAGCCCTACTTTGGTTAGTAAGACCTCATGGTACATGTTTGTACCTTTCATTGCCTTCTCAGTCCTGTGCAGGGAGTGGAGGACTAGGCCTGGCCAGGGTAATAAATACTGAATGGGGTAGGTGTGACTGGTGGGCTGGAGGGGGATTCTGTGATCTTACATCCCAGGATGTCATGCATAACCTGAAACGAGAGGAAGTAAAATGCCATTTGACTCCAGTGCTGGGTCTCCTGTGCCTTCTCATTACAGTGGTTACAGTTGTAAAAGGCAGCTCTAGCCCTTTTCTCCAGAGACAGGGCAGGGACAGGCAGGAAGCTCTTCCTACGTGGAAGGGGAATCCATTGTGGAGAGGATCCGTATGACTTCTGCTCGCTGAGTGGGTGATATGTGCTGCGTCATATGGATGATGGAATCCATGGCAACCTCTGGATTGGCCTGGACCAAGCTGGAAAGGAAGATTGAGAATGGTGAAGAAAAGAGAAGCAGAAGTGTCTAGATGAGGACAGCTAAAGAACTGCCCAATAAACATGTGTGCACCGTCCACTGCAGACATTTTAGTCACGCCTCACCTTATTTGTTTCCCTATATTACAAATATCCAGCCAAGGTAGTGCAAGACAAACCCAAAACATTTTGCTATGTTGAAAAAGGAATTAAACCCAAAACAAAACCCAAAAAAAACCCAAAACATGCCAATGGGGGCATGTCACAAAGACAGCAATTGGGGCATCAAAAGCAGCCCAGCAATGAATTATAAATCAGTAAAAAATAGAACTTCATGAGTCTGTACCAATAATGTATATATAAAAGAATCGGCAGGAGTGAGGACTGAGTGGTGACTGGTAATTGTGGAGGGTGTGCTGGAGTTGGAAAGTTATCATTTTGCAAGCTCATCGTAAAGACTGCACCAGAGGGAAATTTTGATGAAAGCAAGATACTTGCATGGCCTTAAAATGTCTTCCTGCAGACTACTTATTAGGTGCAAGGGGGGAAAATCAGTAATTATACGGTAGAGAAATGGAGCAACATCTTGACCAGCGGATGAAATTAACACGAGGAGGAGCAGATAAACAGCATGTGCCCCCAGATGTGGTGCCCTGTGAAGGTTCTGGCCAGAGTGCCTCACCTGCATCTCATCATGGGGAGACATCAGACAAACTCAAAATGAGCAATGTTCTACAGATGGTAGATATCAGATAAAAGTTTTTAATCAATGTTAAATTTACAAAAGTGGATCATTTTATGATGGTTATGTAAAAGTATCCCTATTCTCAGCAAATGCACACTGAAATATTTGGGGGTAAAGGCCATGATATATGTAACACCCTTAAGTAGTTCAGAAAGAGGAAAAATGTATACACATATGGGAGGGCAGGCACACTCATAAGTGATATAGCAACGGGGAGAAAATGTAACAGGTAAATCTGAGTACAGATATTATATATAGGGGTGTTCTTTGTACTGTTTTTAATTTTATAACTTTTCTGTAAGTGAAATGTTTCCAAATAAACTTTTACAAAAATGCCCCTGCAGTCTCTACCACCGATCCTATGGAGCAGACTGAAGCCTCTAGAAGAATACAGCTAACTCTTGGCTTCAGGAGGTGAGGAGGTGGTTTCCCAGGAAACCACCACACACACAATCAGCTTTCCTCCCAGAGTTGTTCATCCGGTTTGAGTATCAGCATTCAGAGCTAAGAGGTGGGCACAGTGAATTAAGCCTTCATCTAGCTGAGATTACTAAGTGCCCCTGGGGAGCAGTAGCTGAAAAAGAATTGGGCTTCAGGCCATATCTGTACCTGTGGGTCAACTACAGCTGTCTCAAACAGCAAGAGACTGCAGAGATCATAAGATTTCTGCGATCATCTCATGATTTGTTTGGAAACTTTTTATTCCAAAGAAATTAGCCCTCCTTCTCTAGTGGAGTTCCCCACGTTGGTCTCACCTGCGGATTTGCTTGAGGACGTAGTCTCTGCTGATGCATTTGATGTTTTCCTCTATTACCGAGTGAACACCATCCTCCTCTGTCAGCTGTTTCTCTAGCCACTCCGCCAGATCCTTATTATTGTCCCAAACATAAGCCTGCAAACAGATGACTCTTGGTCAAACACCAGGGGTCAGGCCAGGCCGGGACACCCTGACTATTCAGGATCTGGAGTGCTTGCTTACTCCAAAAGTGTGCTCCGTGTCCACGATTCTCCTTCACTGTCAGCATCGTGCAGGAGGAGGAAGTAGGCCTCGAGGCAGGAGCTGTGCCCCTTCTCCTTCTCTTCCTTTATGGACACAGGTGTACACCTGAAGTCTCCATGGGGCTCTCCCGAGCACTCTGGTGCTCATACCCTGACTCTGTCCTGTCAGACTCTAGGGACCCACCTATTTGACAAAGGCTAAGAGAATTCAATAACCTGACAGGTTTGAGAGAACCAGTTAAAAGCCCAAATTACTTAGTAAAATTGTGATTGAGAAGGCAAGGCTGTTTATTTGGTGTTTTGCTCTCAGAGGAGCTGAGACACAATGCCTAAAGTATAAGTCTCTAGCCTCAGTGAGGCCTGGCAGTCACTGGATGGATGAAGTCTCCTGAAATAGAGCCCACTGTCTTTTGATGAGGCACGGACGGGGAACTGATGGGAGGGAAGTCTTGTTGCCAGGGTACAGCCACCAGGTCAGAAACCTAAGCCCCATTTTATTACCTATGAGAGTATTCGAAAGGATCAAGACGTCCATAACCCTGAAAGTCTCAACAAACCACCTCTCACCTCCTTTTCAAGATCATTTAGCTGAGTATTTCCTAGGTGGTTGACTACATAATAATTCAGGAGTGTGTTAGAAGCCTAATAGCCTTCTCCTTGCTCTCTTCTCCTCTCATTTTCTTTACAAATCATTTAGGAATCGTTTTGTTAATGGTTTCCGGAAAACCAAGTACCACAATTAGGGCTCATTCATATTTATGTCATTTTGTTTGGGTAATTAAACACAAAGCTTGTCATTTAAAGGTGCGCTATCCTTCTCTGTTATCACTAACGAAGTCAAAGTCAGAATGACAATGAGTTTGGTGCTATAATTTAATAGGTGGGTGTGTTTGTTAGGGACTCTGAGGCTTTGAGGTTTGAGACGTGGCTACAGGAAGCCTGTATGCAAGCAAGGTCACCAAAGCCACAGCTGTGACTACTGGGCTGCAGAGGAAATGTCTTCATCACAAGAGGCCTCAAGCAGTACAAAACTGAGCACTAGGCTATTTTCTAACTATCTCGTGCCTTCAAATATAATGGTTTCTTTTCAGACTGTCACTTCCTGTCTCTAACTTAGCTGCCGACTTAGTTGTGACTGGTTATTTAATGTATGTCATTTCATCGACGTCTCTGTTTCTAAAAATTAACTCCTTTACATTGGAAAGATGAAGGCTTCCGGGGACTAAGGATCAGCAGTATGTCTCTTTTAGTTCTTTGTCCATTTCTTTTTCTGACTCAAATGTGCCCAGTTCTGTATCTAATCACTGATAAGCAGATCAGCAATTCTTCAGCTGGGGTGTGTGGCCCCGTCAGTGCAAACCTGAGTGACCCTCTCCTCTCTGTGCCTGGGTTAGGACTCCCAGCATCTCTCAAGGCCAAACTGCCTTGAGAAAGTGTTTTGCGCCTAAGGAAAGGAAGTGTCACATCAGCCCCTATCCACGAGGGAGAAGGTAGCACTGCTTTTCCCATAACATGGTTTTAACTCACTCTTGTGACCCAGCTTGCTGCACGCCCCACATATGGATGGGTCCCCCTGGACTCCTAAACGTCGCCACCTAAATTTCAACATTTCCATTTCCATCATTGGCAATTTACTCTTCTGCTCCGTGGTTTCAGGACTTCTACACATACCCCTACTTATGAAGATTGGGGTGGAGGGGAGGAAAAATAAAACAATAAATGCTTCTTGGATTTCAGAATGGAAAAAAAAAAAACCCCAAGATTTTTAGATTTACCCAAGAATCCCAAAGCCTTTAGTTTAGGAGAATATTTAATACTCTTATTAATCATTTTTAATCCGTTTGCTTTTAATTAAGAAACAGCATGATGCTTTCCTATCAACATATGCCAGGGAGCAGATTAATTGTGGCTTAAGATAACTCTCCTTGATTGGTGTAATGTATTAGCTAACGAGATGCCTGCTTCCAACAATGCTCAGACACTACACTGGAAAGCCAGCTACCCTCTAGAGAAAACTCTTCTGCCTTCCCCTCCTGCAGCCACAGAGTATGCTAGGTGTTTAAACATTTTGAAAAGTTCCCAGACAGGATTAGGGCAACGCATTCCAAGTTTTACAGTTGCTTGAAAATATGGGTCCTATAAAAAGATCTGCTGTTTACGCAAAGTACAACTGGATGACAATGACCGCCAAACCCCAGTGGATTACAGCCTAGAGTACATGAAGGAAAGGGGTCTCAAGTTCTAATCAACTGCATGTTTAGCAAAAATAAACAAACTTATGTAAGCATAGTGCCACTGGTTTTTCTCAACAGACCTGGGAGAGTTACCATACTGTTGTGGGATAATTTGCTCCACCTGGGAAAAGCAAGCTCCCTTCCACTGGGTTATGGAGTTTACAGGTTTTTTTTTCTTCCCCCAGACAGGGTCTCCTCCTGTTGCCCAGGCTGGAGTACAGTGGCATGATCACAGCTCATTGCAGCCCGAAACTCCTGGGCTCACGTGATTCTCCTGCATCGGCATCCTGAATAGCTAGGATTACAGGCATGCCCCACCATGCCTGGCAAAACTTTTTTTGGTAGAAACAGGGTCTCGTTATGTTGCCCAGGCTGGTCTTGAACTCCTGGGCTCAAGCAGTTCCCCTGCCTTGGCCTCCCAAAGTGCTGGGATTATAGGCGTGTGCCACTGTGCCCAGCCAGAGCCTACAGTTTCTTGTTTGCTCCCTTAGAACAGTTGTAAGACTCAATTCCAGTCATCCAGAAGGATAGGCCAACCTTATTCCCAGGAAGAAGCCATTATTATTTCCCTCCTTAAAATTATGAAAATGGGCCTGGCACAGTGGCTCACGCCTGTTATCCCAGCAATTTGGGAGGCTGAGGCAGGGAATTGCTGGAGTCCAGGAGTTTCAGACCAGCCTGGGCAACATGGCAAAACCCCACCTCTACAAAAAAATCAGCCAGGTGGGGTAGTGTATGCCTATAGTCCCAGCTACTTGGGAGGCTGAGGTGGGAGGGGAGGATCACATGAGCCCAGGAGGTTGAGGCTGAAAGTGAGTCATCATACCTACTCCAGCAGCCTGGGCAATAGAGTGAGACAAAAAAAAAAAAAAAGAAAATGTGGCCAGTCATTCCTAGTATTCCAGCGTGGACTTTAAACAGGTGTGATATGCTAGGCTGCTAACATCATGACAGGCCTGGGCCCGTATGCCACCTGTCAGCATATCCATCTGTATCAGAACATTTTATCAATAAAATATCAATAATTCTACATCACAACAGTGGCCTGTCCTAAAATGAATGTTCAACAGACACTTTCTGTCTGCATCAGTGGATAAGTATCTCAGGCACTAGTCAGCCTCACTAATTTTATGTAGTAATTAGTCTATCTCACAACATCTAAATGACCTGTTTGGAAAGTTTCATTTCTAACATACTGGATAGCTGTTAAGTCCTCCTTAGACAATGGTTCAGCAGGGCCAAGGAGTGACCAGGGCACAACCTGATGGATGTGAGCCCTGATTACTATACCCTACTAATAACTCACCTTGGGAGCTGCTGGGAGACACCTCCAGCTAGGGAGGCTCCTCCCATTTCTGACCTTCTAGACTTCTGGGAAACACACAGCCTGATGGGTGTAGGGATGGCATACAAATCCTAAGGTACACTCATATTTTGGAAAGACATTTTCAATACACCTACACTTACAAGGCTAAGCCCTATCCAACAGAAGCCCAAGAAAGGATGTGATTTTTTTTTCCAAGGGCTTTAGAGTACAATAGCCAAAGGACATGTGGGCTAGGGTGGCCATCAGACCCCTGTGAACCAAGCTCCTGTGAGCCAATCCCATCTCAGCTCCAGGCCCATAGCAGGGCCAAGCAACACTTTCCAGGTTCTACCTTACCTCCTCCCTGCCTGGCCCTGTGTGAGAAGTTTGGTGTATGAGACTTATTCATCAGTAGCCTGAGGCCAGGTTTTGAGGTCAGTGGAAATAAGTGACCCTGTCAATAGTGCTTTTTCCTATGGTCCTCACAGGGGCCTCTGTTGAGCATTCATTTCACTTGGAAATCCAGAATAAGAGCGAGTGGGTAGCTGTGTGAACAATAAGAATGCACCATGGCATCGGGTTGTGGGAACATGAGAGCATGCCAAACCAAAGAGCGTCTGAGCACCCACTGTGCTCAGGAGTCAGCCCCCTTTCCGCCGAGGTCAATCAGCTGTACATTTTTGACTTGGTCTATGTTGCTATTATTTTTTTACCTTCTAACATGGAGCAGGGGAAACTAGCATATTTTGAATGTCTACTGAGCCAGACATTGTGTTCCATACTTTTTCTTTTTGGAGACAGGGTCTCACTCTGTTGCCCAGGCTGGGGTGCAGTGGCGCCATCATAGCTCACTATAACCTCAAATTCCTTGGCCCAAGCGATGCTCCTGCCTCAGCCCCCTGAGGAGCTAGGACTACATGTGTGTGCCACGACACCGAGCAAATTTTAAAATTTTTTGTGAAGACAGGGTCTTGCTTTGTTATCCAGGCTGGTCTCAAACTCCTGGCCTCAAGCGATCCTCCCACTTCAGCTTCCCAAAGCACTGGGATTACAGGCGTGAGCCACCACATCTGACTTATGCTCCATACTTTACTCATGTTATTTAAAACTCACTGAACCCCATGACATAAACACCACCCCCATTTTACAGATGAGGGAATGGAGGCTTAAATAATATGCCCATGCCAGTAAATGACAAAGCTGGGATCCCGAAGTTTATGAGATTTCAAAACCCACATTCTCATTGTTCCATGCAGAGTCCTAATTTCAATTTCTACTATTGGGGTCTGGGAAAAAATAAATCAGCCTGTTTGAAAAACCAGGCTTCAAATTTTGGATCTAAGAATCAAGTGAGAAACCATGCCCAGGATACAAATGTGTGCCATGTTCTTATGACCCAATTTAAACTACTGTTCTTGTTATTTTCGTTAAGGAGCTGTAGTGATGCTTTGCTTCTGCCTGCAGTGAAACTATGAACCATAAATCCTACTATTTCCTACAGTAGGATCGTCCCAGTGGATTCAAACAGACTCCCATAACTCATGGTAACAGATATCTCTAAGGGAAACAAAAGAATTATAGTGCTCAGTTATATAATATCACCGTGTCTTCAATTTTCTGTCCCAGAATTTCTGTTTTCAGGATTAAGATTAAGAAAACAAATTCTCTGGGAACAAAAAGAACACAAGGCATAGCTAATAGATGCCTATCTCGAAATGTCTTTTCTTACCAGTAACCAACCACAATAAGGATTAGAGGGTCACTTCCTGGTGCAAAGCCAGGGTCTAGACTCAGCCAGTCTTTGCACTTGAGAAACACAACACACAGTATCTATCATTCTTTGAAGAACCACCCCCCCCCCCCCACACCAAACAGCAAGCAGATTGTACATCACTCCTTCTGAGGCACACAGATGGCTTTTGAACACTGCAACCCTTTCTTCTCTCAAGGGCACTGCAGATTTTATCACCCACCTCACACTAAACTAGGTCCTGCTGAGCCTGCCGAATATGGAAGGAGGTTTCAAAGCCACATGCCCTGACATCATAGGATTACCCGTCCTCACGTTCAGTCCTTGGCATTCCTCTCAGAGAACTCAGGAGAATGCTGCCTTTTGTAGATGGGCACAAGGGAAATGGCCTCAGTGCTCAGCATGGCTGCCCCCAGTGCCTAGGCAGCCTCCTACTGAGCTACGGGGTGGAGGTTCTCTTCTGTGCTTCAATTCCAGCCAGGAGCTTGTACACACGTGGTCAACTGTTCTCTCCATTGATAAGAGACGGCAGTGACCTATTTCTTCAGACGCTCTGTCCGCTTGGGAGCAGGATGCTAGGGAAAAGCTGAAGGGCCTATCTACTTGCTTCATGCCTGGGGGGAAACTTCCTTCTCATCCTTGTGCCTACTGAGGCTGGACACGTCCATTAGTGACTAATGTGGTAGGGAGGCAGTGCAGGCCTCTCCTGGCCACACACATACACACACACTCCATTTACCTAGCCGGCCACTCTTAACTGGAGGACAAACTCTTATTTTACACTTGCGTGACTTTCAATGCCAACTTCCACTAGAAGCTGCCAGTAGCCACTGACAAAATTGTCTCACTCAATTATGATGCCACAGACTGACCTTAACCTGAACCAAATGTCGGAGAAGGCTGTGCTCCCCAACTGCACATTTGAAATATTTATCCAAAGAAGCTTTTCAGTCATAAAAAAAATGGGCAGACTTAATACAAAGGTGAATCCTAGAAGCACCCCAATTCACTGGCTTTAAAACTGACAGCAAATCTGGGAGCTCCTCCTTGAGAACGATTAGCAGAGGCTTCAGGCAACACTTTCTAGGCAGAGGCCAGAGTGCCCCTCTTTGTGGGCCAGGACCCTTCAAGCCACCACCAGCCACCCAGCCCTCCATCAATACTCTAACCTGGTAGTCACCAAATGTTTGTGATCACATAGCAATGAGAAAGACAGACAAATATATTTTGAGCACATACTACCAATATTCTGATAAAATGCATTTTTGATGTAAATGATTAATCCATATATTAATTACTAATAAAGGTTAATTTCTTTTTGTTAGTAAAAATAAACAGAAATAAAAGTTCCAGCTTTTTCTTCCCATCCATGGAGTGACTTATGCAGCCCACTATTCCAGGAGCAAATGCTGGTGCCCTTGCTAGGTCATCCTGGCTTGAGACCCGCCCCATCCCCAACACTGAGGCTAGAGCACCAAGGACACCATCTCAGTGGGGTTACTGCTCTAGGTCACGAGCCCTCTCTGTGAGATCACCCCAAGAAAATGCCAGCTTCATAGGTCCCTTTCCCTGCATAAGGGTGGATACTTCCTTCCATCTCTGATTGGAAGTAGGCAGCTCTTTAGTTGTAGTCATGGCATCTCCTGCCGATCACAACCTGTTAGGCTTCTGCTCTTAGCCCCTCCAATTCCCTCCTCCACACAGCCCCCTTAGTGGTCTTTCTAAAATAGAAATCAGAGCATGTCACTCCACTGCTTAAAATACCTGAGTGGTTTCCGACAGGCCTCAGGACAAAGTCCAAACTCCTTGACAGCTTACATGGCCCTGTGTGATCATGCCCCTGCCCCTTCTTCCTACCAGGCACCCAGTCTCTGAGCTGCCCTGAAACAGTTGCAGGATGTTCCTTTGATGCATGTTACTCTTACTCTCATGGCTTAGGATGATGCTGTTCCTTCTGCAGGAACATTCCTCCTAAGCCCTGACTGCCCCCAAATCCAGCCTTTTCTTCTGGTTCATTTCTGCTTTGTTTTCCAGCCTCTCCTGAGACATCACTTACTGCACAAGGCTTCTTAGACTCTCCTCCATCCTTCCCAGAGAGGGTCAGGTATCTTCTCGCTGTGCTCTGTGCCCTTTGCTGTGTTTAACATGGGCCTCACTATTGTGCATAACCTCTTTATTTGTCTCCCCCTCTAGATGGTGAGCTCTATGTGGATAGGAACAACATTTGCCTCTTTCACTGCCATGCCCCCAGAAGCAAATGCAGTGTCTAGTACCCAGTAAGTGTTCAAAAAGGTCTGCTGAATGATTGCATAAGCTGCAACATATGCCCTACCACCTCTTCTAACAAGATGTCGTGACATGACATGTTAGGGGGAGTAGCTGGGGGAGGAAACAGCTTGGATCTCTATGTTTCCCTTCTACTCCTGCCCTTAGAGGCCTGTGGACTCTTTGCTGGCGAGACTTGCAGCCCTCAGGTGGTGTGAGGAACTCAGCAAAAAGGCTTCTCTTTGAGTGTCCCACCTACCTTCACTGTTCCTTCCACTTCCACAAACCAGCGCCTTAACATGGCTTGAATCTGGCCATCAGTCAGCTCAGGGTTGGCATTGTGGATTTTCTTCTTGACCAGGTCCTCCAGCAGAAGACGCCTCAGCCGCCAGTAGAAGAAGGTACGGGATGTTTTCCAATCCAGGATATCCTACATGCAGAGAAGAATAAACTTAGCCCAGTCCTAATTCCTGCTTAATGCTCAGTCTGGAGGGAAACCCACAGGCATAAAAACTGATTCTCCAGGCAAGCCCTTCACAGACCCAAGAGCTGGCTGTAAACTCCTAGCACTTCCAGATGTCCCCCAGGGCAGAAATGCAGCCCACATGCCCTGCTGTCTGCAGCACTGTGCACAGCCATGGGCCTGGCTAATGCTGATCCCACACATGGCTGAGATGTTCTGGGGAAGAGGCTGTGAGTTCCCAGATAACCAGACAAGGATAAATTCGTTTTGAGAAGATGGATCAAACAACTTGCAGATCAATTATTAATTAGCTGCTGCGGGAGCCTTGACCCTATAGTAACCCACATCCTGAGGACCCGTCACCAATGAAGTCACATGTGACTCAGTTTCCCACCAGTAAAATGCAGCTTGCCTCCTGAGGAATTAATGGAAACCTAAATTATACATTGTTTTAAGATGATAACAGTTACAGAAACAGTGAAAATCTAAAAAATATTGAAAATGTTTTGATCTGCAGAAGTTGTTTTAATTTGGCCCTCATAGCTCCCTGCTTATGAGCCTGTGTGCAACACACACACACACTTGCCCACATGTGGGCCTCTGACAAGAAGTGGCAACCATTGTACTTACGCTAATAACACCCTTCTCCTGCATCCGGCCTGGTGTGTCGTGCAAGTCAGCAAACTGCACGGCTACCTGATGGTAAATGGGAATTAGGAATTCCTCCCGCTCCTTCAACTTGTTCTCCAACTCCTTCCGCTCAGCTGTGCTTAGCTCTGGGGTCCCTGCAATTAGATAAACATGCCCGTCACACTCTGTAATGACCAGGAATCTCTCTGCACAAAAGCAGCCACAATCACGGGAAGCTCAACATCAGCCTGCCCCCTCTTCCCTCTGTGGCCTGGCTCTCCGTTGTCTTCTCTGCTCTTTGCTGATTAACAGGGCCCTACAAGATGCCACACCAGTCTTTACCTTGCCACAAGAAGCCCACATGCCCTCTTTTCCCTGTGGCAGTCACAAGTGTGAAGGCAGATGGCAGCCCCTCTCCCATGCCTCTCCCTGAGAAGGTGCAAGTAGCGACCTAGAGGCCTGCTGCATATTGCTGACACCACCCAGGCTCCTCCTTCCCCTGAGGCCAGTACTTGTACACTGACACCATGCCCATCCCTGCTGACCAGCATCAAAGCAGCTGGGCTATTCCACACGTGGGATGTGGTGAGAGCACCCCTAAACTCCGAGCACAAACTAGTAGCTCCTGTTTCCGTGTACATGCGAGTTATCTGCCAAACTTGGCAAGGACCTGAATAACTCCTAAAGTTACAAGCCATAGTACTTCATGGCTTCTAATCTCAGGTTTATATACTCTTAACCTCTAATTAGTAGAACTCAATCTAATTAGAGCTAGATCCTCACATCTTGTGTCAGCTCAGTGGGTTAGCCTGTGCTCTCCCGCCTGGGCTGCTACTGCCAGAGCCAGTCCCTGACCAGACAAAGACATTCTACTTCTTAGGCTAAAGGAGAAGGAGGATGTAAAAAGAGAAAGGCAGTTGGCAAACCTCATTTGGATCACTGCGCACGGTACCCTGACTCAACAGACAGGAGACTTTGGAACCCCTTATACCAAGGAGGGACCCCTCCCCCAATCAATAGTGTCCCAGTAGAGGTGTTGCTATGGTGTGCCTTTCTTCCTAATTACTCTCAGAATGGGATCTGCAATCAATACTGAAAATTTAGCTGCCTGCCTAGTAAGGAGGAGTAAGCCTAGCTGAAGGAGCAATAGGTGACAGCCCCTGGTGTTAGGGACACCCTGAAGTGCTTTGTCACCAAAGCTGACAAATAAATACATGAGCACAGGTGATAGGATGCAGAAGAGGAAGGTCTATTTCAAGCATGCCTGTCTGGGAACAGGCCTTGTTTTTTACACCACAATGAATCATATGCCATAAAAACAGCCTTGGGCTGCTGACTGAGCCGTATTATACATAAACACAGGTTAACAGAGGAGGGATGTAACTATAGTACTTAAGTTTCATTTTTATTAGTTTTTTGGATGCCCAACTCTACCTCTTTTTTTAAGCTCATCACCATTTTAAAACTGTGATGAAGGTGCCACTGATCTGCTGCTTTAGGCCCCGGCGCCTCAGTAGTGTTCCTTCCAAAACACCTGAACAGCATGAACGCACCGGGCCCCACACTAAGGGATGACACAAAGGCCCATTGCATTCTAGTGTAGATCTGCCTGGAGGGCTGATGGCGGGAGGGCTGAGGGATGGAGGGCTGATGGGAGGAGGGCTGATGGGAGGAGGGCTGATAGCAGGAGGGCTGATGGGAGGAGGGCTGATGGCGGGAGGGCTGATGGCAGGAGGGCTGATGGCGGGAGGGCTGATGGCAGGAGGGCTGATGGCGGGAGGGCTGATGGCAGGAGGGCTGATGGAGGGAGGGCTGATGGGAGGAGGGCTGATGGAGGGAGGGCTGATGGCAAGAGGGCTGATGGGAGGAGGGCTGAGGGATGGAGGGCTGGCTGGTGTCTTCGGAGATGAGACATTCTCAGAACACCCTTGTTAGGGAAGCAAATATTTTCCCTTCTCCACAGAAAGAAACCAAGATTCCCTGGAGAAATAGCTGATTCTAGGGATGAGGTAGGGAAAACATCAGATGAACCTGGGGTATATTGTGACAAAAAAACAAGGAAGCCCTCAAAAAACGATTGAGACATGTTAGAAAAATGCAGGAGCCAGTTTTGAATGTGTTCCCACTGCCCAATTCTGGGACAATGAACACTAAAATAAATAATGATATTTATTAACAGACAGAATATTTGTGGAATGAAACTAGAATCTACCAATTCACCCTCATATAAGTAATTAAATGAGGGAGAAGGGAAAGGGAACACTCTCTCTTCCAGCAGAAGAACAATAAGTGTAGCGGAAATGATGGAATTAGAAAAATCACCGTTTTACAAGCATCACTGTAAATTACTCTTCCAAGAATCATCAATGGATGTCAAAGCCAGTGGGTGAAAGTTTGATAAGAAACAGAATATTCACAAGGTCTTAAAATATTCCTTACAAATCACTTATTAATTACAAAGGGGAAAATGGTAACTTTATCGTGGATTAACCTAGTGAACAACACCTTAAGCAAGTAATTAAATTATCACCAAGAGGACAGACTGATACCATGACTCCTGATGATGTACTGAGAAGGACAGAACATGACTTCCGCAACATTCCTGCCCAAAAAGCAGAATCGAAATCTAACCACAAACCCAAACTGAGGAAACATGCTACAAAAAAAGTGGCTCACTCTTCAAAAATGTGAAAAACATGAAAAACAAAGGTCAAAGAATCAGTCCAGATTAAAAGAGACCAAAAATACTTGACAATGAATTTCAATGTATGCTCATTAGATCAGATCTCAGACCGCCCCTCAAAAAAAAAAAAAAAAACTAAAAAGGACATTGAGACAATTGGTAAAATTTTAATATGAATCATGGATTAGACAGTAGTATCAATGTTTACAGTTCTTGATTTTGATAAATGTATTGTGGTTATGTAGGAGAAAGTCTGTGTTCTTAGAAATACACACTAATATTTATGAATAAAGAAGCATTAGGGCCAGGCGGGGTGGCTCACACCTGTAATCCCAGCACTTTGGGAGGCTGAGGTAGGTGGGTTACTTGAGGCCAGGAGTTTGAGACCAGCCTGGCCAACATGGCAAGACCTTGTCTCTACTAAAAATACAAAAATTAGCCAGGCATGGTGGCACATGCTTGCCATCCCAGCTACTCAGGAGGCTGAGGCGTGAGAATTGCTTGAACCCGGGAACTGGAGTTTGCAGTGAGTTAAGATGGCGCCACTGCACTCCAGCCTGAGTGACTGTCTCAGAAAAAAAAAAAAAAAAAAAGGCAAGAGGTCCACAGATTACTTTCAAATGGCTCAAAGAAAATGCATATGTGTGTGGAGCAAGAGAGAATAAATACATGTACACATGTGAATATGCAGAAATAATAAAGCATTGGGATATTAACAATAGGTGAATTTGAGAAAAAAGCATTGTATTATTCTTGTAACTTTTTTGTGAAATTGGAAAGTTTTAAAAATTAGGCAAGCTGGAAAAGAAAACTTATTCCTGGCTATCCAATGCATACAATCAATAATCAAAGCTAATATTTATAGGGTACTGGGCACCATTCTAAGTGCTTTATATCTATTAATTTATTATCACAACAACCTTAGGAGTCTGGTATTCTTATTATTCCCATTTTACAGGTGAGGAGACTGAGGCACTGAGAATTTATGGACTTACCAAGGTCACAAAGCTAGCAAGTGACAGAGCCAAGACTCAAATGCAGCAGTTTGGGTCCCAAAGCTTTTGAACACTGTTAGCTGTCTCTTCTCGCTTACTTGGGCAGAAGACACGTGCTTCAGTAGTAGTGTCCCTTTAATTTCTGAGAGGCTAAGTGATGATGGTGGGCTCCTGGCTGATAAAGGTTCTATCTTAGTCCCAATTCCATAACTAAGACCAGGACAATGTCTCCAATAGTTCCCATTCAGATGCAATTTCCTAGGCAGGCCTAAGATTTAAGAGTTGTGTCTCTTGTTACTGTGAGTTCAAGAACTAATACAATAATAGGTAAAGTCACAGCCCTGCAGGGAGCAAAGGGATGGCAAGACCACTGACATGGCTAAACGCACATATACATGGACCATATCTAACACACCATTTATTGAGCATTTACCACTCACTGCACTCAAATCTTTCAGGATCACATATCATAATCACCAAGCACAATACAGATCTACACACCTACATCTGGTCAGCTGTTAACACTGCTGCCAAGCTGAATACTTCAACGTTACTGCGTGCTTTCCCAGTTGCTTCAGGTACATGATCTCCAATCCTTAGGACAACTCAACTTTATGCCAGGGTGTCTATTTTACAGGTAAGAAAACCACAGCTCTGAAATGTAAAGGGACTTCCCCAATGGCATCCAGCTCTTTTTTTTTTTTTTTTTTTTTTTGAGACGGAGTCTTGCTCTGTCGCCCAGGCTGGAGTGCAGTGGCACGATCTCGGCTCACTGCAACCTCTGCCCCCTGAGTTCAAGCAATTCTTCTGCCTCAGACTCCCAAGTAGCTGGGATTACAGGTGCCCGTCACCAAGCCTGACTGATTTTTGAATTTTTCATAGAGATTTGGTTTTACCATGTTGGCCAGACTGGTCTCAAACTGACCTCAGGTGATCTGCCTGCCTCGGCCTCCAAAAGTGCTGGGATTACAGGTGTGAGCCACCGCACCTGGCTGCATCCAGCTCTTAAGTGGCAAAGTCAGGATTTACACTTGGGTCTGGCTCTCTCCAAAGCCTGTGTTCTTCCACATTAAATGGTATTGAAGGCTGGCAAGCAGATATCCTGCAGTGGCCACTATAGGGAAACCAGCTGGAGAGTTGGTTTGTTGTTCGCAAGGAGTTAAGAGCAAGGCTCAGCACTGGCTGCAGAAGAGGGAGCAGCTACGGGCTGAGGACAGTGTTTCAGAAACCAGGCTTTGGCTTCGCCAAGTTGGAAGGACGGAGGATGCTGGCTTCTGGGCTAACAAAGGTCTTGCCCTCTCAATCAAGCTATTCTAGAGCTTTGAAAGAATAACAAAATAAATGCCTGTAATGCTCTGGCCCTCCTGAGACTAGGAAGATTGCAGGGCATTCCTCCAAAGCCTACCTTGTTTGATTCCTTCAGTAATGCCTCTGATTATGGTTCAAGACCCACCTCAAAAAAGCATCAAAACAAGGAAAAGACTGAAGTGGAGAATATATGTGTTTTTAAATGCCCATGTGAAGGTCAAGGATTTGTGTGCTTTGTTTTAGGGGAAAAAAGATTTTTAAAATTTTATTTTCTAAAAATAAAAGGCTGCTATTAAGCCAGTTATATCATGTGTTGCACACCGAGGGCCCCTCTCTCCTTGTACAGCAAAGCAGCCAGCCCCGGTAATGATTTAGGGGAGATTAACAAATATGTCAATGTCTATTTTCTGCTTAATTTAAAAGTGGCGTCTATAAAGATTTTTGACTTCTGAACCCTGTTCTCCTGAAAGAAAGAAGGTAAGAATGAGGAGGGGGATAAAGAGTGATTATCCTATCATTGATCGTTTGTCAGGAGCATTTCTTATTCACTGGACTATTGTAAAAAGCTAAGCTCTCGATCAATGCTGTAAGCTCCCTGTACAATTAAATATCTTGAAATGGTTTTCTTTCTTTTCTAGCCAGATTGCAGGGCCTCAGGGATTTTAGGAAAGCAAGTTGGTGTGTACACGTGTGTGAGTGTGTTTAAGAATATGCTACAGAGAGAAAAGTCATTCTTTTCTAGAATTCTACATTAGGAAATGGCTGAGTGGGAGTAAAAAGGTAGGTGCTCCCATCCTTTCCTATCCAAAATAAAAAGTCCCTATGCAAGTTGGGAGGACTGCCTGAAGCCAGGATTTCAAGATCAGCCTGGACAACAAAGCAAGACCCTGTCTCTACAAACACACAAACACACACACACACACACACACACACACAAAATGCCAAGTGTGGTAGCTCACACCTGTAATCTCAGAACTTTGGGAAGCCAAGGTGGGAGGATGGCTTGAGCCCAGGGGTTCAATACCAGCCTGGGCAACAGAGCGAGACCCTGTCTTTCCTCCTGCATGCCCCCCAAAATTAGCCAGGCATGGTGAAGCGTGCCTGTAGTCCCAGAGATACTCTGGTGGCTGAGGCAGGAGGATCGCTGGAGCCCAGGAGTTCAAGCTGCGGTGAACTATGATTGTGCTGCTGCACTCCAGCCTAGGTCAGGAGTGTCCAATCTTTTGGCTTCCTTGGGCCACATTGGAAGAAGAAGAATTATCTTGGGCCACACATAAAATACACTAACGATAGCCAATGAGCTGGAAAAGAAATTGTAAAAAAAATCTCGTAATGTTTTAAGAAAGTTTACAAATTTGTGTTGGGCCACATGTGGCCTGCAGGCCACGGTTGGACAAGTTTGGCTTAGGTGAAAGAGGGTGACCTTGTCTCTTAAAAAATAAGTCCCCATGAAATCCTAAAAATGCACACTTTTAATTAAAAAATTTAAAGAGTTAAACAGAGACGAAATATCACTGGTCAAATAAGAAGAGCTAACACTATTGAGATGTTACTGTGTGCTGGTACTGTTAAAGTACTTTTTATCTCATTTAATCCTTACAACAATCCTAAAAGATGAGGAAACTGAGGCACAAAAAAGTAACTCACCCAAGGCCACAAAGCTAGGCAACAGTGGAGTTGTGATTTTGGACTAGGTAATCTGGTTTAAGAGCCCATGCTCCTTAAACAAAGCAGTTCAAATTGACTTGAAAGTATCCGCAGCACAGTGGCCTATCAGGTGTTCCCTGGAGCCAGGATACAAAGAAAAGCCACATTTCTCCTCCATGGTATCAAAGGTGAAGAGAGGCTGGACACGGTGGGTCATGCCTGTAATATCAGCACTTTGAGAGGCCAAGGTGGGAAGGACTGCGGAGGCCAGGAGTTTGAGACCAGCCCAGGCAACACAGGGAAATTCTGTCTCTACAAATATTTTAAAATTAGCGGAATGTGGTGGCGCATGCCTTGTAGTCCTAGCTACTTGGGACTGAGGTGGGAGAATTGCTTGAGCCTGACAGGTCGAGGTGTGGTGAGCTGTGATCATGACACTGCACTCCAGGCTGGCAGACAGAGTGAGAATCTGTCTCTGACCGAAAAAAAAAAAAAAAAAAAAAAGCTAAAGAGAAACTCCCAGAGGAAACGGCTGATTTCTGCAGCAGGAGGCAATTTTTTGCCCAGCCATATCACTTAAATAGGCCAGGAGAAGGTCAGCCCTAGTCTGTGTATGAACAAACTACATCCTAAAAGTAGGATTTGGGGGAGGTGACATCTTCAAAGCTTGGAATAAAAATCAGACTGGTAGACTAAAAATTCTCTGCTCAGCCAAAGGCTCTAGGCGACCTTGTAGAAATCTTTTTCCTTTTCTGAGTTGAGTTCCTCATTTATGTAACAACAATCCCAGTCTGGCAAACAGGGAAAATGTTTTATAAAAGAATGTGATATTAAAGTGTTTTTAAAAACATTCTCAACTTTTAAAAAAGTTATACTTGGTGGCAGGCACCTGTAATCTCAGCTACTTGGGAGGCTGAGGCAGGAGAATCGCTTGAACTCGGGAGGCAGAGGTTGCAGTGAGCCAAAATCACGCCACTGCACTCCAGCCCAGGCGACAGTGCGAGGCTCCATCTCAAAAACAAAAACAAAACCAAAACAGTTATACTAAGAAGCCTATGTAAATTTAAATCCAATTTTAACTTTGATGGGCCCTTCTTCCTTTACTTAAGAAAGCAATTTGCGCCAGGCACGGTGGCTCATGCCTGTAATCCCAACACTTTAGGAGGCCGAGGCGGGCGGATCACCTGAGGTCGGGAGTTCAAGACCATCCTGGCCAACATAAAGAAACCCCATCTCTGCTAAAAATACAAAATTAGTCGGGCATGGTGGTGCATGCCTATAATCCTAGCTACTCAGGAGGCTGAGGTAGGAGAACTGCTTGAACCCGGGAGGCAGAGGTTGCAGTGAGCCGTGATCGTGCCATTGCACTCCAGCCTGGGCAACAAGAGCGAAACTCTGTCTCAAAAAAAAAAAAAAAAGAAAGAAAGAAAGAAAGCAATTTGCTTTGAATGGTTCAATACTTATGATGCTAGAGATAAGAACAAGACCACCCTCCCCAGAAAGCTCCTGAATATCTCAGATGTTAAAACATACTCCCATCCCTCAACCTTGAGACTGAAAAATCAGCATAAAAAAGACTGGAATCTTATTAAGATTCAGAAGTACAAACACAAGCAGTTGTTTAAAAGATCTATGTAATCACATTTTCTATGTTGAAAGAAATTTTTCTATAAACATAGTAAGATAGGTAAAAAAAAAAAATCCTGCAAAACTATTTCTATATCCATAACAGGTGTGCCTTTCTTTACACAAAAGCATTCTTGAAAAACTGCGTAAATCAGATCCTGTTTTAAATGCCTTAAGGGAGCTATTTTATGAGGAACCCTGCAGTGAATCCTTTGGTAAGGCAAATAATCCTTTTGTAATGGGAATAATTTCTCCCAATGTATCTAGCTTTTTTTAAAACCCCATTTTCATATATCTGCTTTTCTTCAAAGGGGGCCATACCTATCTAAATACACTCACATTTGCATATTGATTTTAACAGCAATCCTCTCAGGGGATGTTTAACCCTAAAGTTCCCTGCAACAGTGTTAGTGCTCTACTGTTCATATTTTTAAAAATCATTATATTAATAGAAAACCCAGAGATTTCCAAACAGGAATAAAAAAAAATACTGCTCCCCCATCAGTCCCGTCCCTGTGTTTCCACGCAGACATATCCATATAAAAAAGGTCAGGGAACAGCACAGAATTCTCTGAATTCTTCTGGTAGAAATATGCCTCTGTAGTCTTCATTATTTTCCTTCCCTAATTTGCTCTCCCTATGTCTGGCAGGTCAGGATACGGGGATCTGGTCATTTGGGACCAAGACACATTCTGATGACAGCTTTCTCTTGGGTTCCCTCTAACTAAATGCCTGCCAGGTCCCTCTGGCCATACAGAATTGTGAAACACTGCTTCCTTGGGGGAGGCAAGCCCAGGTGCTTTTATAAATACAATCAGATTAAAGGATCAAACTAAAATGACCCCTTTCTCTTCTCAGAAAATTTTGTCACTATTGCACTAAACTTCACCGAGCCAAATAGCTTCTGAATCAGTGTGAGGGGTAGGTTTTCAGCTACTGCTAACAAAAGAGAGGAGGCAAGATCCCATATCTACCTTCGTGATAGAAAGCCTCGTGTTATTTCTCATCAGCCTCCTTACCGCAAAGGACACAGTGGCCATAGTGTCAGTGAGGACACTCCAAGTTCAACAGGTGAGAGGTGAAAGACCACTCACTAAGGCATGCGTATCGGAACTTCTTTCTTTCCTAGTCTTAACTTTCCAGGCAAAGACATACTTTCTGCCTCAAACAAGCAACTCTGGCTCTTTTCAGCTTTCAGCCTCTCGAAGATGGACATAAGAGTTGGAAAAACACAGCTCAGATACTTTGATCACCTCTGCCAGAAAAGCAGCTTAACCCTTAAGTCCCCTTAGCCCAGGGAACAGTCCTTTTCCTGTCATTCTGGCTGCTAGAGAAGGCTTGGGAGGAAGGCATTCCTGAAGATTTTTACAGAGAAGCGTATCCTCACCTGCCACCACAATGCTCCATATCTGCACCTGGGGCAACCTTGACCCTGAAGGCATGGTGGGTGTGGGCAGGCCTAGAAGGACCAGGCAAGGGCCAGCAGCAGTGCTCACTCAGTCCATGCTGCTGCTCCCTGTGGCAGGCAGTCAGGGCATGTTCTGTGTGGGCGCAGTGCGGTGCTGCATGGCAGGCTGCCCAGCTGCCTGGGAACAGGGCCACAACTAAGAACAAGTTCCCCTAAGCGGCTCCTTTGCCCAGGTGCTCTTCATTTTGAGAGAGAGGGACAGTGGGGAACTTACAATTGCTTCACACTTGGGCTGGACAGTTCTCTCTCCATCTAAATTGATTTGTCATTTCTCTCTGAACACAAGAGGAGGGGAAGGATCCAGGAGAGGACCTCAGGTCACAGCACTCAAGAGGCCAGGCTAGCAAGGCCGTCCCGCTCCACAGCCACTCTCCCTGCTCCTGGCCTTGTGAGGCAGTAGAAGGATGTCAGAGAGAGACAAAAAGGACTTGGAGGGCTGCGGCTCCATTTCCAGAGAAGAAATTTAATTTCCTTAAGGCAACCAAATGGTAGGAAGTAATTCTCCTCCTTGCAATGACTCTACCAAGCCCTGGTTCTGTGAATCAGGGTCAGAACTGATTCAGCAATGCAAGACTCTGGGGCCTGGGCTTTGCTCACTTTTCTTTCTGAGGTAATTCTTCCCTTTACTTCTATTAGGAATCAGTGTAGGCACTATTTACATATTTTCTGTTATAATCACAGACCTGCAAACTAGTAATTCACCATCTTTCCACCCAAACTAACCATGTAAGATGACAAAAGGCCATTTAAAAAAATAAAAATTCTAGAAGAGATGAAGTTAGCTGCTCAGAAGTCAAATATTACTCATTCTTATAAAATACATAGCAATTATGATTTTTTTTTTTTTTAAAGACAGGGATTTGCTCTTCTTGCCCAGGCTGGAGTGCAATGGCGCGATCTCGGCTCACTGCAACCTCCACCTCCCAGGTTCAAGCGATTCTCCTGCCTCAGCCTCCTGAGTAGCTGGGACTACAGGCATGCACCACCATGCCCGGCTAATTTTGTATTTTTAGTAGAGACGGGGTTTCTCCATGTTGGTCAGGCTGGTCTTGAACTCCCAACCTCAGGTGATCTGCCTGCCTCCTCCTCCTAAAGTGCTGGGATTACAGGCGTGAGCCACCGTGCCCGGAGTAATTATGTTTTTGAACACAGTCAATCAGTTGTGCGCTGGTTTGTCTAAGTGATCTGTGAGCACGCTCCCCAGTAAAGAGGCAGATTTGGGGAGAGAACGGCAACACAAGATAACATCCACTCCTACAGGCTTTCTCCTAAATCAGATTTTCTCTGTGGAAATGGCTTTAGATTACAAAAGGAAAGAATCCTTGTTTAATTTAGTTCGGGCTCAGTATTCAGTTGAGGAAAAATCTGAAGAAATCCTGAGAAAAGGAGAACACAGAGAATGAGAATTCCATTCTGGACTCTGATGTACATTTATTTATTTTGTATCTTAGATGATTCACTTTTTTGGCCTCAATTTCCCAGTCTGAAAAATGAGACCATTTTCACCCACTTTGTGAAAAAGAATTTTGGTAGTTTGGTTCTAGGCAAACTAAAAGAGCCAGAATCATTGTGAACCCCAAAGGAACTGGGTTCATAATATGTCCTGTTATATCTAGGCTGACCTGCTTTGTCGCAGAGACAGCTGCCCGTATAGGATATCCCTGAGAGACAGGACTATACTTCTGTTTCTTTCATATTTTCACATGTGGGACTGAGCCACAGAGAATACTGGATACCAAACATGGCCATCTGCTTTTTCTAATGATTAAGACAGAAAGATAATGATGCAATGAAGTAAATGCATGCTCATCTGCTCCTCATATTAGCTAGGCAGAGGTGTGATCTCCACTTTATGGTTGGAAAAAAACTGATGTTCGGAGAAGTTAAATAATTTACAAGACTCGTAGTTCGTTATTCTTATTCCAAGTCCACTGCTCATGTTCCCAAGCTGCCCTAGGCCAGAGCCTGCTTCACATTTAGCAGACTAAGGGTCCTTTTTCAAGTGCCATTTTGGTCAAGGTTAAATAAATATGGTTTTCTCCAATGCGGATAGGAAATTGATAATGAGATGATTTGTAACAAATGATTAAACGGCTATCACTTGGGAGTCTCCTCCCTCTCCCCTTCATGTGCTTCAAAAGTTAAAAGGTGCTGGTTGAAGGTGGGAGCGACATCACTTTCCTTGAAGAGAAAGAAGCTTTATCTCCACACCCCTCACCATCCAGTCCTTCTGCAAAAGGAGAAAGGATCCCTCTCCCTACCACCCAGTTACTCTGAAGGGATGATAACAGCCATTGGGGGGTTAAAAAGAGGCAGTGAACCCCCAGTTAATGAGTAGGAATTCAGCAGGCAGTGTAAGATAAATGGAGCTCTCTCTGCTTCTGCTAGAGTCAGCATGAACTGCGGCCCTGCGGCTTGTTTGTGGCAAATGGAGTGCGCGAAATATCAAAGGGCAGTGATCCAGAAGAAGACCGACTTTGACAAATTTTAAATTGGCCAGAAAGAAAACCAGCAAAAAGAAAAAAAAAAGGGAAAAGAAAAAGGAAGAAAAAAAGGAAAAAGGAAAATGATGCAATTTGCTGTGTCCTGCAATTGCGGCATTGCTGCCTTTGTATGGAATTAGTGGTAAACACAGCGGCAACAATTGGGGGATGCTGGGAGCAATTATGAGCCATCTAAGTGAGATGCTTATCAGTGGCTGAAGCTTTTAGAGCTCTCTCTATGAACAGTTGTAAGTAACTTGCTCTTGAGCTGCAGTTACTTTAATTAAAGTGTACAGGGTTGGTCAGAAGTAATTATTCTGTTTGGAAAAGAAAGAGAAAAAACCCACCTCAATTCTGGGTGGCAATAGATTTTAGAAACAACTCTCATTTCTTGTATGTGTGCATTCCCCATAAAAGGATCAGACTGTGGTGAGTTAGAGTTATTGGTGGCTGTTACCCAGTGGCAAACAATGGGACACAAACAGGGTTTCTTGTAACCCAAGTCACCGTGTTTGGCAGGCAACCTGGCTCAGGGCTCCAAATGCCTGGATGTACAGTCTCCACAGTGTAGGCAAACGGGATTTTTCTGTCTCTGGATGGTGGGGATATACAGTCCACAAATGGTACTTTATTAATTAAATTACCACTTGGAACATAAATGAGCTAGCATCTCTCTTCTCCATTCACTGAGTTTCACTACCTTTTAAAGGCAATCTCTGTTCCTTTAGAAAAAAACAAAAACAAGACAAACCAACTGACAAAAGAACCTCGAGCAATTATCTTTACTAACATAGCAAGGGGCTCAATGGGAGACCTGGGCAGAAAATCAGTGTTTTAAAAGAATCTGAAACTCATTTAGACTCTGGACTCAACACAGGACTCCCATGGTTTAGTCCTATGTTCAAATTGCCAAGTGGCTTCCAAAAGCTCTGAAAACAAATGAGCAACAGAGCAATGGCTGGAAGCATTAAGCACGCCTGCTCTCAGGGCTATTCTGGCTGCAGCTACTGTTTGGAAGCACACAGTGCGCAATCTTTACTTCTATTTCTCTAGCTCAGGAAGACCCCGGAACACCACCTGGGTAAAGACTCCTGCTTTTCTATCCCATCTCTCAGAAATGAAGTGAGCTGTCCAAAGAAACAAGCAGAAACAGGACATATTTAAATCTAGCATATTCTCTGGTGAGGCCTGCCCCCAGCAGCAACTCTAGCTAATCATTCTCTACAAGGACATCTTAGAAAGACGGGCTTTTTGTACTCTAAGGAAATATCAGGAAAAAAAATCAGGTGACTTTTGCTTTTTTAGGGCTCACTTTCCCTATTATACACACTATTTCATTCTACCAGGGTTCTTACCATATAGAGGACAGTAAATAAAGATTATCATGAATTTGATCAAATGCTTCAGTGCCTCCTCCCCTGGCCTATGAATGCACTCATTACAAATCAGCTGAATGGCTCATTGATTTGCCAGAAGGACAAGCAGACATACCCAATCGCTCAGCCAAGTGGATGTAGACTGGGTCCACCCGACGCATGGTTTTCACCAGATCCTTTCTGCGGAATTTGATTTCTACTGTCCCTTCTGGCTCCAGAACAGATCCCCTGGATCAGAAAGAAAGAAAAAACAAAACAGAAATAGAGGCACTTTAAAGGAAGGAGACAACAGAATGAGGCCAGTTACAATTTGTAGACCAGGAAATAGCTTCATTATCATTTTGCCCACCTATGGTTAACAGACATCTCCCCGGGGAGAACAGTAGGCACCAGAGAAGTGTCTAAGTGAGGTATGAGAAAGGCCTGGCAAAAAGCAATTAAAATAATTCTCATTACCACACCAGTCGACTTCCATTTCAAAGGGAGAAGAATACAGATTCCACCACCTACAGCTGATAAGAGTAACAGGAATCACATTATTTTCCAGGGGAAAAAAATGCTGTAGGCACAGTGACAGGGGAACCACCTCCATCACGTAGGATGTACAATAATGAAGGGCAATACTTCATCAATACTATCTATCTATCTATCTATCTATCTATCTATCTACCTCACCTATACCACAGCTGTCAGTCTGCTTGTAGGACACTGATCAGACACACTAAGCCAGGCCAAGTAGGAGGTAAAACATTCTGCCCAGCGCTATGGAAATGAGCAGAGTCAAAGGTCTCAGGGTTACTTTTAGTGCATACTAATGATGTTCAGTCCCCAGAAACTTTACCCCAAACATGTTTAAAAAAAAACCCACAGCTTTCTAGTTTAAAAAAATTATAGATAATGTTTACTATGTACATGGCACTGTTCTAATAACTTACATATAAATCCTTACAACAATCCTATGCCCAGTCTCCATCTACTATGTAGTAAGGTTCTGTGATTATTCCCATTTTACAGGTGAGGAAACTACAGTTTAGTAAGTTATGAGACTCGTCCAAATATAACAAGAGGCAGAACTGGATTTGAAACCAGACAGTCTGATTCCAAAGTCTATAGAGGAATTGTCTCTGATCTGATATCAGATGAGTTTAGGACTTAAAAAATAATAAACCCCTAAGTACAGAATGTAAATAATAAGCCTCTCAGCCTAGAGGTTTGACAGTGAAACTACTGGACTCTCCTAAGCAGCCTTTGACATAGAAGGCTGAATCTGGGGGGACAAGAGAGAAGCGGGCGGTCCACTAAAACGACTGGAGGTAAGAATTTCCTTGGAAAATGTCAAAGAAACACGTTTTGAAGTTTACTTAGGAAAGAGGTGAGAACAGACTATGAAAGGATGCCAGATTAGATCTGTTTTATTTAGGTAGTTTCAGGTACCACCTCCCAATAAGCCTGAGGTTCTCCCTTACAGTTTTTTTGGGTGCTACAAACACCATGGTCTTCAGCTTCCTGAAATGCTAGAGTGAGGACCTGGACTGTAATGGAAGGAAAAAGCTTTGGTTTGGAATCACAGGATGTGGGTGCTGTAGTGCCATGGCTGTAACATTCTCCAGGAGGAAACCAACAGCTACAGGGTCCCTAAAGGCAGTGAATGGAAATGTGGAAGGCACGCTACCTGCTTTCTCGGTCAGCATACATCTCCATGTGCCGGGGGTTGATGGAGGAGTCAATCACCACCCAGGAGCCACCCCGCAGCTCAGCCTGGGGAGGAATGTAAACCAGCACAGGCTGGCAGCACTCCCTCAAGCCATCCACAATGTAAGCACCAAACTTCAGCACTTGGTCGTACATATCTATGGAGAATGAGACAAATTAGAAATCAAGAAATTTCTCTTCCTCAAAGCAGTACTTTTAAACACTGTTCAGGACCTCTGGCCACGAAGAGCCTCCTTATACTATGCCTCCTGTTTGGCCACCCTATAGACTAAAGGGAGTATCGACCTGTATCCCATTCAAGACTCCAGAGGATCTTCAAAAGCACAAGACAGCAACAGAGAGATGCACTGTCTTTCACAAGATACAGTGTGTAAGTCTTCCAGATTGCCTTTCCATTTTATATCCTCTCTGAATTTCTGTACTCACGTTTCACCACATTAATTCACATTTGCTCTACAAACGTTGAGTATTTTTCATGTCAATATGTGCTCTCCCACTACAGTAAGTTTACTAAAGGAAGGAACTATTCTACCTCTTTTCAGTTATTCTCATGATGCTTAGCATAGGATGAGCTCTTCAAATGTGCACCTAATGGAAATTGATCCTTTAAAAATTTTATCTTCAAAAACTATTTTTCATCTTGGTATCCCGATATCCCTGCCCAGTGCCTGAACATAGTTAGTGCTCAACAAATATCTGCTGAATGAATGAATGCTGAATAAATTAGTTATATACTCTGGAAAGAATATAATGAGAAAGAAAGACAAATTCTTTAACAGTTGCATTTTTATAGGGTATCAATGAGAGAAAAATTTTAAAAATACTTAGGAAATACCACACAGCCACATGAGAAGAACAGACCCAACCAGGGCAGCATAGTGAGAACCTGTCTCTACAAATAATAAAAAATTAGCTGGGCATGGTGGTGCATGCCTGCAGTCCCAGTCACTTGGCTGAGGTGGGAGGATCACTTGAGCCCAAGAGGTCGAGGCTGCAGTGAGCCATGATCTTGCCACTGCACTCTAGCCTGGGTGACAGAACAAGACCCTGTCTCAAAAACAACATAAAACAAAATAAACAAAAAACAAGAGAGGAACCACCTCTTCATTCTGCTAAAGACTACACTTTGTAGACTGGGAATGGTAGCTCACACCTATAATCACAGCTCCTTGGGAGGCTGAGGTGGGAGGACCGCTTGAGCCCAGGAGTTCAAGACCAACAGAGAGAGACCCTATCTCTACAAAAACCAAAAAAATTAGCAAAACATGGTGGCACATTCCCATAGTCCCAGCAACCCAGGAGGGTGAGGTGGGAGGATCTGAGCCTAGGAGGCTGAGACCTGCAGTGAGCTGTGATCATGCTGCTGTACTCCAGTGTGGGTAACACAGCAAGGCCCTGCCTTTAAAAAAAAAAAAAAAAAAAAAAGAGTACATTTTGTAATCCCTCCAAAGCCAGGAGCAGCCTGAAGAAAAGGACCCATGATGTACACATAAAGTGAGTCCCTGGAAAACTGGATCAGTTATTTATTTCCCAACTTTTTATGGACTTCCCATTTCCCAGCTCACTGAAGTCCATTGCTAAAGCTTTAGGTTTATGAGTCCAGATGTTTAATGAGTACTTCAGTGGAGCCACAATGGATCCTTTCTAAATACCAAATAACAGGTTCAACTGAGATCAAACTTTCTTATCAAAGAGAGGATCTCAATTTGGAATAAATCAATTCTGGGAATCCAAGGCAAAGAAGCATTTTTCAGGAAGTTAAGAGCAAACCAAATAGAAATTGCTTTCATTGTAGTTACTGGCAAATTAAACTGCCACCTTCTCCAAAGTAAAAATGGCTTAATATACAAACTATCAGTGAGCACAGTTCACTGCAAGGCACATGCTCCACTGCCCCAACCTGGTGTGTCTGTGAAGACTTCAGAAATTCCAAGTTACCCCAGAAAACACCCCCTACTCTATGTGGAATGTGTATGATATGTACTCCATGTATATGATCAGAGTGAAGACATTTATTCCTTTGGGAGAAAAGCTAAGACCAAAAAAATTTACTGCTAATTAACAACTGCTGTATGAAGAGCAGGGAATAAAGGACTTTAAGTGCTTTACGCTAATTCTGTAGTTATGAAAATAATTGCTCAGTTCAAATTATTTTAACTAAATTAATTCTTTAGTGGATATTTCAACCAGTGCTACATAATAAAATAATTGTGTAATTAGCAGTACATTTTTCAGTGCTGCCAAGAGTACAGTCTCCGAACAAGTAACAGAAAAGTGTCCCTCAATGATATCATACAAAGAGAGGAAATGAAAGGTATAGATAAAAGGAGAAAATAAAGCAATAAAAGACAGCACAAAAAGTCATTCTACCTGAAAAAGAAAAAAAAAGTTAGAGGTAAGTGAAGACAAAGTTTCCAGCTCTTTTACTCACTTCTTCTTGTTAAAGACTTAGCTACAACAAAATCTATCTCTGTATTATAATTAACAGATTGACATCTCAAAAAGAAGGGGAGATTTTATTTAAAATGTATTTTCATTCATCTATTAAAAAAATACTAGATTTCATAGTATATGCAAACAGTTTCAAATGAAGATGAGTGTGTGTGTGTGATTTTTAATTTTATGAAATGGACGTGGGCTCCTTTTTGTCATCATCATGGCTAGCTTATTGTGTACCAGGGAACATGATTATATATACACACATATAAATCATTTAATCATCAGAACATTATCTTATTTATATATCCAAGTTGCAGGTGAGTAAACTGAGGCTTAAATAAGAGTGAGTGGTGGAGATAAGACTCAAATCTAGATCTTGTTGGCCCTAATGTCCACATTCTACTACTTCATTCTTTTTTTTTTTTGAGGTGGGGAGCGGGGCGCGCCAGGTTCTCACTCTGTCTCCCAAGCTGGAGTGCAGTGGCACGACCTCAGCTGACTGCAACCTCTGCCTCCTGGGTTCAGACGATCCTCCTCCATCAACACCCCAAGTAACTGAGACTACAGGTGCGTGCCACCATGCGCAGCTAATTTTTGTATTTTTTGTAGAGACGGGGTTTCACCACGTTGCCCAGACTGGTCTCGCTGAGCTCAAGCCATCCGCCCACCTCGGCCTTCCAAAATGTTGGGATTACAGGTGTAAGCCTCTGTGCCCAGCCTCTACTACTTCATTCTTACTGCTAGGAGAGACAGCATGAGACTGGGGTACTCTGCTTTCCAACATCTAATATGATGAGTAAAATAAAACCAGAAAAAGAGACTTGAATACATGACTGAATATTCCCAACTGCTGCTGGATTTCCTCTGTGTTCAGAAATGTTCAAAACTATACTGATAACACTACCAGCCTGTGTGAGGCTTGGATCTGACTGCCAAACAAGTATTTTTCGGCCCCAAGACTGTGAGTAGGAAAGGAGCATCAGGGTTTGTTAAAGCTGACATGTTTGGGACTAATATATTGCCTCCATCTAACTTGGAACACCTATAGACCCACAGCCCAACCATCAAAACACCCAAAAAGCAGGCTATTAAAATATAAACAAACACACAAATAAACTCTGTAATCGACATGCTCAGACTGAACTGCAGCTGCCCCAAACCACTTATTTTGAAAGGCAGGTTGAAACACTTGGCAACAATCTGACACACAATTGTCTGAAATCCCTTCGTATTTAAGAGACAGAGCAAAAGCACAGCCAATAGCAGCAGGGGAGGGGCGATCCCCAAGGGTTTAGGTTAGAAATCAGTCTACAGAATTTTAAAGCTATGCACGTGCTGTCAATTCTCAGGCCCTGAGAAACGCAACTGGGAATGGAAAATACTGATAGGTTCCTCACTGGAGAGGCGGGAGCTTGGAGTTTTCTAGCATGCTGGGCAAAGCACATCTGCATGAATGGTGACCACACACAACCTTTGCAGTGTGCTCTCAGCACCTAGGCACCAACCCTGCCTAGGGCTTTTATTGTTATAAACATGGATAAACCGTGGCAGCCATGTGTATCAAACAAGGGAACAGGGTGGCAGAGTGTTTCCACAGTGTCCCACACTCTTGAAAATGAAACAGATCTTATTGGCTTGGGCAAGATTATCTGTTAGAAACTGAAGGTAAACATTAGCCATACACAAGCTACATATACATAATGTCTCTCCTTAGTTCATTATGATCGGCTGACACTGTATTTCAACATCCTAGTAATCAGAGACTTTAAAATAGACTTTCATTCCAGTTAAAGTTTTCAATAAATTTTTTTTATTGTTATTTATAACCTGTCCCAGGAAAAAATAATAAGTATAACATGAAAAGCCAACTGAGAGTGACCCTGTAGCACCAGCAGTGAGGCAGCTTAATATCACTGGGATTTGCATCCTATCAAGCTATTCATGCTGAGGCTGGGACCCTGGTGCTAATTTCTAGTAAATTTCACGCTTGATGTCTCCCTGTTGTGGGTCATTGCCGGTTCGTCTAAATAAACTGCTTCCAAATGGCTCTTCCATCTAAATATTCAGCCAGTTTTTATAATTTAATTTTGCATTATGCTGAATAGCCTTCCGGCCAGATAGAGCTCATTGAAAAAAAGCACCAATACCATCTTGACATGCTTTTATTTATTTATTTATATCTTTACTGCTCGAATTAGACCTCCTAGGCCGACTAGTAGAGTTTTTTTTTTTTCCCTTCACTAATGTCAATTTTCAGCATAGCAAGAGCTGTCTCTAATCTTTTCCTACTCATTACACACAATTTTGGAGTCATTTTACCCACAGTGCAGTCGGCTCCTGGCTGTGTGTTTGTGTGCACTGAGGGATGGCATAATTGTTTATTTTCCCTCCCTGCATAATCCCCAGCCAGTATTGAAACCAAAACTGCAAACATCTCCCCAAGGGATGTGAAGAATGACAAGAGGCCCTCAGTTTAGGTCCCTTTACATGAGATAATACAACACCCTGACCTGTATGTAAATATGAAAGGCACTGTTCCTCCCCCTCCTACCTTCACAGGGATCTCTATCTTCCCTAAGTCTTATTTGTCTTACGTGAGGTGTAAAAGGATGCATCAGCACCAAAATTAAGACAGAACTTGCCCTGGTCTATATATCAGGCCAAAAACTCATTTCAGACCAAGGGCAGCAGGGAGAAAGGAATGGGTACTTATTGTTTAAGGGGTATAGAGTTTATGTTGAGGATGATGAAGTTTTGGGTGTAGATACCAGTGATAGTTACACAACACTGTGAATGTATTTAGTGCCACTGAATTGTACACTTACAAATAATTAAAGTGATAAATATTATGTATATTTTACCACAATAAAAAATGAACTCATTTCTGAGCTCTTGAAATTTCTTTTCACAATAACCAAGGACATCCCCAAAGTAGAGGGGAAGTAGGTGGATAATAACTTTTTCAGGAACCTTGACATTCTGTTATAGGGATATTCTAGTAGATCTAGTTCTGGTTTTAGGCTCTAACTGTGTTACAGGGAGCTACATCACATCAGCCAACTGTGTTACAGGAAGTCAGACAGATCCACCTTCCTTTCCCAACTCTGCCATTTTGTAGCTGAATGAGCTTGGGAAATTTACTTAACCTAATTTACATAAATCTTAATTTATGTAAAATGTTCATAACAATATAACCTACCCCTTAGAGGTGCTTGTTGTGATGATTATGTAAGATAATACATGTAAAATTGTTAGCACAAGTTTCTGGTGAAAAGAGCTCAATGAATCTTAATTGTTGTTGTTCTTACTGTTACAGCGCGGCAGCCAATCTGGGCCTGAGCCAAAATATGTAGCAGAATTGAAGCTTTTCCTAGAAGTGGCACATTGGAAACTTTTGAACTCTGAACTCCCGTTAGGATAAAATATCCAGGGTGACACTCTGAAGTAATGTCAGGAAGAGTACATTCTCAGTGGGCCCCCCACAAAGAGATAAGTAAGGAGTAATAGCATAGCATTCTCTCCCAGGTCTCAACAAAAATATTAGAGCCAAGGAATTTGGGATCAAGTGAAATCTAATGCTGAATGAACCTCATATATATGAATGAGGGGTTTTCAGGCCCCCCTTCCCTTTGATATACTACTACCATCTTCTTTTGAATATCCTGGTATTTTGTTTATACATTATGGCTTTATCATTTTGCTCAAGACATTTTTCTTGTCTCTGTGAAGCAATGTATTGTTTCTGACTTATTTTGACTTATTTTTGTTCTCTGAAGTGGCTAGCATAGTTCCTAACACACAGAACTCAATAAAAATGTGTAGGATTGACTTAACCGTATACTCTCAATTTCTCATGGTATTTCCACTAATTTATTATCTCGGTCAAAAAATAATTCACCTTGATAATCTAAAAAATATATACAATCATTAATTTGGATATATAGTCCAAGTCTCCCCCAAGAAAAGTATAAAATGTGGTAGTTCTCCAGCAAATACAGGCAAAGGTAAACTTTTCAACCAAACACACACACACACACACACACACACACACACACACACACAATCAACCTAGTCAACATTTTGCCAAGGAGGCCTGGCCATACAGGGCTCTTCCTAGACGAGTAAGGAAAAATTGTCGGCAAAAATTTCAAATCCCTCTTGCCACATAACTGACCATCTGGTAGTTTCCCCAGGCATTTCCTCCCTCATAGGCTGGGGGTGCTTCTGCCCTAAGCTATTTTTAAGTGCCCTATTGAGAGTTCATTGTTTCACATTTTGTATGTCTTAAGTATTTTCTTTTCTTTTTCTTTCTTTCTTTTTTTTTTTTTTTGAGATGGAGTCTTGCTCTGTCGCCCAGGCTGGAGTGCAGTGGTGCAATCTCGGCTCACTGCAACCTCTGCCTCCTGGGTTCAAGTGATTCTCCTGCCTCAGCCTCCCAAGTAGCTAGGGATTATAGGCATGCACCACCCCATCTGGCTAATTTTGTATTTTTTGTAGAGACAGGGTTTCACTATGTTGGACAGGCTGGTCTCAAACTCCTGACCTCAGGTGATCCACCCACCTCGGCCTCCCAAAGTGCTGGGATTACAGGCGTGAGCCACCGCGCCTGGCCATCCTAAGCATTTTCTAATCACTATTTACTCCAAAAGTTTCTACTCCTCCCTCCTTCCCCTAACCTATCCTACTGTTTTTTCCTTTTTTTTGAGACAGAGTCTTACCCTTTTGCCCAGGCTAAAGTGCAGTGGCACAATCTTGGCTCACTGCAATCTCTGCCTCCCAGGTTCAAGTGATTCTCCTGCCTCAGCCTCCCGGGTAGCTGGGACTACAAGCGCCCACCACCACGCCAGCTAAGTTTTGTATTTTAGCAGAGACAAGGTTTCACCATGTTGACCAGGATGGTCTCAAACTCCTGGACCTCAAGTGATCCACCTGCCTCAGCCTCCCAAAGTGCTGGGATTACAGGCGTGAGCCACCCCGCCTGGCCCTATCCTATTGCTTTAGAACCCCAAATTCTCCCCAAGACAGATGGAATTTATACTTAGCATACTCTCATACCCTCCAGGTATGCAGTCTCTGGCTTAGCATGGCCATGAATTATCTGGCCATGGGACAGAGGGCTTCACTACTGTAAGAGGTAGTGTTTCCTTTGGCTCTCCCTGTAGTGTCCACAGTCGCTCTACACATCAAGGTTTCTCCGTAAATGGTGATACTGGCTGCCTAATTACTTAGCAATTCCCATAGCATGGAGTAGAGCCTTTGTAATAATGGTCTAATATGCTGGAGCCACAGGCCCAGGGCTGTTGTTAGATAATAATATAACATAGCACAAATTGCCACTGGTACTGAACAGCCTCTGGTACTGAATTTGTTCATTTTCTTCCAGTAAATGCTAATTTCAGTATCTGTCTTGGTCACTGTAGAACATTAGGAGTAACACCAACAAAGTATATGCCCAGAAAAGAGGGACAGAGTCACAATCATATTTCCCCAGCACCATCAGAATGGTCCAGCATCCATCTGTGAGAGCGAGATCCACAACAGTAGGTCACCTCAATAACACTAGTAGTAGATTATTCTGAAATTCTGTATGGAATTATAAAATGTACTTTTTTCCATTCAAGTTGCAACTCAAAAGATGTCTCAGAGAGGGCAGAATCCCCAAAAAGCCTAGGCTATTAGGACACCCACAGATTCTGCTGAATCTATACCCTCCCTCTGCCGCAGAGTGCCCAGTAATCAGTGATGCCCCTCCAGCCCACAGGCAGCCCAGTCACCTTTCATTCCACCAGAGAAGCCTCTCCAGTTGGCAAAGACCATCAGAGGCAGCCCTTCCCGGTTGAAGTCCTTGATGGCCTGATACGTCTTAAACGCAGAATCTGGGAACCAAACCTGGCCAGCCTGCTGGATTATCTATTAGGAAAAGTCAAAGAAGACACAATTAACAACACAGCTCCAGGGGGAAATCTCTCCAAGGTGAACAAGATTTTACTTATTTAAAACTGAAAACTAAAAATCAGATCAACAAAAACTATTGTTCATCAAGATCATCATGTTTGGAGTAAAAAAGAAGAAAGGATCCTCGATCTTTGACCTTGTCAAATACTATTCTTTTTAAGTCCTGATTATAATAACTCTGTAGTCAAAAGGGAAGAATGCAGTCCTAAGAACCCTTGTTCTAGGTTTCTCAAAAGCTACTTAAAATGGCTCCATTGTGCTACTCTTTAAAGCAAGTCAATTGTACATAGTCTCCCAGTCCTTTCACCTTTGTGCTTAGTATAGCATTTTCCTGTACTGTGGCTAACAAATAGACAATTGACGTCACACTGCTGAATAGCCTCCTCCCTGGCCTCCCTGACCCCTCACTTTCTGAATGGTGTCAGGATGTGAAAATATAATCCATCCTTTAAAAAAATAATGGCACCAGGCACAGTGGCTCATCCCAACACTTTGGGAGGCTGAGGCGGGAGGATCCCTTGAGCCCAGGAGGTCAAGGCTGCAGTGAGTCAAAATCACACCACTGCACTCCAGCCTGGGCCATGAACCATGTCTCAAAAAAAAGGGCTGTGGTGTTCACGCTTGGCATTAGGGCAGACTTCACCGTTAACTCTAGCTGTAGCTCTTCCATGTGTATACTCAGAGAATAGGGGACCAAAGAGCCTTCAGTATTATCTCAGCTACCTTTCTGTAAGACCATCTCCCCAACAAAAGTATACGTTTTCTAGCATCAAGAAGACTACTGTAAAGACTTATTTAATTTTTGAGGCAGAATTTAGCTTCTAGTCCGTTTAGACTCACCTTAAAAGTGAGCACATGATGTTCTAAAATCATTCAAGGCTGCTGATGCCCTTCCCTCTAAAACTGATGGTTTGCAATGTTCCTGATGTATTCACAGGCACTGCGAAGAGAAAAACCCTCCAAGCACAGCCCCCAGTGTACTTGAGGTGGCCTACCTTGGCTTCAGAATCCAGGTTTGCTGGATCAGCTGGGATACTTAGTTCTACTGTTCGGGTTTCTACAGCAACAACTCCCACAGGTATTCCTCCTAGCCTGATAAAACATGAGTCACATAAGAACCCAATGTATGTCAACATTATAGCTAGCCATTTGTTTTCCAATCCCAAATCAAGACATTGGGGAAAAAACTAGAAACAAACACAGAGAGCAGGGGAAATCTGATTCTTCTATGAGTTAAATGTGAGACTCTACGGATTTGATATTTACTCTCTAAATATGGTGGGAAACCACCCTCAGAATCACTTCTATTCGGAAATGTCCCAACACAAGATAAATTCAAACCAAGGGCTGTTCTAGGGGAGCCTCTACATTTAGACTCAACAGCCTAGCACATATACACATCCCTACCCCTGTGGCTGCTAAACGAAATTTCTCAGTTCACTCTAGAGCATCTCCTTGGTGAAGATGGTAGGAAATGGTCTGAAAGGCAGTAGGAATCTGAGACTTTCAGTAACTTTTAATGAGGACTGACCTTGCTGAAATGGAGCTGTAGTTTTCTATGGAATATTAATAATGTGGTTCCAGATAAGATTTGAGGGTACAATAGGTCTTACTATTAGGTGTGTGGATAGGGAGTATGTAGGCATGTTATGAGGATGATGAGAAACACATGCCAAGAATAGGGAAGTGGATCAACAAGCCCTTAATTTTCTCCTTCCTTGGAAAAGACAAATGGGACAAGGATAATTTTTAGTAGTAATGCTGGTGAAGTCTATATTAGAATTATATATTTAATCTCAAAGCTATGTTTATTTAAAAAACTGTTTAGGAGCTCAAAGCCTCTGCACCTTATACTCCACTATGACTTCCCAATTTGGTCCTCATAAAGATTTTCTAGGAAAAATCAGAGAGCAAGACAAAGTACAGGGTGAGTCTTTACTCTGGAAAATGTGATGCAGTCTTCATTCTCACTGTTGCATTCCTTGGGGTTGGGGCTGGGATGGGTTATAGTCTCTCATTTCTCACAGCATCTCCATAACAAACTTTTCCATGACAGATGGCCTTTGGTTGTTAAATTGGCTAGTGAAAATGGATTCCTGTCATCACAAGAGGGCTGACAAGGGCCTGAGTGGAGACCACCCACCCCCTTGTCACTTGCCTGCACTGAATCAGAATCAAAAGCCCTCTAGACAACCAGACAACGAGCAGGAGATACACAGGAGGGTTTAGAAATATTTCTGTTCACAATGATTAACAATCCAACTGGAAACTTGTAATTGCAAAAGCCACCCTAAATCGGTAACTTATAACTTATATATTAGGGCCCATGTGACCTAATAAAGAACATCTTTATCCAAGTATTACAGTTATTTATTGAACTTGAAAACAGCTCAGAACAACTTCTGTTTTCTATTATACTTCATATAAATTTTATCAGGCTAGCACATGAAGATGCTACATCTTGTTTTATAGTGTGTCCCTGGACAAGGTGCCATGGAATAATAAAAGACAATTTACAGCCAATAGCACACATATTCCAAACATACATACCAAAGATGAGTTTTGGCAGCACTTACAGTAACAATCCCAGACGAATACATTTATATTTATTTCTTGAAATGCCATTGCTTTTGAAAGAAGCTAGAGCTCCATTTGTGTTTTATATACTTGTGAGTATGTGTATACGTTTGGAGTAAGAAGCCCAGAACTCGTCAGATAGAAAGAAAGGAGGAAGTCAGAGTGAGTGTTGCAATAAACAATGACAGAGCTAACCAAAGCCAAGCTTGACTGATCTTGGTCGCAAAGCAATCCCTATTCTTCTAATCATAAGTGTAAAGTATTTTTCTCTTATTTCCCATGGGAGGATCTTAAAGAACTTAACAAAGGTTTGGCTTTCTGAGACTTAAAATCTGTCATGTTTTTTCACAGACAGGAAAATTGAAGCAGAATAGATGAGACAAATCTCAAAAAAGTTGGTCTTAGTGTGCCGTGAGGAATCTAACAAGCTGATACAGGAGTCGAGTATCAGGGTTCTCGCTCCAGTGTATCTCCTACTTCCAAGCTCCCCACTGGGAATTTTACCAGGCACAGAGAATACTTCTCACTGGGACTGAGAAGCCTGGGGTGAGATAAAAGACCTGAGACTTTAAAGAAAACAGACAGGTAGGCTCTGGGACATTCAGTCTGAGCTGACTCCAGGCCAGAATCCTATTCAGAGTCACAGAGGAAGACCCTGTCTGTGGGATTTGCCCTCTGATGGCTTCTTGTCACAGGCAGCATGGAGGCGTGCTGACCTGCTGTACTGAGAGAACCACAGAGCCTAGAATTATTTTCAAGGCTAGAATCTAAATCTCAACCCAATGTGGCATGTTTGAGAATCTTGAGCAGGTGCCACTTTTCACCAAGATAAGGAAAACTGATTGCCCCCAGAGGAAGGTGAGCTCCAGATGCGGTCCCTCAGCAGCATGTCTCTGCAGTGCAGAAGTAGATTAAGATCAGTCGTGGCAGGTGCTCGTTATAGCTCGTTATAGCAAGCACTACAGATTATTTTGCACAGAGCTTGCTGTTGAGTGAAGCACTTCTTAGAGTAGGTATTAAAATTTAATAGAAACTTCAATTTCCCACTTCAAAAATATAGGTATCTTGGCAACCTATTTCAGCTTATTTTACTCCTGTTTCAGGTAAACTTTTTTTTTTGGCAATTCACATCTGATTATAATCCAATATAGTACATTTGTCACTTAAATAATCTCGGTGCCACGAAGAACCTCTTTCCAGTTACATAGAAAAGCAGATGAGTCTCTGAATCACTTGTCACCTATTCCTGAAAGAAAATTGTCTTTGGGAGAGGGAAAGTCATTGGTGGGCTCTGGCTATTGTAGTTGGGCTTTACAGCTCCCAAAGTGTTTTTCCTGAAACATTATAAAAAGGAAGTGTTGTCAAAATTAGCCTTCAGATTAAACGCATCATTGGAGTGACACACAAAATGGCAACTGAGAACCAGCACTCCAATTATTTTGCCTTGGGCATGGCTATAATCCAATATTCTCAGACAGTTCAGACAAAGAGAACATTATTGGTATATATCTATAGAGCCATGGCTCTTTCTTTCTTATTTTTAGTTGGGAGGAAAAAGAGCTGCCAAAACAAAAGAGCTCTTACCTGGCTCTACCAACCACCACAGTCTGTGCCCAGGGCTGCATAATCTCTGAGAAAGATCCATAGTCAAAAAAGCCACTCAACCACTGACCTTTTTGGGCTACAGAAGGGAAAGAAAGAAAACAGAGAATAAGGACAGTGAATCCATTGACAATGTGCTGGAACTGACGAATTTAAGGTGGTTTGGGGGATTATTTTGGGGAGTTTGTTGTTTTTAACCAAATTATAATAGATGGAAGCATTAGGCAGCTGAATGTTCATCTGCCTTCAGACATCATCTCCTATTTCATTTGCTAGTCTGCATAAAAAGAATCATTTATCAGCAAAAGCATCATTTATTGTTAAATGACAAGGTTTAGCTAGCAGAGAGAGTTTGCATGCTTTTAAATAAATAACTTGACTTTCTTCAAGACACTACAAACATTTGTCAAAAGGCTGCCAAGTCATTAAAGATATTTTCAAAATGTCTATTTCTATTTTAAAACTTGCCTTACAATTTTGTTTGATTCCACTGACTTTCTTTTAACTGAAGGCTAAAAACAACCAAACAATAAGTATTAATGATCAGATAAGGATCCAAATTTGGAGGGAAAAATAGGAACTCAGTTTCTCCGCTACAAAAGCAACAAGATATATCTACTTTATTAAACAGCTGATAAAGTATAACCTTTCTACAAAAAAGGGCCACATATTCTTGACAGATAGTAAAAATACAATGGTTAAGATGCACATACTTAATGCCATTAATCTTCCTTGCACATAGAATTTCCTTCACTGGCAAGACCCAAAATTTTCAACATGTTAGTTTAAAAAAAAAACTTTTGTTCCACAGGTATAAATGTTTGACCAAAGCCCCATAAAAGCTTCTGCAAATAACCGTTTCCTAGTTTGCCCTCTCAGCTCACGGTTTTCAGTGATTCTTCTAATTTGAACATGGCCCTCCACCCCCTAAAAACCCAAGTCCAAAACCAATTAAAAGTGGAGATCTGAGCAAGCTAACCTCTGCTGACTTAAACAGGATGGAGAGTGTTTTATCTAGACTAAACTTGTAATTACTGTGTTCTACATTCCTTGCCTCTATGGCCCCAGTGTAAAATGTGATCATCCATTTCAAAATTATCTCTCCATCCGTGAGCCCAAAGCCGATCGTTTAGATTCTGGTCTTGTGTTGGGCGTCAGTTTGAAGAATATCACAGCACTATCTCCTCTAATAAATGACTTTAACTTTTCACCTAGAAGATATCTGCTTTAACTTATCACAGGGAATCATCTGCTTTCTTTAACGCTTCCACTAAATTAAAATCTGAAGTCACTCGATTTGGGAGCGAGTGTTAGCTGCACATAGACAGCAGGATGAATTACTAGGGAGTCAATGAAAAAATATTATCCAAAAAACAGAAAACTTAGTTTATCAAAAATTTCATTTTATTCTGTGGATTTCATTAATAATGGCCAGGATAATGCCCACCTACACACACATACTTCTGTTCACCCATGAAAGAAGGACTCAAATTTTGGTGAAGTTTCTAAACCAAATTTCTAGGTTCATCAGAACACTGAATTTTAACTTTATATCTTTGGATCATTTTCTAATTCTTACTTCAATAACAGGGATTTGGAACTACAGAATTAACTTCAAGATGGAAATGTTTTCTTCTTTAAAAACTCTCCTGCTAGGGGTAGGAGGAGTCACTGACTATTGTAGTTGTGCTTCACAGTCCCCAGAGAGTAGATCCTACCCAGTTCCGATGCAGAACCTTAGAAGCCGGCTAAGATGGCTTCCCGTATTTCCCAGGAAAAAACTCACTAAGTCTTGTTCCAAATTCTAGAAGTAAAGAGGCTCACTTCATTCCCAGAAAAGTCCTGCATTTTAAGACTGACAGGTGGCCGGGCGCGGTGGCTCACGCCTATAATCCCAGCACTTTGAGATCACAAGGTCAAGAGATAAAGACCATCCTGGCCAACATGGTGAAACCCCGTCTCTACTAAAATTACAAAAATTAGCTGGGTGTGGTGGCATGCACCTTTAGTCCCAGCTGCTTAGGAGGCTGAAGCAGGAGAACCACTTGAACCTGGGAGGCGGAGGTTGCAGTGAGCCGAGATCGCGCCACTGCACTCCAGCCTGGCGACAGAGTGAGACTCCGCCTCAAAAAAAAAAAAAAGAAAAAGAAAAAAAAAAAGACTGACAGGTAATCTTAGGCTCATAGTTCTTATCATAATCATGGCACAAAAAAAAGGGGAAAGAAGGGGTAAGTGGAGGCGGAGGTTGCAGTGAGCCGAGATCATGCCATTGTACTCCAGCCTGGAGGACAAGAGTGAAACTCCATCTAAAAAAAAAAAAAAAAAAAAAAAAAAAAAAAAAAAACAGTAGGAAGAAGATTAGTATGGTGACTTTCCAGGCATGTAAAGAAAAACTATTTCGTTTTATTAAAATTAACAAGAAGAGGCACTGAAGACAACAGGTAAAGTTATAAATTAAAATAAACACTTCTCTCATGTTTTTATATAATAGAAAGTCTAATGTAAATATTGTAGAAAAACAATGTAATAGCTATATAATAGCTATGTGACCTTGTACGAATCACTCAACTTCTCTGATTTTTGTAAAATAGTTATCTCTCTTTATCTAAGAGAGGTCGTAAGTGCAAAAAAGATGTGGAAGTGCTTTACAGTCCCACCTGGCTTACAGTGGGTACCCACAAAAGTTTATTAGGTCTTCCTTATGAAGACCTCTCTTTCAGCAAGATCACAATGACTTTTACACTTAATAAAATACCTTCTGCAATCTCTTCTACTTTTATATATAGCCTTTCTTTGAAATAGTTGCAATAAATATGCAAAAAAGAACAAATGCTTCCTCACATAGTTTGAAAAAATGGATTCAAAATACAGCAGAGGGATTTGGTGCTCCACAAAAGAACCTCCTGATAAGTAAGGTTTGCTAGAACAGCCAAATGGACTGACAAATGAGAATGTACACAGAGTTACTTCTTTTTCCTGTTTTGTTTCTAAGTTAGGTAAAAGACAAAGCAGTAGATTAGATATATCTGGAGGGAGAGCTTATTCTCACTCCATGTATCTATATAATTAAAAGTTCTGGACAATCTCTTCATGAATAAATGAACTTACAAAGTAGCCTTCTATTACTTACTAAAGCAAGTACCAATACCATTACCAATATCATAAGAAGGGCACATGCAGCGTGGGTGCTCAGAGCTTGCTGAGAAGAGTGAAGTCATATTCTACACTGAAGGGTCTCAAAGACGTGTGCTAAAACGAAACTGATTAATCTCTTTTGGTTGTAGGGATTAGATGACTGAAGATTCTAGTCCTATAATTTTATGATTTTATGGCTTATATTGAACTGTGTTAAAGTCTTTGAACCCATTAAGTAATAAGTGCTTTAATAACAGAATAAACAGAAGAAATGTATTCGTGACTGCACTGCTTGACTTAATGGGTGATTGGGAAATGTCATTTTATTTATTTTTCATTTTTTCATGAAGGATTTCCCACCTTTTTCTTCAGAGGGCTGGTTTTCAGGTCTTTCTCATTTCTAGGTACTTACCTCTGTTTTCTTAGTCACATGTGATTGTTCAGGAATTGGATAGTGATTGAAAAGAACGCTAAAAGCTTAAGAGCCAGGTACCATGGGGTCCTCAAACATATACATACTTGGGTGAGGACGGCCTGCTAGCATCCATCGAGGATCGTATGGGGTCTTTGTGGGAACAAACTCGATGATTCTGTCTATAGGATCCTTTGAGTTCAGAAGAGGAACTGAACTGTGCACGCTCTAAAAGGAGATTGGAAGAGAGCACAGCAATCAGTGAACGACAGCCCTAGACTCCAACTCAGCAACAATAGTTACAGACAAAGACAGCAGGGCCCACGTATGGAATTGCACCCAATAGTCCCAATCTTCAGCTGGAAGAATCCTACGTATGTGCCAGGCCCCAAGGAACATGTATAGGTCAATAGTCTCATTTAGGAGGCTGGCACAAAGTGGTGTGTTTTGACTCTTGATTTCAGTGTGCCCATGCTTTCTGGGATGCTCCTCTGAGGAATGAATGGCTATTACAGAGGAGAAAACCCACAATGAGGAGGAACCTTAATATACTGGGATCTGAGCCTTAGGTAGGCCATGAGGGCTTCCGTGGCTGGAAGACATTAGAAAGGGGCCCAACAAATGAAATCCAGAGACATCTTAAAGGTAGAAGGCAAAATATGGCTGTAAGGAAAAGAGAAATCAATAGCTTTCAGAGAAATATTTTATAAAAAAATTCCTCCACCATAAAGACAAGACCTTAAACACAGAGGCAGTGAGCTGTGGTGGAAATGACAGGCTCTGCAGGCCATGTCAGTGCTGGGTAGGAAGGGCTCACCTTGGGCATGTAAGACAGCCAGTGCAGGACAGTGAAAACCCCTTCAAAGTCATCACACACAGTGCAGTGGGTCACCCCATTGTTGTGCATAATCTGGATGCCCCCCAGCTGGTTATTGGAGGTGTACACTTCCCGCCCGAGGACCTAGAGAAAAGAGCAAGAGAAAAGACATTTGTCTCTATAGAAATAAAGGCATGGTCGATTTCACAAGTCGCACTAAAATGGGTTCTTTTCTCCACAAAACAGAGATTTCAGTCTCCATGGGTTGGTTGTTCTGAGGGACTATCTGAATCTTCTTCCTAAAAAGAAAACTTAGAAAACAAAAAATATGAGATTGACGCGCTGCCAGCTGCGCTAAGAGGGCTTACTATAGCATTAGGAGATATACCTAATGCTAAATGACGAGTTAATGGGTGCAGCACACCAACGCGGCACATGTATACATATGTAACAAACCTGCACGTTGTGCACATGTACCCTAAAACTTGAAGTATAATAAAAATAAAATAAAAAATTAAAAAAAAACAAAAAATACTTTTAACAATCACATTCATGGTTGCAATTTTAAAACCAGCAAGCCCCTTTCTCTCCACCAGCTGCCACAGATAGGCAAAGCATACTTCCACCCTCAGCTGAAACTGCAGTGGTGGGTGAGGCTGAGACCCAGAGGCATAGGCTACCTCATTGTGTGCAAGTCTCTTTGCACACAGACACAAAAAGGTAACATGCCTGTCTTTCAACAATATTTAGTGACAAGTCTCAGTTAAAGAAACTCTGGGGGCTTAGGTTCCTCATTTTTAAAAAGGATTATTTTTTTCCTTATATTTGATTTTTATTAGATTGGTGCAAAAGTAATTGTGGTTTTTGTCATTTAATGGCAAAACCACAATTACTTTTGCACCAGCCTAACACTGGCCTCCACGCACAAGCCCTAAAGCTAGCAAAAACCTGAAGCAACTCATGATACATACATGAACCCCTGAGTCTCAAGTCTTCTTTGTGTGCTGGGTGCAGGGCTGTGATTTATACCCAAGCATGCTTCCCCTCCTCCTTCCCTTCCCAGGCTCCAGGGAGTTCAGGGCCTCAATCCCTGGTATATCCCTGGAGGAATTTAATCCTTGTAAGGTCAAAGGGCACCTGCAATTGGAAACCACAAAGTTTCCTTTAAAGAAGAAAAAAAGAGGAAGAAAAGATATTCCTGGACTTGGAAATTGCAGGGTTTCTTTTTCCCTTGAAGACTGGTTAATAATTTCTTTCAGGGAAGGAGGTTTTCTGACCCAGCAGATGGAAGCCGGGCAGCCTGATCACTGACTATTGCAAACTGCTGAGTGTATAGTAATTGTCAGTCATCTAAGGTAGCCCCGGAGAGCTCTAAACAGTTGTAGAGCGCTTACTGTATTTTACCTTTTCTTTTTCCTTTCCCCTCCTCCTTTAAAAAATAACGACAATACAAAATTTCTTCCGTACGTGTATTCATTTTCAGTCTCTGGGGAGAATCTAACTAACTAAGGGCCAGCAAAGTCTGCCTGTATATTCCCATTTTGCCCCTTCTTGTTAGGAGCTTTGAGAGGTTCCCCTGCATGCTGGGTCAGCACCCCCATCGGGACCTTCCAAAGATGGAGGAAGTTGGTGACCAAAGTAATAACCTCAGTGTGACCCAATTGGCCTTGATTCCATTTAACTTCAGCTAGGAAGGGCATAAGATACTTTTCTGAAAGGAATATGGAAAGCAAAATTGCTCTCAGATTACTGTTTTCCTTGATAAGGAAGCGCAGAGAACAAGCCTTTACAGGCAGCCCCAAGCTGAGCAACATGCTGGCAGCTCCTTTGAAGGAGCCTCGTGAAGAGGGAAGACGGTATCTGACCACTGAGCTCCCATCCGCCTCTCAGTCCGTCTTTAATCTCAGCCCAGGCACTGCGGCTCTTTTCTCATTCTCCTGCTGTCTCTTTCCATTTGCCCTCTCTCTGACTGATACACTGATCTCTCGGTCACTCAGCTTTCTGCTCTGCTGAGTCCATATTACTAATAACACCTCCGCCACGGCCAGTTTACCTCATGAAGGCAGGAGCACATCATTACAAAATAAACTCATAACTTTGACATTCTAGCAAATACACGCCGTTTGTTATTTTTATGGCTTTAGTCTTTCTAACAGGCAGAGGGCATTACATACCTGTTTCATTTATATCTTTAAATGTGCACACACATGCACACTCACACATGCATCAGGAAACAAAACAGAACAAAAAATCCAAACCAAAGCAAATATCCAAAGCAGTCTGTTGATGCGGGAGCCTGGTAGAGGCAGAAACCCTGTCACTTACAGAGGCCACGCTCTGATCTGGCTCTGGTTTTATGGTCGTCATAAACCCGATGGCCCACAACTGGTCCTTCTGGGACAGACTGCCTCTCTGTTAGAAGGCATTCAGTGTGATCAGCAGTATTTTTAATTATTAAAATAAAATTGGAAAGGGGGAAAAGGAATACAAAAGGAGACACTGTGCTGACCCTGAAAATCTGATATTCACAATCTAGGTCAGGAGCCAAGTACTCCTTGTTGCCCAGAAGAGAGAGCTGGGCCATTTTCTACTCAGAAACACTATTTTCTTCCTATCTCTAATACCTGATAATGTCCAACCACTTAGAATCTTACACATCTCCAAAACTAATAATGGACCAATAAAGAACTACACTCAGAAAAAGGGACCGCTCAGCTGTTTAAACATACTTTCTTCTGATGTCTTTGCCTCCTCATTTAAAAGTGATCCTCTGCCACTTATCTATTCTACCCCATATTTTTACAAAATAATGGGAGGCAAACTTGGTAGGCTCAATAACTGAGTACTCTTCTCTTTACAAGCTAAAACTCGGGTTCTGATGCTTTGGCATTGTTCTGAAAAGGCAGCAGTATTTCTACATCTCTCCTTTCCTATGTTTAGAAGAAACCTAACCAGGGCTTAACATACCAAGAACATTATTTCTGAGCTAAAGAAGTGTTTGTCATGTGAGAAAATTCACTTAATTCAGAAATTAAGGAGAAAAATTACAGAATAGACTAAGAGTATCCCAATATCACTCTCTGACCAGCCTTATCTTGGGAGATGGGGGGTAGGGTGGGGATGGGCACAGAAATGAAACTGCTCCACTAATCACAAACAAATGCTAACAATCATAACTACTTAACAATCGGTGAAGAGAAAGCAGTACCCTCCAGTTCATCTTCAATGACCACATGTTTGGAGTATGCGCCAGTAGAATGAGGGCGCACACAATAGCTCCTGATTTATAGGGGTCGTTGCTGACTCAAGTGGTTTTAATGATTTTAGAATACTTCACAACAAAAGCTCCAACCAAGGAAGCAGAATCTGGGTTAGGATAAAATCCATTCTGCCTAACTGTGAAATGATCATGCTATAACAGTTACACAAACCCTCATCAGTATCTAGGAAGACGAATGGAGTCCACATAGACAGAACCATTGTTTTCTTCCTCAAGGTTGCCCTGCTGACCTTCTACAGAAAAACCTGGGGTCAACAACTCTCATCAACATATTTTCATGAAGTAGGTGAGCTGCATTCAACACTCTTTTAAACTTTGACCTACGCATTTCTTGCCGTGTTTCAGTTCCCAAATATATTCCTCTTACATTCTACTTACTGTATGATACAAACTTTTAATTTATCTGTCCAGCAAGCATCAATAATCATTTAAACACAGGAGTGAGTCAAACAGAGGTGATTCTCCTGAGGCCTCACTTTCTTGCCCTCCAGATCTAAGTGGAGAAGCAGTACCATGCAATATTAGGAATGGGCTCCACCTTGGGGTCCTCTGCTGAAGAGTGCCATGCTGACAGAATTGAATAAGGGCTGAATCTGAGAGGAAAGAGGATCTTGACTCATTCTCAATATAAACTTAAGCCTCATCCAGTACTTCATTCATTGCAGCCGGCGGACCTAAGAATTAAGGGCACCACATAAAAGCCGGTGATTAGCAGAGACACAATTGTTAAAGGCTCCACCAAAGATGCTACGTAGCCTTTAGAAATGTTGAGATACATAAGAAGTACAAATGAATGCAGTCATACGTCCATGCTCAGGCCTCTGCTGCTGCTGCTGCTTATCTAGAGACACTGCAGACAGCTCAGGTTTACCACAGCTGACAGGCAATGAAAACAGCCTAATATACCGCCTGCTCTCTCCCTTAAAGCCCTTTTTGGAGATCAAGATAAACACGTACTTCCTTTCCCCCATGCTCCAGACGTTTGACTGAAGTGGCAGAGCATTGTGATGTTTTGTGCAAATGAAATCACTATGTAATACTGAATGAGTGCAGTATTTACTTGTCAGGATATTTGTCAGCACAGGCATTGAGATTTCCAAGTTTCACAGATGCAACTTAGCTCAATTTTTTAAAAATTGCCTTTGTCCTGACATACACATTATGTTGGGGACCCTTAGACTTATAGGCAAATATTTGCAATCATGTGCTGAAGATGTGAAAAATTATCATGCATATCAATGATGGAATAAAAAATGAAATCTATTCCTTCTCCTCCTCTTTATTCAGTCTTTTCCCCCTCTTTAAACAATGCTCGGTGGGTCAGGACATCTATTTAAGGAAGCAGGGAATACAAAATTCCTCCTGCATCTAAGAATTAGGCTACACAAGCTGAGTCCTCGCTGCAATCCTCCTTCTTATTAGGACATTTCCATTCTCAAGAGGATTTGAGGAGGGGTTTTGTAAATTTACTGAGTAATTGTCATCACTGGACTTCATCCATGATTCTAGATATTAAAGTCACTCTGGGATCTGTCAGGTTATTGATAAAGGTTGGCTAAAGCTGAAAGAGAACAGATATGAGAAAGAATAAGCAGGAGTAGAGGAAAAGTGGTAAAATAGGGACAAAAGAAAGAAGGAAGGATGAGAGAGAGGAAAAGGGAGGGGGAGAGAAAGGAGGAAGGAGAAGAAAAAAATGCAATAGCTCATCTACTCAGTGCAGCTAATATCCTCCTCCCTGACCTGAGAGGACTACATTTTAAAAATCTGACAAGTAATTCAATCTCCAATTAACAATTTTAAGTGGTGCTGCACATATCACTGTGTCAATGTTTCTTCAGGAATATATCCAAGGGTGAATGGAATTAAATCTCTAGGGAGATGGAACCAGGACCTATGTGACCAACAAGATTATTTGGGGGTTCCAAAATACAGTTTCTTAATGCATAGGCAAAGGGTTATAATTTTTTCCCCACTTTATTGCCACTACTGTCACTGGCAAACTGGAGTGCTGGCTGGCAGGTGCTAGGCTAGGGTTGGGGTAGAGAAGGGGCTCGGTGACATACTGTGGGCAGAAGAGAGAAAAGCCTCTGACATGAGCCACAGCTGGATTCAAGACCATTTGCTATAAGACCAAAAATCTCTCTATAAGCAGCAAATCATGAAGTGATCAGGTATGCTGAAGGATAAACTGGGGCAAAGGGGTGGTACTGTCAGTGGAAGGAAAAGAAACAGCCAAAAAGAGGCTGAATATAGGCCAGAAATAACACTGGAAGACATCTCTTTACTGAGGTACAGGGCTCAGTGGAGAACAGAGGAATGAATTAGACAGCAGAAAGACAATAAGGATTTGAAGGTGGAGTGGGTAAGGAACAGAGACTCATTTGTAATGTAAAAGATAGAGAGGAGCCACACAATAGTTTGCTAAATGTATGAGAAGAAGCACAGGCTTCTGGAAAGAAAGCTGCCAAAAGTAATCACTCACCCTAGGGGGACCCACCAACTGCTCATGTAGGTAGGGACTTGAGATTTCTGATAAGTTAATTCCAAACAGGAATTCTTTTTTTTTTTTTTTTGTAGAGACAAGGTCTTGCACGTTGTCTAGGCTGGTATCGAAGACCTGGCCTCAAGCAATCCTCTCGCCTCAGTTTCCCAAAGTGCTGGGATTACAGACATGAGCCACCATGCCCAGCCAATTTTTAAAAATTTTAAATAAAGTCTGGTTTATTGAAGTATAATTTACATACAGCAAAACTGTCCATCATAAGGTATACAAGTCTGTGAATTTTAATACACATAGTCATATAACCACCACAACAATCAAGATAGAGAGCATTTTCATCATCCCAAAGTCTCCTCATGTTCCCTTCCCTCCCTCCACCCCTAACAACCATTGATCTTTTTGTTCCAGTAGTTTTGCCTTTTCTAGAATGTTACATAAATGGAGTCATACAGTACATAGCCTTTTGAATCTAGCTTCTTTCAGTTAGCATATTGCATCTAAGCCTCATTCATGCTGATGCAGGTATCAGTAGTTTATTTTTATTCCTGAGTAATATTCCATTTTATGGAAGTACCACAACTTGGTAACCCGTTTGCCTGTTGGTGTACATTTGGGTTGTTTTCACTTTTGGAGGATTATAAATAACACTGCTATAGACATTTGTGTACAGGTTTTAAGAAAAGCCCAACCTTTTTCAAAGTGGCTGTGCCATTTTGCATTCCCACCAACAATCTATGAGAGTTCCAGCTGTCCTGCATCCTCATCAACACTTGGTATTTGTCAAACATTAAAAAAAAACCATTTAGGCCAGGCACAGTGGCTCACACCTGTAATCCCAGCACTTTGGGAGGCCTAGGCAGGCAGATCATGAGGTAAGGAGATTGAGACCATCCTGGATAACACGGTGAAACCTCATCTCTACTAAAAATATAAAAATTAGCCGGGGCGTGGTGGCACATGCCTGTAGTCCCTAGCTACTTGGGAGGCTGAGGCAGGAGAATCGCTTGAACCCGGGAGGTGGAGGTTGCAGTGAGCCAAGATTGCACCACTGTACTCCAGCCTGAGCGACAGAGCGAGACTCCGTCTCAAAAAAAAAAAAAGCAAAAAACAAAAAACAAAACAAAAAACACCATTTAGTGGTGTCAAGCTGTGGTTTAATCTTCATTTCCCTAATGACTAATGATAAGCATCTTTTCATGTGCTTATTTACCATCCTTATATTTTCTTTGGTGTAATGTCTGTTCAAATTTCTTGCCCATGTTTTTAATTACTGGGTTGTTTTCTTACTGAGTTTGAGAATTCTTTTGGATACCAATCTTTTATCAGATTATGTATTTTCTAAAGATGGAAAACTTTTAAAAAAATCCCTGTTTGTCAGTCGCCTCCTACTGGTTTTACTGAATAGGCTGTGACTGACTGCATTGCTCACCAGTGTCCAGGCCCCAAGAGTATGGTGTTTGCAGGGCCTCGCTCTTAGGGGAGTAGCACTGACTTACTATCTCTGTGGCCTTTTGGTTTGTGTTTTCTCATTGACGTCTGATGGGCAGCAATTTTATTTTTTCCTTTAGAACACATGAAAGGCCTATTATTGTCTTTTAGCTAAATTTCAGCTCCATGAAAGCAGGAATCATCTTTGTATTGCCACAGCATAAGAACAGCTTTATACCTAACAGGCATGCAATAAATGCATGTGATCTACCACATTTCTATGTATTCTATAAAACCTCAACTGATTAGTATGTTCAGCAAGTTAAACCACTATAAGCAAAATAAGTCTTTCATATTAGTGTTATAATGTGTAGTGGCTTTCTGAAGCAAAAGGAGTGGTTCAATTTTCCTACCTTTTTAGTTTTCCCCAATGTAGATGCCCCTCTCCCTCCCTCCCTGTCAAAATTCTTTACATGGGCTAAAATTAAACTAGTAATTCTAAGTACTATAAAGTCATATTATGTTAGGAATGCTCTTCTGAGCTGCATAAACCTGCTTTATCTATTGAGAAAGGCATATTTTACCAATGGGTCAGGTAGAAAATGAAGTTACTCAAAAGTTGATTACATGTTCCAATGGTCTTGACTTCTCATATTTGCATCTTATGCTGTTGGTTAAATTTGGGTGGGTTCTTTTCCTTACCAACACTGATTTCTCAATTTCTTAGACGCGCATACTATTTTAGAAGGCTTAAATCCCAGACACTGAGACATTATTAAAATTAGGAACCGGTCAAAAATCAGCCAGAAAATCTTGAAGCCCAGGCATGGTAATCTGTAGTTCAATCTAAAAAGCTCTTTAAGCTTCTCCTTTCATAATTCAATATTCCTGACTGTGTACATTAGCTGATTAGACTGTGTGATGATGGCCAATCTGAATGAGAAGGGACATAGCTAGATTTGGATCCATGCACAGGGAACATTCCCTAGAATGATGAACAGCTAGGAGTCAGGTTTCTAAACAGTCTCATTTCCGCTTCTTTATCATATTCATAGACCAGTCTGTGCACAGCCAGGGCCCAGCTCTGTCTTCCTTCTAGAAAAGACTGGAGTCCTTGCATTTCTAATCTACTAACGTGTGGTTCTTGCACTTTTAATTTATGAGTGTTAAGGGGGACCTTTCTGACTTGGGAACATATTGGCTCGGTCTAATGCTTGGAGATTATTAAACTTGGAGCTATGCTCCACTATCAAGTCTACAGATCTTTTATTTAGAAGATATGGTGCTCTAAATGCACAAAGAGCTCCCTGTCACCTTCACATTAAAGCCCCTAGTGCCTGGTAAATGGAATTATATAGCTGTCATCTCCTTTCCCCAAAGTTGTAAGAGTACAATGGGCTCATTTTTTCACACTCCATCCCAGCTTCAGAACTAAGAGACCTACTTTGTATTGATTTAAGGTCTCAGAAATAAATAAACCTGCTTCACCACTGTGATTCACAACAAATTCATGATACACTATTGCATGATATATTTCAAGCTCTTGCTCTGGCTCTCTTTTTCTTCTGGTGAGTAATGGGGGAGGTGGGAGGTGGTAGGGAGCTGCAAAGCTGACAGCCTGATGGTTATTGGAGATGGTTGCTGACTGCAAATCCAAGAATAGACACTGTTGGAGGAGTACGGGAATTTTTTTACAACTAGGGGGCAGGGGTGATAAGCTAATTTACTTGGGCTTCAGGCTGGGGTTGGGGGAGAAGAAAGGCTGAAGAGAGGAGAGGGGTTGACAGAGTAGCAAAGCTTCAAGTGAGCACTGATCTGCAAAGACAGAGCTATGAATATATGTAGAAAGAGAGACAGGTGAAGAAAATTCAACATATGAAGGTGTAACACACAACTGAATATAAAATGAAGAAGACGAAGAAACCAATCTTCCTAAGGAACCGTGTGTACAGAGCTAAGTGGGCCCTTAGCTTGAGTTCAGAGACAATGTTTTATTAGAAACAGACAGTGTAGAGACCCTACATGCCACCCAAAGTGTGAGGTAGAGGCATTTCTTCATTCTAATACTCAGGACACATCAGAACCCTGGAGGTGGAAATGGACAATGGATATAGGGTAGAGATATAATGAAGGTCCACATGGATGAAGTGAGCCAGAGACTGTTCACTGAGGCAAGAGGGTAATACATTCTAGCAGTTTAGCTTGTGTTTGTGTACCCTTGGGGTTTGAGTACCTAAGTCTACATCACCTTTACTGATTCCACCAAATCTTAGGCCCAATGAGTTTTAGCTGGTATCTACAAATATAGCAGTCAAAAAGAAATATCCTCCAACCTTATTTCAGGATCTGGACTTTCAACAAGGCAGAGGAGGAGAAAGCAGGAGATAATCGGGCTCCGAAGGTACTGCATGGCACTGCAGGAGACCCCTAAGGTTCCAAGGAGTACTTCCAAGTGGAATTAAGTTTTAACTGTTTCTCTTGTTTCTTCTACTTATTTCACATTTTTAACTGGCAAAGTTATTTATGAATCCAATTTCTTTTCTATCTTGGAATAGCATTTTCATCTTCACTACATTTGTTCTTGAGACAAGACCAGACTCTGAACACAAAAGTACATGAGAAAGATTTTGGTTCCATTCAATTTCCAATTGGTCATATCACAAAACTGGGAGTTTCTTTGTTAAATTTGAACACTGTCTTTAAAGAGTGATCAGTCTCTGTACAGGGAAACAGACTTTAGCCAAATATAAAAAAGAATTCACAGATGAATACATAGATGAATGGGATTGGCTCCAAAAGTACTCAGCTCCCATTCAGTTGAATTTTTCACACATAATTGGGTGAATATTTAGCAATGGTGTCACAGAGGAGATTCACACAACAATTGTGTGGTTGAACTTTTGAGGATCCTCCCACTCTCAAGATTTATAATTCTACAGCCACTTGTGATTGTGAACAACATATAGTGTTTACTTTTCTGTAATCTGGATAAGAAACAAAATTAAAAAAAATTTTAAATCATCATGCTCTTCAACTTCCATTCCTGGTCTCACGAGTATGTAATAATTTTATATATCACTAATATGTAATTTTATATATAATACCCTAATACGCAATAACTTTAAAAATTCCCCACCTCCTATCTATTCACTCCCCAGCCTAAAACAGTTCCCTGGCTACAGATCAATATGCATCTTTATAGCATCACAGAATACTAGATATTGAACAGAATTTAAGATTAAGAGATCCTCTGGTCTTCTACTTAAAAAAAACAAGCAAACCAAAAACAGGCTTAATTCACTTTATTTTTCTTATGTAAAAACTCTGTGTTGTAGCCACAGTTGGAGCCTGGGTCCCCTGCATGGAGACTCTGGTGTGGGTCTTGATGAGGTGGTCAGTGAATTCCTGACAGGAAGACTTGATGAATACAGTCTCCTTCCAGAGGTCGGGGGTCAGGTAGCTGTAGGTTTTAGAGATGGCATCAAAGATGGCCTTGAGAAAGTTCCCTAGGGTGGCAGTGCAGCCCCTGGCTGAGGTGTAGCAGTCATCAATACTGGCCATCATCAGCAGCTTCTTGGGCACCAGGGCCGAGATGATGCCAGTGCCCCGGGTGCAGGGATGAGGCGCACCAGCACAGAGCCACAGCCACCTGTCACCTTGCAAGGAATGGTGTGGGCCTTCTTCTCCCAGTAGCCTCTGTGCATGGGGACAATGAAGAGCTTGGCCAGGATGATGGCCCCATGGATGGCAGTGGCCACCTCCCTGAAGTACTTAACACCCAGACCAACATGGCCATTGTAGTCCCTGATGGCAACAAACATCTTGAACCTGATGTGCTGGCAAGCACGCGTCTGCTTCTGCACTGGCATAATCTTCAAAACCTCATCCTTGAGAGAGGTCCCCACGAAAAAGTTAGTGATCTCAGATTCCTTGATGGGCAGGGAGAAGAGATAGATCTCCTCCAGGGACTTGATCTTCATGTCCTTGACCAGGTGGCCCAACTTGGTCATCCATTCCTTGCCCTCAGCCTTGCCTCCATGAGCTCTGTGGGGCCCAGGCCCTGTTCACGGCCATGGTCCCAGCCCTGGATGCCACTGCCAAAGGTTCCACGGTTCCCCATCTCAGGCACCCCCACACCTGGCTAATTTTTTAATTATTTTGTAGAGGGGGTCTTGCTTCTTGCTATATTGGCCAGCCTGGTCTTGAACTCCTGGCCTCAAGCCATCCTCCTTCCTTGGCCTCCCAAAGTGCTTGGATTATAGGATTACCACGCCAACCTGATTTTCTACTTTAAAATGGGAAATGTATTATGCCTTCCATTTCACAAAGAGGAAACTAACATCTAAATAGATTAAAGCCCAAAGTTGCTTACCTAGTAAATGTCAGGGAGAAGAACAATCAAAAGTTTTTTGTTTTTTTTTTTCTGAGATGGAGTTTTGCTGTTTTTGCCCAGGCTGGAGTGCAATGGTGCAATCTTGGCTCGCTGCCACCTCTGCCTCCCAGGTTCAAGTGATTCTCCTGCCTCAGCCTCCTGAGTAGCTGGGATTACAGGTGTGTGCCACCACGCCTGGCTAATTTTGTATTTTTAGTAGAGACAGGGCTTTACCATGTTGGCCAGGCTGGTCTCAAACCACTGACCTCAGGTGATCCGCCTGCCTCTGCCTCCCAAAGTGCTGGGATTACAGGCATGAGCCACCATGCCTGGCCAAGTTTTTTTTGTTTTTTTTGTTTTTTTTTTTTTAATCTAAAGGTTCTGTAACTCCAAAAAATTTGAGCACATTCATAATAGGTTGTCAAACATGATAATTTCCGAGTCTGTATTCAATGCCCCAAATAGAGTCTCAGAGCTTTCACTTTATCTAGAAGCTCTGGACTGGTACTTGCTGTAGGGTCTCCCAAATTCTTAGACTCTAAGCCACCATATATGCATGGGCTCTCTTAGAGTCAGAGACAACTTCTGCAGTGGAGCTCTGTGTGGCGATTCCACCCTGCAAGATCTCCAAACCAGAGCACTCAGGATTGTTGGCAGGTCACTAAGGCAGACTAATAGAGTCAAAACATAACCTGGTATAGTTTTCTACCAAACTTGAGGAATATTGAATGAAAAACAAACAAAATAATCCCCCCAAATGGGGCCAGATTTACCAATATTTTATGTGTGGGGAGGGAGCGCTTGAAAATTAGGGAGATCTGTCCATTGTGCAATAATTTCTGAGAATTCATTCATAATGCTAAAGCAAGGATTACTCAGAAAGGAAGCTAAAATGCCCTCTTTAGAAAGGAGAGTGATCCCATCTGGAGCTATGGGAGTACAGGGACTGTCTATTGTGAAAATAGGTAGTTAGGGACTTTTAAAAATGCAAATTGCTAGACTGATCCTTAGAGTGATTATGAGCTATTGTATCAACGAGTCCTTGGGGACTCTTGTAGACAGATGACTGACATATATACTACCCTGTCACGACTGAACATCGTGCCTCTCACATTAATGGCTTTCCAAAGTGCGTTGATTGTTGCTAGATACATCTATTGGGAAAGTCAATACATGAATGTACTGCCACAGTGAGGACTGTCATCTAACATTTTCTGGAAGAAATTTTTGCCTTCAAAGAATCAGAAAGTATAGAGAATAATGTGTTCGTATTTCCTTTCCAGAACCAGGATAAGAAATTGCAATGAGAAGGAACCCTAAATGAACCTTAGAGAAGACTATGGCAGTGCCAATGTTTTACCTATTTTGGCTCATTTAATTCTCACAGCGACTCTGGTACACAGATACTATTATTACTCATCTTTTACAGTTAATAAAACTGTAGCCCAGAGAGGTTAAATAAATTGCCCGAGGTCACACAACTAAGTAGGTGGTAGAGCCAAGAATTAAACCTGGGCAGCCTGGCTCTAGCCTCTCCATGCTCATAACATCTTTTTTTTTTTTTTAACTAATAAAAAAATTGTAATTTACTTAGAAGCATTCAGAATGCCAACAAAACAGCTGCAACTTTTTTTTTTTTTTTGCAATTACAGAGTGGTATTCAGTTAACAGAACAATTGTTTCATATAAGCTGCATCAGAGACAATTGAAAATGAAAAAACTACCAACCCCATATATAACTTACATGTGCTGTGCACCAATAAGAACCTGCTTAAAATTTTTATGCCAATTTACAACCCCCATCCTGTACCAGGCAAGGTTAGTGGCTATGAAAATACCACCAGGACAGGGCTATCTAAAGACACTTTTGGTAGTGTGTTAACTATACAAAAGAAGACACCATACAGTTTAAAAAAATTCTTACACAGCCTTACATTTCAATTTTTTTCTTTAAAAGGAGTGAGTTGTATACAGGGGGGTTAAATGCTTTATAGACAAGAAAAAAATCTGTGCTAGAACCAACTTATTCATCATCATCATCTTCTTCATCTTCCTCCTCCTCATCCTCTTCATCTTCCTCATCTTCCTTGTTTTTCTTGCTTTTTCGGCCTTGGCAACTCCCTTTTTTGCTGCATCAGGCTTTCCTTTAGCTCAATATGCAGCAGTATCCTTTTCGTATTTTTCCTTCAGCTTCGCAGCCTTCTTTTCATAAGGCTGCTTGTCATCTGCAGCAGTGTTATTCCACATCTCTCCCAGTTTCTTTGCAACATCACCAATGGACAAGCCAGGATGTTCTCCTTTGATTTTTGGGCGATACTCAGAATACAACAGGAAGAACGCTGAAGGAAGCCTCTTGGGTGCATTGGGATCCCTGAACTTCTTTTTTGTCTCCCCTTCAGGAGGGACGTAGGTTTTCATTTCTCTTTCATAATGGGTCTTGTCTGTCTTTGCCATATCTTCAAATTTTCCCTTCTGTTTAGCAGACATGGTCTTCCACCTCTCTGAGCACTTCTTAGAAAACTGAGAAGTTGACTGAAGCATCTGGATGCTTCTTATGCTCCTCCCAACAAGTTTGCACAAAAAATGCGTATGACAACATCTTGCCTCTAGGCTTCTTAGGATCTCCTTTGCCCATGTTTAGTTGTTTTTCCACAGCGAGGCACAGAGTCACCCAGTGCCTGTCTGGCTCTCGCTTGCCCCGGCGCTGTCTCTATCGTAACCTCTTTAAGTTATGTGAAAGTTACAATGCTGCCCGCCCCACAGTGAGAGCTAAGTAATCTCTCCTTCCCTTCTTGAGCCTCCATGACTTTCATGCTGTGTTTCACAGAGTCATGGGTGGGTGAGCATGGAGACTACACAGTGCAGGTCCCTGGTGTAACAGACAATTCCCACTCCTGAGAGGAACTCTGGTACTGTGCCTAACAGAGTCAGCTATGACAACTTCACATTTCATACTGCATAGCTGCAGAAAAATACATATATGAGAACCAGAGAGAAATGTAACTTACTTGCACCAAGTCTCAAAAGCAAGATTAGCAGAATTAGCCCCCTACCAAACTAATGGCCCTAGTCATACCCATCACATAACTTCTTTTTTCCTGGCAGATTCAGTGGAAATAGGGGCCTGATCTCGCTAAGGGGGATGAGAGTATAGGATTTTTTTTTTTCTAAAAAAGAAGCAGAGCTTTAAAATACAAGAAAAGTCACATATCATCTCCCGGTGAATCTATCACCTGCATATCACTGCCTTTGGCATATACCTTACCTTCACAGTCAGTTAATGTCCACAGGACAACCATAAACTGCATATTCTTATTTCTCTGGATAGAGAATGTGCTCTCTCTCCCCAAGTCTGGGGCAATGGATTGAGAGCTAGTAGGCTCCAGTACACATCAGTGTTCCTTTACAATACTAGCTCTTCCCAGCCTATCTGCCACCTAACACTATGTTAAACATACTAATACTTTTACCAGGAAAGGGAGAAAAAAATAAAGTAAAAAGGAAACTGAGAGGAAGAGTGGTGGGAGGAGGGAAGTAAATATGATCATCTCTGCAAATGTCCAGTGGCAAATAGACTTAAGAGTTTATGACTCTGCAATCATCTCAGCTCCTTAAGGGTGCATCTTAACAGTTCCCCAAGTACACAGGTTACTGCCTTTGCCAGGCCAGCATGACTCCCTTCAAGCAGGGTAATTTGCCACACACATCAGGTCTGCCACGCAGTGAGGCATTTTAAGGAATCTGTCACCCACAGCCTACAGTTCCTAGAGTTAGGATCTACTACCTTGAGTGACATGAAATAGCAAGCCCCTAGAAACTTCTCTTATTAATGTCATCATTCTCACGACATTTGGACAAACAGGAAAACGACCGGACCACCTTCTCTTAGGCTTTACAGACCACTAAGCAAAGAGGCCTGAGCTTTCTTCAGTGAAACTTAGGGACATGAAAGTTCATGTTCTGACCCTGATCTAGTCTCTCTCAATGAAACTAAGTCACTTTCCCTTCTGTTTTTGCCTTCCTGTCTACGAAATATAGCCCTGATACCATTAGCCCATTCCAGAAGATAGCAAGGAACCAGACAGATATTCTTGACTGAATTTCAAGCAAACCCACTTGGGCTGCTTCTAATCACCAGCCTACTGCCTTTAGTTCTAATGTCAAATGTGCTTAGTAACACTCAATAAAATCCAGATACTACAACTCATCTCAATTTGGGTAATATTTTGAATATTTTACAAATAACTGCAGGCAACAAAGCAAGACAGACATGGAAAGAAGATACACAAATGGTGAGTTCACAGGGGGAAAAGGATAAAAATACGAAGGTGGGAAGCACTTCCTGGTTTTGGAATAAAAGACACAGTGACAAAGGATGGCGTCCATGAATAAAACATGTAAGTATACAGAAAAACCACCAAAAGTAAAAAAACAGGAAAACACCAGAAAATATTTATTTTATATGAAGGTTACTACTGTTGGCTATAAAAAGAAATCCTTTAAAAAGTAAGAGTCTTTGGAAGCAAAAGATAGGAAGGTGTAAACTAATTAAAAACAGGCTAATGACAGGCAACATCATGTGTATGCCAAGATGGAGTATAGCCATAAAAGCCAGGCGCACACATGCAATGTATTAAGTTGAAAATGCATGTCTCTTCAGCTTCATATCTATTAAAGGAAGAAACAATTTACAGGTTGCTGCATTATGGGAGTATGATATGTGGAGTGTCAACCTTTTCTCTTCAAACTGAACCATGTTAAGTAAAATCAATGATGGGGTTTGGGGGGTAGGGGAAGGAAGGGGAAAAGCAGGGAGAAAGAAAGTTTTTAAAAATCTCTGCCTCAGCAAAAGTTTTCATTAAAATTTTAGACAAATCATCCCTGTGTCCTTCTCCCTTGCTGCCTGGGGCTCCATGCTATTTCTATGCAAATAACAACCTCGTGGTTTATATCTTATTATTTCCACCGGAGCTGCAGCGACATGACCTGAGATGTGTAAGAGGTGGGGGGGAAGGGGGGGGCAGAGGAGGGGATTTGGAGAGGAGAGAGAAAGGGAGAGAAGAAGGAGGGGGGAGAGAGAGAGAGAGGGTGTTCACTCAAGTGTGAAAAAATATTGTCAGGAGTGAGCATCAAGAACAAAAAAAAATTGCAGGGATAACGTGTTTATTTCAGTCCCCCCCAAAACCCCCCAACCCCCCTTCCTGCAAACCAGCACCTTTTAAAATTCATTGGGCATCAGGCGATCATGCACAATCCATCTGCTTTCACTTTATCATTTGCATTTCATGCCTCCTGGCTTTTGATGTGCTGATACTTTGATGCAGTCAGGAGACGTGCATTATCATTATTTCAATTTTCAAAGGGGTCAACAGGATCGGCACTTGCACACACAAGATTTTTTTCCCCTACAACCTCTGAACACCCCCACTCCTTATTCTTCACCCCAATGTTTAACATAAAGGATGAAGACTCAAAAATGTGGGGGTCAAATATTTACAGTCTAAGACTGTATATAAGCTTGCATGTCTCCTACATTTCCACCTTACACAGGTACATACTATGAGCAAAATGGCCAAGGCTTAAGAAAGGAGGCTCTATAATGTTTCAAAAACACAAAGACTTTCTCACACATGAACACACAGGGCGGCACACAGACAGAGAAAGAGGGGGATCTATACGCAAGACACAGACACAAAGAGACAGAAAGATCAGCACCCACACAGAAAGAGACATGCACTCAGGGTGACTTGCACACACCCAAAGTACACAATACAGAGAGATACCTACAGAAAGAAAGGCAAACAGAGATGAAGAAAAACACCAGCACACACAAAGACAACACACAGAAGGAGTGAGTCAGAGGAAGCCATCTGAGCATGGTAGTTTCCTTTTTTCATACCTTATAGGCAAAGGGGCTAATAGGATATTCTGAACGAATTTGCATAAAATCGGGTGTCTTCAGCAGCACAGCTCTATACTTAAGAGGAGCTGACATGAAGATAGTGAAGCAGGCAGAGCAACATTAGGTAACCTCTGTATCTGATCACTCCCTTCAGCTAAAAACAAATATGCCCTTTTGGAAGTGAGCATTGTTTGGTAAGTTAAAGCTATAGCTTTATTTATCTTTCACCCTGTAACTAAGCTTTTGTTTTAACAAGCAGCCCTGTAAGCTATGACAGTGAATATAATGAATTTGATTAGAACAATTCAATCAGATTTTAAGAAATCAATCTCTAATGTTTCTTCATGGCACAAATGAAATTCAACTAGCAAGTTTTCAAGCAAAACAAAACCAAAAACCCAACATCTGCTTTTTGTAATATTCTTTGTATATAATATAGTATCGGGGCAGGGGGGAGAAAGAAACTCAATATAAGAAGATATATTTCAGAAATTAGCTCTCTGACTGGGTATGGGAACATCATGGAAATATAGGTTTTTAAAGTACCATTATCTATGAGAACAGAATTTTTAAAATCTTTCAAAAATTCTGTTCTCATAGATAATGGTACCTAAAATTATCTTTGGCATTCATCAATATCTCATCCTAAGAAGGTATCCAAAAGAGCAACTTAAAAAAAAAAAAAACAACAACCTTAAGACTCTCAGCAGTTTCTCCCACTGCAATAATAATCTTCAGTAGTAGTGGTTCACAACCTTTATTTCCAGGCTACTCTCCAAAAAGGGAGGAAGACAGCCAAGTTCGCCACTGTTAGCACTGCTGTGCCTTTCCTTGATGAGAAAAGCAAGCCCAGAGGAGGATACAGAGTTCATATGAATGCACAGAGCAAGCTGATCGCATCAAATGATTCCTCTAATTTCTGACATCCACAAAATCTAATTAAACCAATGGAATTATCAACTTTTTCCTAAATGGGAATGACAGAACACTTAATTCTTACCCTTAAACTTGAAAGTCAAGACTTGATAAAAAGTTCCTGCAAGTGGAGTAAACATAATATCTGATACAATTTAGTATGTGTATTAACTCCATAAGCTCAATCACCAAATCATGTTAGAGAGAGGAACGGGAAACTGAAATTTGAATGTGGGCCAACACTTTTTGCCAAGAACTAGGTACTCTTTTTTTTTTTAAGAGATGGGGTCTTACTATGTTGTCAGGCTGGATTCAAACTTCTGGGTTCAAGCTATCCTCCTGTTTCGGCCTCCTGAGTAGCTGGGAATCTAGGCATGCCCAGTAGAACTAGGTACTTTTACTTATGTTTTCTCATTTGAGCTCCACATTATTTAAAGGTTTAAATTATTATCCCCCTTTGACAGATAAGAAAGCTGAGGAGCTGAGAGGTTATATAAGTTGCACAAGGGCAGTCAGCCTCAGAATATTCCATTATACTTTTCTGGCCCTGAAGAGAAAATAATTTTCCTATGCTTGCAAAGATGTCAGAACTGCACTGTCCTTTATACATTCAGGTATTCTTGGATAGTTTTCACTCTTTCGAGCAGTGACCTTGCCATCCATTTTTTTCCCCTTTGGAAAAACCCTTGTGAAGTTGGACTAAAAAGGCACAAATCTTTCTTTGGAAGGGAAGATAAATCTTTATGCATACTCTTTCCCAGTAACCCATCCATGCATCCATCCACCCATCTTCCCACTCAATATTTGCCAAATATTTCTTCTATATACAAGAGACCACCATCGGTGCCCTTTTCGAGAGGTGTATTTACAGATTTCACAAAATCATTAAAACTTGATAGTCTCAACACCTAGGCCGGTACCTAATTCATGATGTAGGCCTGAAATGGGAACCAGCACAGCTGGAATCAGAGACAGCTCAATGTCTGTGTATAGATCTCCTCACATCTTTTACTAATAGATTAAGAAAAAGAGAGAAGTGGGACAGAACAGAAGCGTTCAATTAATTCTGTCTTTCTACAACGACACTAAAACATAAGCACTTTAGAGCAGCGGTTTTATATGGTTTGTTCACTAACATATACACAGGGCTTGGAACAGTGCCTAGAAAACAGTAAGTACTCAAAATAGTTGATAAATGAAATGAATGAATGAATGAATGAATAAAAAGGCAAGCAAGTCAATGGGCAGAAAAGATGGAGGGAGAGGGGAAGAGATAGACTGAGGAAGGCACGGATTGAACTGCTTCCTTCCAATCAGGATCTTGAATTAAGAATTCACACAATAATCTTCAATCAGCTATGCATACTTCTTCAAAACCCTAGAAACTTACTTTGTTGAGGGCTCCAGCTCCTGTTAGAATTAAGTGAGAATTCTCAACCTGGATGGTTCTCTGTCCCAGCCGGACAAGGTAAGCCCCAATCCCAATGGCCCGGCACGTCACCTTAGAAAAGAATAAATTCTACATGTCACATATTTATGTCCTCTCTGAAGCTATAAGAACTAAGGCATAGATAAGTAAAATCCAAATTAACAGAAATAAACATTGCTTTTTATGAAGTCTATTTGATTGACAACAACACACACACACAAATTTCATGGTCAAAGAAAAGAAAATACAATGATGCAAAATTCAGGCTGGGTGCAATGGCTCATGCCTATCATCCTAGCACTTTGGGAGTCTGAGGTGGGCGGATCACTTGAGCCCAGGAGTTCAAGACTACCTTGGGGCCGGGCGAGGCAGCTCACACCTGTAATCCCGGCACTTTGGAAGGCTGAGGCTGGTGAATTACTTGAGGTCAGGAGTTTGAGACCAGCCTGGCCAACATGGTGAAACCCTGTCTCTAGCAAAAATACAAAAATTATCCGGGCGTCATGGCACGTGCCTGTAATCCCAGCTACTCGGGAGGCCAAGGCAGGAAAACCACTTGAACCCAGGAGGCAGAGGTTGCAGTGAGCTGAGATCACGCCACTGCATTCCATCCTGGGCAACAGAGTGAGACTCTGTCTCAAAAAAAAAAAAGACCTACTTGGGCAACATAGTGAGACCCCCATCACTACAAAAAAGTTAAAAATTAGTTGGAGGTGGTGGCACATGCCTGTAGTCCTAGCTACCTGGAAGCTGAGGTAGGAGGATCACTTGAGCCCAGGGGGTAAAGGCTGCAGTGAGCTATGATTGCACCACTGTACTCTAGCCTGGGTGATAGAGTAAGACTCTGTCTCTTAAAAAAAAGGAAAGAGGGGCCAGGTGTGGTAGCTCATGCCGGTAATCCCAGCACTTTTGGAGGCTGAGGCGGGTGGATCACGAGGTCAAGAGATTGAGACCATCCTGGCCAACATGGTGAAACCCCGGCTCTATTAAAAATATGAAAATTAGCTGGGCATGGTGGCACTCGCCTGTAGTCCCAGCTACTCAGGAGGCTGAGGCAGGAAAATTGCTTGAACACGGGAGGCGGAGGTTGCAGTGAGCTGAGATCGTGCCACTGCACTCCAGCCTGGTGACAGGGCGAGACTCCATCTCAAAAAAAAAAAAGAAAGAAAATAAAAAGAAGTTACACTAAAAGCTAAAACAAAGTGCTGGGTTTGTTTGAAAAATTCAGTTATTTATATTATCCTATCTTCCTATTATCATGTGTGATTAAAATATAATTATAGACATACAATCTTCAAGAAATGCTCTCATTTGGGACTGAATAGCAGTGATAAGAGAAAAAAATAAACCTAGCCACACAGCCAGTTCTTCAAAAATTTCACATTCTGGAAAGATTTACCAGGCTGATGGTAATGATCTCATTATAGGCCAATGAGGATTCTCCAGCAATCATTCCAGAACCTCGAAGGTTCTCGGGTCCAATTCCCTCTTCTTTCCCAATAATATCTGTTATCTTGTACCTATTGGATATGGCCATGTCAAATTATGAATGTTAAACACAGTAACAACAAGCCATTAAAAGAATAATCACCAATAAAAGGCGGCTAAAAGTGTATTGAAAGCTTATATTTAATGCCAGGGCTTTATGTGCTTCCTTTTATACTCTTCATTCATATGTCTTTCCTTCTTAGCTTGGTGCCTATTTTACCTGGAAGCAACATGGTTTAATAGAAAGAGCGAAATCTGGAATTAAGCAGATAGCCTTTTTTCTTTTTTTTTGAGGCGGAGTCTCGCTCTATTGGCAGGCTGGAGTGAAGTGGTGCAATCAAGGCTCACTGCAAGCTCTGCCTCCCGGGTTCACGCCATTCTCCTGCCTCAGCCTCCCAAGTAGCTGGGACTACAGGCGCCCGCCACCACGCCCGGCTAATTTTTGTATTTTCAGTAGGGACGGGGTTTCACCGTGTTAGCCAGGATGGTCTCGATCTCCTGAGCACGTGATCCGCCCACCTCAGCCTCCCAAAGTGCTGGGATTACAGGCGTGAGCCACCGCGCCCGGCCTAATTTTTGTTTTTTTTAGTAGAGACGGGGTTTCACCATGTTGGCCAGGATGGTCTCGATCTCTTGACCTTGTGATCCACCCGCCTCGGCCTCCCAAAGTGCTGGGATTACAGGTGTGAGCCACCGCGCCCGGCCAAGCAGATAGATTTAAATCCTTGCTCTGATACACACAGGAGTGTGACTCTAGAAATAATAATAACTTCTACAAAATGGGAATAATAATATCTACCTCTAAGGGTTGACAAGAAAGTTAAACTAAAGCAAACAAGGAAAAGGTTTGATGTTATAGATGGCCCTCGGATTTTAGATGCCCTCTCTTATTTTCTAGAACAAGTTTCTTAAAAGCAAGGTCAATGTATATCTCTATAATGAGCAAAAGGCATCATATCAACAATTTTAGACAATTTTACGTAGGAAAAGAATATCCAAACAGAGCGGTAGTGAGAATGCTCAGCTTAGTTTCTCAAGTCAAAAATCCTCTTCTAAGGTAGGATGAAGCAAAGGTCAAAATACTGAACTCCCATTCATACTCCTTCATAAATATCAAGTATATACACAAGGGTCCCTGGATATGTCCTCTGGAGGGGAAGGTGGAATGTGTGTAGAAGTGAAATGCTGACCAAGTTGTCCAGAAAGCATCCTGTGGATCTAGTGGGAGTCACTCATCTGTCTTCCTGGCAGGGGATTAGGAGTGATAGCTGATAATGGGAAATGGGAGATGGGGAATGCAACTAATAAAAGAAAGGAAAAATACAAAGTTGGAAGTAGAGATGGGCATATATTATTTATTGTTCCACGTGTACCCAGAAGGCTTGGCAGTGGGCACAGTTTTATAAATTGAAATAATAAATAAGTACCCCATAGTGGCTCTTAAAATACTTCCTCCTGCCCCCATATTTTCCTGCTCCCTTCTTCATTTCCAGCCCTCCATCAATTCTTTTTCTTTGCCCTTGCTGTTGGTCTGTGACTTTGCATCTCTGCTTCCCAGATTCTGCTGCCTTTCTATTTTTAGCCTCTCCTAATATCCAATAATTTCCCAGTTCTTCCTTTTGTTCTGTATCTAGACTCTATCCTAAAGTTATGTCAGAAATGAGGCTACTGTCCCTTAAGGGGGTTAATTAACTACATTAATTGTATATGTGTTTGTGTGCCTGTTTGTATAAGGTCCATATAGTCATAAATATTCAAGGACCCAGCCAGACTTGCCTGTAACAAACTCAATATTCATAGATTCCAGAAATGAAGAGTTAAAAAATATCATAGGGGAAAATCCCATTCAGAGTAGCAAGAAAAAATGCAAAATATTTAGAAATAAGCATGAAGAAATTGGCAGAATCTCACCGTAACTATATTGTGTCTCAGGGCACCATGATGAACTCCCAGAAGCACTACAAGATATTTTAAATTTTTGAGAGAAGCACTATTATATGTGGTATCTGTGACCCTATGTGAACTACTAGCTTTAGATAGTTCATAGTAGTTCACAGTTTAACGTTAGAATGGTGCTACATTCCTTTTGAAAATGTCCTGTCTTTGCAAGCTAGATTTTTGAAGTTTCTGTGAAAACTCAATGAAGAACAAGAAATGTGGGTGGCTATATCCAAGCTGATTCCAAGGTTTGAGAGGTTATGCAGACACAAATATCTCATTAGTAAGAAACTGTAATTATTTAAGAATAAATTTTTTCGATTTATGTATATAATTTTTTCAAATGATTATTAAGTTCTTAGGACGCAAATACTTATTGTTTAACTACCTAATAAGCAGAAATATTAAGTATATCTTATAGCCCAGGGGTGCTATGAAAAAATTACTGAGACACTAAGGATGCCATGAACCAAGAAAGTTTGGGAACCTCTGGCAAAACCTATATGAAGAAAACTACAAAACGTAAAAACAAAACAAAAAAAACCCCACTCATATAAATGGAAAAACATACCCTGTTTCTTTTTGGGGAAAGTTAGTATTATGAAGATGTCACTTCTTAAATTAATGTGTAAACTCAATACAATCTGAATCAAAATCATTATGGAACTTTTTTGGAATTAGAAAAACATGAGACTCTAGCCAAACACAGTGGCTTGCACCTGTCATTGCAGCTACTTCAGAGGTTGAGGTGGGAGGATTATTTGAGGTCAGGAGTTCGAGACCAGCCTGGGGAACCTAGCAAGACTCTATCTCTAAAATTAAAAAAATAATTAGCTGGGCATGATGGCACCTGTCTATAGTCCCAGCTACTTGGGAGGCTGACATGGGACAATCTCTGAAGCTCAGGAGTTTGAGGGTTTAGTGACCTATGATCACACCACTGCATCCCAGCCTAGGCAACAGAGTAAAACCCTGTCTCTAAAAACAAAAACCCTCTACATTAAAAAAAGCAAAAGTAGCCAATAATACTTGAGGAAAAATTAAAAATGTGAGAAAATTTGCCTCACTAGAATAGTTTAAATAGTGTGGTATTAGCCCAAGAGCAGACAGACAGAACAAAAAAACACAAAAGAGTAAATTTTCAGTAAATAGTATTAGGACAATTAACTTTTTTTTTTCTTTTTTTTGAGATGGAGTCTTGTTCTGTCACCCAGGCTGGAGTGCAGTGGTGTCATCTCGGCTCACTGCAACCTCTACCTCCTGGGTTCAAGCGATTGTCCTGCCTCAGCCTCCCAAGTAGCTGGGATTACAGGCATGTGCCACCAGGCCCGGCTAATTTGTATATTTTTAGTAGGGATGGGGTTTCTCCATGTTGGCCAGGCTGGTCTTGCACTCCTGACCTGAAGTGATCTGCCTGCCTCAGCCTCCCAAAGTGCTGGGATTACAGGCGTGAAACACTGCGCCCAGCCAAGCAATTAACATTCTTAAAAATACTTGCAGATAGATTATATAAAAACATTCAACTTCACTGGGAGTCAAAAATACAAGTTAAAATAACAATTGCCATTTTTATTCCATTTTATTAATTGATAATCAATGTTGGCAGGGGTGAAGAAAAATTAAAGAGGGAAACAAATCCTATTCTACACTGCTGACAGAAATGCAAATCTTGGGAAGGCAATTTAAAATTATTTTTTAAAATCCTTAAAAATTGACTTTTCGACCTGCAATTTCTCTTCTAGAAATTAACCAAAAAGGGATGATCAGAGCTTTTAATTCCTAAAAGTTTATATGAAACTTATATAAATGTCCCTTAAGTGGGTTCAGCCAAGGGATGTGAAAAATTAGAAATAGTCTGAATGTTCAAATATATTTATTATAATAAAATACTATGTAGACATTAAGCATCATATTCTTAAATAATGTTTTAAGAATACACGAAATTTCCCCAAAAATAGTTTTTAGTGAAAAGGATAAATTATAAAAGAAATTCTTGTTATCATCTCAATCACATAGAAAAAAGATATGTCTATAGAAAAGACAGCAAGTGTATAACATAAATTCATAATCGTGGCCTGAAGGTGGGATTGTGGCTAATTTTTTTTTCTTTATAATTGTTTACATGTTTCAGTTTTTCTAAAATGAATTAAGTATTATAAATTTAAAAACTTCAATCAATAACCCAAGGTTCTTCAGCTAATAAGTGGTAGAGCTGGATGTAAACCTAAAACATCTAGATTATGTCATCTTCAATGTTCTTCAAGGTTATGAACAGCTGTACAATATGGAAAAAAATACCATATTCTCCTTTCTTTAGTCATGACCAAATTATTCCAATACATATATACCTACCTGGATTCTCCTTCATCTTCCACGTGTTCACAATGGACAGAGTTGAGAGCACTGACTCTCTTATAATCTTGAGGAGTCAGATATAAATACCTGTATCCCTGTGAAGCACAAATAGTTTTTAACTCATTATTTGCCATTGTCATATAATCAGAAGATACAGCAAAGCATACATAATGAAGCTTGTTCCACAGCTAGCTTTAAATTGCCACATCACTTCTTAGGTTTACTGTCTAACAGAATACTAGCACAGACAGTCCTCCTTTGAAAGATGAAGTGCCTATTTTTTCACTCACTAACTGTCCTTGAAACAAGACACCTTATAGCTGCAATTCCAAGTATATTCCCTTCATTTCATTTTCTTTCTTTCTTTCTTTTTTTTTTTTTTTTTTGTTGAGATGGAGTCTCACTCTGTTGCCCAGGCTGGAGTGCAGTGGCGCGATCTCAGCTCACTGCAAGTTCCGCCTCCTGGGTTCACACCATTCTCCTGCCTCAGCCTCCCAAGTAGCTGGGACTACAGGCACCCACCACCTCGCCTGGCTAATTTTTTGTATTTTTAGTAGCGACAGGGTTTCACCGTGTTAGCCAGGATGGTCTCAATCTCCTGACCTCGTGATCCGCCCGCCTCGGCCTCCCAAAGTGCTGGGATTAAAGGCGTGAGCCACTGCTCCCGGCCTCATTTCATTTTCAACAGGGTTAAAGGGTCATTTTCTGATCTTTAGTGACATCTCTTAAAGATATCAACATGTAATTAAAGAATTGTGTGAATTACTATTTTTCACTCTCTCAAATCCACAGGATCATCAAAATAAATATAAGCAAGGGATAACAGAAAACCGCAAATCTAGGAGATTCAATATTAAAATCAGAAGTCTACACAGTGCTAATAGTGAACACTGAACTCAGATCTTTTGTTTTTTCAATAAACAACTCCTAATGCCCATTTACATGTAAACAATTATACTAACATTTCATAATTGATTTATATGTATCTATACACACAGCCACATACAAAGTAGAGTTACATGGTATATGTGTTTAACTTAAGTGAATTAGTCACTCAGTCAAAAAAATAAGTAAACACAGGGAAGCATTTTAAATACTATGAGAAATTATGCCCACCATTTAACTCAATAAATGTATGTCCCACAGTGAGCACAACATGGAAAAGACATAAATCTGCGATTGGTCTTGCATGATTTGTGTTGAGAATGCCTGACAGCACTGAGTGTCATTAGTATGTCAGTCAGTACACATTTACTGAGTGCCTATTATGTACAAGGTACTATTCCAGGCACTGGAAAAACAGGAATTAACAAAAATAGACAAGAATTCCTACCCTTATGAAACATACCTCCTACTCGGAAAGTCAGGAAATACACAAAATAAGTAAAATGTATAATGTAAATGGGAATAACGTTTAAGGAAAACAAAATGAAAGAGAAGGTAGACAGTCGAACTTTTAGAAAAAATAACCAAGGAAAGCCTCATTGAAAAGTGTCATTTGAGTAAAGACCTAAAGGAGCTGAGGCTATGAGACATGAGGATATCTGAGGAAAAAGCATTCTAGGTAGAAGGAGCAGCAAGTACAAATGCACTGAGGCATGATGTGCTTCGCAGGTTTAAGAAAGCAGAGTCGGGTAGAGCCAATGTGTGGAATGGTCAGGGGAGGCTGTAGCAAGAAATGAGGGCAGAGTGGTACTGGAAAGCCAATCTATGTAAGGCCTTGTAGGCAACTATATGATCTTTGGCTTTTACTTGAATGAATTGGGAAGCTATTAAAGGGTTTTAAGTGGAGAAAAATTTTGTGATCTGATTTATATTTTAACTAGATCATTCTATCTTTTTTTTTTTTTTTTTTTTTTTTGAGCAGAGTCTCCTTCTGTCACCCAGGCAGGAGTGCAGTGGTGCGATCTTGACTCACTGCAACCTCTGCCTCCTGGGCTAAAGTAATTCTCCCACCTCAGCCTCCCAAGTAGCTGGGATTACAGGCATCTGTCACAATGCCCAGCTAATTTTTATATTTTTAGTAGACAGAGGGTTTCACCATGTTGGCCAGGCTGTTCTCGAACTCCTGACCTCAAGTTGATCCATCTGCCTCAGCCTCCCAAAGTGCTGGGATTACAGGCATGAGCATGAGCCACCACACATGGCCTCATTCTACATTCTGTTGAGAACAGACCTTGGGTGGGGCTGGGAGCAAGGCCAGAGGCAGGAAGACCAATTAGGAGGGTACTGCAATATGCAGGTAAGAAGAGTTAGACTACTGCTACTGCTAGTAAGTAGCTGTGGAATTTGTTAGAAGTACTCAGATTCTGGATATATTTTAAGGTAGGGATGTAAACATGATTTACTGTTTAGATGGATGAATGGGGTGTGGAAGTGAATGTGGGGTGTGCAAGAAAGACAGAAGTCAAGAATAACTCCAAGGTCTTTTACTTGAACAAATGAAACAATAGAGGTACCATCTGTTGAGACAGAAGACTGTGGGAAGAACACATTAAAGGAAGATTAGAAGCTACAATTTAGGCAGACATTTAGGCAGATGTAAGTAGAGATGTTGAGTCTGGATATATGAATCTTGTGTTCAGGGGTAAGATATAAATTTGGAAGTTTATCAGCTTGTACATGAAACTTAAAGCTTTAAAAGACTGGATGAGGCTGGGTGCGGTGGTTCACACCTCTAATTCCTGCACTTTGGGAGGCCAAGATGGGCGGATCACTTTGAGCTCAGGAATTCGAGACCAGCCTGGGCAACGTGGGGAAACCCCATCTCTACAAAAACCAAAATAATTAGCCAGGCATGCTGGTGCATGGTTGTAGTCCCAGTTACTCAGGAGGGTGAGGCTGGAAAATTGCTTCAACCCAGGAGGCAGAGGTTGCATTGAGCCATAATCGCACCACTGCACACCAGCCTGGGCAACACAGTGAGACCCTGTCTCAAAAAAACAAAACAAAACAAAAAAACAGGATGAGATCACCAAGGGAAGGTGAATAGGAAAAGAGGAGTAGTCCAGGGACCAAGCCCTTGAATCACTTTTTTCCTTCTACCCTACTTTCTATATTGGCTGTCTTGCCAAACCACCAGGTGAGAGGGCATTGGGTCCTAGTGGGGTTGAGAATGGGGAGTCCAGAACTTCTTGGTCCTGCTGCAGCCTCTGTGCTCCTGACATGTCTCCATTCACTTTTTTTTATAATTAAAAAAACTGGCCAGGCACAGTGGCTAATGCCTATAATCTCAGCACTTGGGGAGGCCAAGGTGGGAGGATCACTTGAGGCCAGGAGTTTGAGAGAAGTCTGGGCAACACAGCAAAACCTTGTCTTTATGAAAAATAATAAAATTAGCTGGGTGTAGTGGTGTGCGCCTGTAGTCCCAGCTACTTGAGAGGTGGAGGTGGGAGGATCACTTGAGCCCAGGAGTTGGCAGATACAGTAGGCTATGAATGTGCCACTGTACTCCAGCCTGGGTGACAGAGCTAGACCCTGTCTCTTAAAAAAAAAAGAGATAAAATTAATATAACATAAAATTAAACATTTTGGTTTTTAAAGTTTTTTTTTAGTCTCACTCTGTCACCCAGGCTGAGTACAATGGCACGATCCTGGCTCACTGCAACCTCCACCTCCCGCATTCAAGCAATTCTCATGCCTCTCTACCTCCCGAATAGCTGGGATTACAGACGTGTGCTACCATGACCAGCTAATTTTTTATATTTTAGTAGAGATGGTATTTCGCTATGTTAGCCAGGCTGATCTCGAACTCCTGGCCTCAAGTGATCTGCCTGCCTCGGCCTCCCGAAGTGCTGGGTTACTGCAACCAGCCAAAATTCACCATTTTGAAATGTATAACTCAGTAGACTTTAGTATATTCAGATGTTTTGCAACCATTACCACTAATTCCAGAATATTTTCATCAGCCCCAGAAAAACCCCTGTACTGGATCAATTCCCATACTTTAATAAAGTTTTTCTATGAACTTTATTGAAATATAATTTACATGCAATAAAATTCATCAGTTTTAAGTGTTATAACTTGATGAGTTATGACAAATGTATGTACTTAGGTAGCCACCACCACAATCAAAATATAGAATATTTCCATCATCTCCTGAAATACTCTTACATTTAAAGATGTGAAAGGCAGCAAAGGAAACTGAGAAAGAGGAGCCAGGAATGCAGGAAGATAAAAAGGAGACTTTGGGCTCTTGGAAGCCAACAGAAGAAAGTATTTCAAGGATGAAGGAATGACCAACTGTGTCAAATGCTAATGCTATTGTCAAATAACTAAGGTGAAGACTGAGAATTCACCATAGAATTCAGTAATATGGAATCACTGGTGACCCTGACAAAAGCAGCTTCAGTGGAATGGTAAGGGTGCAAGCTCAAGTGAAGTGGGTTCAAGAGGGAATGGGAGAAGAACATCTGGAGACAGCAAGAACAACTCCTTTAAAACAATTTTCCTGTAAAGGGAAGGAGGGGAGGGACAGTGACTGGAGGGGTGTTTGTATGCTAAAAGGGCTGATACAGTACAGAGGGAAAAAGTGCTGATGCACAAAAGAGCAGGAGGAAGTGTTGATCGTACACTTAAGTTAGCAAGAAAGGAGATCAAATGTACAAGAGGAGGGATTGTCTTTAGACAGAAGTAGGAACTATTCATTCAAAGTGTGGAAGAGAAGGTGAAGAGTAAGGGCACAACGGATGCAGGTACATGGAAGCTTGTAGAAGCTCTCTTCTCATTGTTTCTCTTTTCTTGAAAATTGGGAAGCAAGGTCTGATGATATCAGCTAAGAGTGGGGAGAGGGAAGTGCGTGTTACAGGTTTGAGGGGAGAGATGTGAAACCGTCATCCAGGAGGTTGCTAAGCTTGAATTTAAAGTAAGATCAGTCAACAGAACTGTTTTTTTCTCCATCAAAGTTCAGCTGGGCAGGTGCAGGCATGGGAGCAGAATGGAGAGAGTTGGATTTAAACACTCTGTAAAAGCACAGAGTAAGCAGAGTGAAGAGAGAAGCAAGTTGAAGCAAGTTGAGAGAGAAAGTTGAAGGTGCAGAAAAGATGGTGATTATAATGATTAATCAAGGACTGACCTTGGAGTTTAAGCCAGATAGGAATGAAATGAGGTGTAAGGAGGGAGTGAAGAACAGAAGAAAGGTGGGAGGATAAACAGGTGAGTTCAACTCAATGGTACTGATGATTTCAAAGGATTGTTGGACTAGAGAGAGGAAGCTGGAAAGAGAGGATGGAGGGGGTAGCAAAGAAAGAGATACTTGAAATTGAGATTATGGGGAATGAGAGGCTGAGCTAGGGTATAGGACAGAACCACTAGAAGAAAAGAAGTCAAGGATCCAAGAGGCCAGATTATGGGAAGAATCATCTATGTGGATATAGCAATCACCAAGAATTATCACATGACTATTAGTAATGGACAGAGTGGCAATGTGCCAGGAACTAAAAGATGCAAAGAATGAGAGGGAGTGACCAAAGGATCAGGAAACACAAGGAGCAGTATGGGTATGGCACAGTCTGATGACATGAGATTCAAAGATGGGATTTTTTCAGAGAGAAGGGAGAGGTGTCTGGAAGCAGCAATGAGGATCAAGGAGGACAATATTCCCCTTCCAGGCTCAGTGGTTCAAAAGAAAGACAGAAATCAGTCAGTACTTCAGAGGGCTACGGGGGAAGCAATATCTTTAGAGGAGAGACAGATCTCAAGGTGAACAAGGAGGTTGGAGCAGAAGATGAGGAGGTAAGGGATTTTGTTGATAATTGACCGTAAGTCCTGGAAGCCACAATTAAATAAAGATATATATTTTTGATTTAGCATGTCTCGCACTAAATGCATACCTACTATTTCATCTAGTGCTCAACCAAAGAAACAGCAACCTGTTTTATAGATGGAAGAAAAACCAAGTGAACATATTGAGAAATAATTTGTCTTTAATATGGTGTCTTAAGGAATTTTCACAAATAATTTTGTTTATATTTAATTTTTACCATAAGTGGTGATTTTTGAACTTAAACCTCTACCCTTCCCCCACCTCTCCACACATGTAGCATAACCATATAGCACCTTGAAGTAGTATATGCTCTTAGTGTGTACCTTGTAAGGATCCTCAGGATCTACCCAGGCCACATGAAACATATGGCGAATTTCTTCTGCCAGTCCGATTCTTGCTCCACTGTTGGCTGATACATAGATGCGTGGAATACCTTCTGCCCTAGCAAGTTCGGAAGCTCTGAGAAATAACAAATCCTCTTGAGGCCCAAAGGACCCAATTCGGTATGTGATGTCATTGCCAATAACAATGATATCTCGGCCTTCTGGATATTCAGGACTTTTAAAGGTCATTTTCCAAGCTACCATGCCAATCTGGAAAGGCATAAACAAACAAATGAACAGAAGTTTCTTACAGGCAGAATTTTTTTCAGGTTCATTGAAGGTATCAGAGTATACCTAGGCACAGCCATTATGTAAAGATACACATTGCTAAAGAGCCAAACTCCCTGTGGGAAACTACAAAAGACATTCTAGTATACTGCTAGATTATGCTGAGAACAGCTGGTCTACTGTGTATTTCAAAACTGTCTCAATTCCTTCTTTGGGCCTGCTCAAAGAAGACAGAAAAGCCAAAATCTAAATGCACTCAGGATACATGTGGAAGAATGCCATGGCACTGTTGATTAAATCTAGATATCTCATTTTACTGCCATATATACTAAGACACTGATATGGTTTGGATGTCTGTCCTCTCTAAATCTCATGTTGAGATATGATTCCTAACATTAGAGGTGGGGCCTGGTGTGAGGTGTTTGGGTCATGGGGTGGATCCCTCATGAATGGCTTGGTGCTCCCCTTTGATCTGAGTTTATGCTAGATCTGGTTGTTTGAAAGAGTGTGGCCTCTTGTGGGTGAAAGCAAGCATGAAGAGAGTGCTATGAACGCCTTGGGCACACTACAAGAGTACAAGGTGGTGGGTTGCTGCCTGCCCACCCCCAAATGCCACATGCTGCCCTTCTATGGTATGCGAATCTTGCACCTAATCATGTCATTGTCAAGTCCCGTCTCTGGTACTTGGTATCTCAGCTAAAGAAGATAAGGAGTCTTCAGGGAAAATTGTCTACTGTAGGTAGGTGTTTGAGAAATCCCCCCTGCAGGTGAAGAAATCTGGCATCTAGCTGCACTACGACTCCCGTAGCAGCACCTACAACATGTACTGGATATCAGGACTTGACCACCATGGGTGCTGTCATCCAGTGCTAGTGAGACATGGGCACCTGGCATCACACACAGGCCCACTCCACCCAGATCATGAAGGTGGAGACTGCGGCCAGCAAGTGCTGCCAGCTGGCGGTCAAACAGTTCCATGACTCCGAGATCAAGTTCCCACTGCCCCATGGGGTCCTGCATGGTTAGCATAAGCCATACTTCACCACCAAGAGTCCCAACACCTTCTTCTAGGTGCAGGGCCCTCTCACCCAGGTGTGGCTTAAATTAACTCAAAAATGTCACGGTGCTAAAAAAAAAAAAAAAAAAAAAAAAAAAAAAAAGAGTGTAGCACTTTGCCCCCCACCTCTCTCTTGCTCCCTCTCACCTCTCTCTTGCTCCCTCTCTCACCATGTCATGTGCTGGGTCCCCCTTCACCTTCCTCCAAGATCATAAGCTTCCTGAGACCCTTAGCAGAAGCCCAACAGATGCAGTTGCCATGCTTATAGAGCCTGCAGAACCATGATCCAAAAATAAACATCTTTTCTTTATAAATTATCCAGCCTCAGGTATTCCTTTATAGCAACACAAATGGACTATCACAGACACTATTTCCATCTTTTGTGACATTTGTTCCAAGAAACCTTTAACACACAAGGAAGCAGAAAAAGGATGACGTCTCACGGACTGTACACTTTTCATGATCCAGGCTCCTTGTACTGTCCTCTAGCATTTGATAGGAATAACAGAAACACTCTTTACTGATTTGTTTCAGGTATGTTCCATTTCTGCTAGAATTTACCAATGCTCAACATTGCATCCTTGTGAGCATCTCTTGCTTTCTTCTAGCACCAGAAAAACCAAAGGATGGAAATAACTAATCTCTTGCTGCACTATATGTAAATCTCTGCTCTCTGTTCAGCAGCATCTGGCCAGCTACACAAATAAATGATATTGACTTAAAAGGCAGAGGTGACATGTCTCTTCCCAAACTCTCACAGCCCTCTCCTGTTTTAATCCCCTTCTATATGAGAACTAGTCAATCCTTCTACTTGTATATTTGCTAGTTCCATTTCTTTTCTATGCTATTCATTCATACGCTAGTTACAGCTGTAGTTTTTCATGTCTGCCTGCCTGTTTCCCCTATACCTGGATAAGTAATGTTTTCCATTCTTTTTTTCCCCCTTTCTTTCTGTCTCTCACCCCCCTCCTTGCCCCCACCACTCGCCACCAAACACAAAGCCTACCTACCAGATGAGCTTCCCTGGTCCTGCCTAATGGAGCCCCAGCCACATCTGCAGCCTTGGTCCCTCATCCCCAGGCTGCTGCATATCACCTCATTGGGGAGCTGGCCATCAAGAAGGGCCATTAACAGATGTAAATAGCGGCATCCCTGGAAAGCCACATGCATCACCCAGACTCAACCAGGCCAGTGATCATAAGCTCTGAGTACACATTCCTCAATCCAATTGCACATCCACTGTAATCAGGCTGGTTGAAGCATTCTACACAGCTATTTGTGATTCTCAGCATTAGGAAATATATATATGAAACACCCTCAGATAAATATAAGCTATTTAATATATCATACCATTGGCCAAATACAAGTCAAAATGGATATGATACACAGAAAAAAATCCAATCACTTTCTAAGATAAGGTATTACTCTATCTACTCATTAAAGACAGAGAAAGGAAGGAAAAATAGATCATTCAAAAAATAACACAGTGAACACTCAAATATCAGGATAATTTTGGTTGTGGTTTCTAAGAAGCTAGTTAATATAATCCCTGCATGAGGAGAAATGCTTTATCTGCCTTCACACATGCCCCTCTAACCCCAAACCTTTTGTTTTTCAGGAATGAAAAGCTATTTTCTGTCAATTTTCCTCTAAATGCATTTGTAGTTAGAAAGATTGCGTTTTACACCAAATTTTATGATATATTAACCCTAGGCACATAGGCCAGAAGCAGCTTAGATACAAGCCCTGAAGAATCTACTTCAGCATTTGTGTGCTAATGTAAACATTGCGACCATGTGGCACTGGGCAGGCAAATAATACTCTTATCTTTCATTACTACCTGGGGACTCTAACTGTGTCACTTGGGCAGCAAGTTCAGCAATTGGCTAGGTCATTATGCTTGCAATATTGACTTCTAATTAGGTGTCAGCACAGCAGCACCAAGAACACACTATTCTTTATCAATGTCTTTCCAAAGTATGTTGCTCATCGACCGCCTCCCCACCCCGCCCCGCCCCCCATCTTAAAAAGTACCATTACAGAATGGAGAGTGTTATCCCAGTCTCAGTGCAGCAAGATTCCTGATCAGAAGACATTCAGTTTTGAGGTAGCATGATGGACAAACATCTAAGAAAGCACTATTATTCAATTTACATTAAAATAATTTAGATTTCACTGCTAATCAAAGGATAGGGCATATAAAGGTGAACATGGGCTTTGGAGTCCAACAAACTTAGATCCAAATCCAGGCGCTATCACTTATATTAACTAACTGTGTGATCTTAAGAAAATTATTTAATTTTACTGAGCTTCAATGTCCCCACATGCGAAATTAAGAAAATAATACCCATGGGTTTGATAAACACACTATTAGAAGCAGAAATCTACTATATTAACTTCTACGTAAAAAACTTTGTCTTTCTCTCTCCTCTCCTCTCACTCTGTCCAAATCTTACCCATTCCAAAAGGTTCATCCAAATTCCATTTCCTCAGTAAAGCTTCTCCCAGCCTAAAGTAATTCCTATCTTTTCTGATCTCCTACTAAGACCTCTGTGTAGAGAATTTTTTTTTTTTTTTTTTGAGACAGAGTCTCGCTCTGTCACCCAGGCTGGAGTGTAGTGGCACAATCTTGGCTCACTGCAACCTTCAACTCCTGGGCTCAAGGCAATCCTCCCATCTCAGCCTCCCAAATAACTGGGACTACAGGCATGTGCCACCATACTCGGCCAATTTTTGCATTTTTTTGTAGAGACAGGATTTTACCATGTTGCCCAGGCTGGTCTCAAACTCCTGGCCTCAAGCCATCCTCCTGCCTAGGCCTCCCAAATTACTGGGATTATAGGCGTGAGCCACCTTGCCCAGCCTGAGAATTCTTCTGATAACTAATTATATGCTGCCTAGGATTGCTTTTGGCTTACCATCTTGAACGATTATAGCATCTCCTCTAGTGCTTCCCAGGAACATTAAACATAGTCTGGGAGTAATAAATGTTTGCTAGTTCCAGAGTCTTTTTATTTTTTCAATTTAATTTTTTTTTTTAAGACAGGGTCTTGCTATGTCACCTAGGCTGGAGTGCAGTGGCACAAATACAGCTCACTGAAGCCTTGGCCTCCTGGGCTTAAGTGATTCTCCCATTCAGCCTCCTGTGTAGCTGGGACCACAGGCGTGTGTGTTACCACCATGCCCAGCTAATTTTTTTTATTTTTTGTAGAGATGGGGTCTCACCATCTTGCCCAGGCTGGTCTTGAACTCCTGGACTCAAGTGATCCTCCTGTCTCGGCCTCCCAAAATGCTGGGATTACAGGTGTGAGCCACTGCACCCTGCCTCACTTTTAAAAATAACACTTGAAAAATACTTAACACCAAGGGCTTAGAACATTGCCACTTATATTTTAGGAATCATAGAATAAGAGTCCTGAATATTCTTAAACTATTTTATTTTAAAAATAACAATAGCTATCATAATAACTACCATTAATTGAACATTTACTATCTGCTGTACTGTTCTAAAAGTTGACAACTACTGATAGTGGTTAAGAGCTTAAGCTGCAAAGTCAAGCTGTCTTGGTTCAAATCTCAGTTTTATGCTAGCTGTATAACCTTGGACACTTAACCTTTTACAGTTTCACTTTTCCAATTATAAAATGGGGATGACAGCACCTTTCTGGAGGTATTGTTGTGAGCAACACCATGTTAAACTAGTACAGAGCCTGGCACACAAAAGCCCTCAAATGGTAGTCAGTATTAATTCAAAGGTAGCTGTAATTATTGCCATGAGGAAATTAAGGCACAGAGGAATTAAGTAACCTGTCCTTATAGCTAATGTGAATTGTTTACTTATTTTTTTTTTGAGATGGAGTCTTGCTCCGTCACCCAGGCTGGAGTGCAGTAGCGTGATCTCGGGTCACTACAACCTCCACCTCCCGAGTTCAAGCAATTCTCCTGCCTCAGTTTCCTGAGTAGCTGGGATTACAGGTGCATGCCACCAGGCCTGGCTAATTTTTGCATTTTTTTTTTTTTTTTTTTTTTTGGTACAGATGGGGTTTCACCATGTTGGCCAGGTTGGTCTCGAACTCCTGACCTTGTGATCCGCCCGCCTTGGCCTCCCAAAGTGCTTATTTTTTAAAAGGAGTTTCACATACACAAAAATGGTATTTTCTTTTTTTTTTTTTTTTTTGAGACAGAGTCTCAGGCCATTGCCCAGGCTGGAGTACAGTGGCGTGATCTTGGCTTGCTGCAACCTGTGCCTAGGTTGGAGTGCAGTGATGCAATCTTGGCTTGCTGCAACCTCCGCCTCTCAGGTTCAAGTGATTATCCTGCCTCAGCCTCCCAAGTAACTAGGATTACAGGCACGTAACACCACGCCCGGCTAATTTTTGTATTTTTAGTAGAGACGGGATTTCACCATGTTGGCCAGGCTGGTCTCGAACCCCTGACCTCAGGTGATCCACCTGCCTCGGCCTCCCAAAGTGCTGGGATAGCAGGCACGAGCCACCGCGCCCAGCCAAGAAATGGCATTTTCTTTACTAGAGAAATTAAGGAAGTATGTTCCTTAATTAAAAAGATATTAGTACAAAAACTGGCAAAAAAAAAAAAAAAAAAGAGGTCTGTGGTTTATTTAATACAATTGTATCAATATTTATTTCTTAGTTTGGTAATCATATCATGGTTACATAAAGTGTTTTAACATTAAGAGAAGCTGGGAAAGGGTATACCAGAACTCTCTAATATGATCTTTGTAACTTTCCTGAAAATCTAAAATTATTTTGGAGGGAAGTAAATTGGATAGTAAGATCACTGTTAGTGTTCTGTACAGCCTTATAAGATGATGACTATGAAGACTATGAATAGCATTTAAAAATACCCATGATGTAATACTAAATTAGAAAAGGGTTCAGACTCAGGAGCCACATTCTGAGACTCTGAATCTGAATCTAAGATAATTTGACAGAACTGAGACTCAGCTTTCTAGCCATATACGCTAAGGTAAGTTATCAACCTCCCTGTACCTCAGTTCCTTCACTGGTAAAACAAGGGTAATAAAAATCTACGGCATAAGTTTGTTGTAAGGATTAAATACATGTTAAGTCCTAGGATAGTGCCTGGTATATAGTAAGTGCATAGTATGAATGACAACTTCATCAATTGAAAAGCACTTTGCGGGGTAAAAACAAAAATAAATAAGAAACAGCAAAATGAGGTGATAATTATTGGGATGATGAAATTGTATTTTTTTTCCATTCTCCAAATTTTCTTTTTTGTGTTTATATTGCATTGATAACTTTAACTTTTTATAAAATAAAAAATAACTGAGAAAAGAAAACTACCAAATACTCTTCACTGGGTGATAGGTACATGGGAGTTTATATTATTTATGCCTACTTTAGTGTACGTTTGAGCATTTCCATAACAAAAAAAAAAATTTAAGGGGGGAAAAAAATCTCACCAGCCTAATTGATTTCCCATATTTTAGAGGAACTAATTCTAGATTTTAGTCATACTACAACCGATCTTATTTATATAAAATTTGAAAGAGATAAATGTATGAAAATTAAAAATCAAGACTCACTTTAAAGAGAAAGAAATATCAAGAACTACGTTAGTTTGTTGGGTTATCATTTCATTTTCTAAAAAGAAATGCTCTGCAATGATGTGGTAGAGTGTAAACATATGTATATATAGGTTTATACAATATTAATGTCTCTACCTCAGAAGTAACTGCTTCAGTGTTTTTCTGGTCTGATGGTTAAATACATATTTATATTTTTAAAGTCAATATTTGTACAATAGACAAGAACAGTGCCTATCAGCTAAATACATATTTAGGACTGTACCACATGTATTACAAACATGTACTAAAATCGAAAGCTTTTATTTATACAGAACCTTTCATCTTGAAGAGGGCTAAAGAACTTTACAAACATATGTACATAAAAGGACGTTTGCACTGATAGGCAGGGAAGGTACTCATTCACCCACTCCCCTATTTCTTCTACCAGTCCTGGGTAGGAACACATGGTGTCAACAGATGCAGGTCTGTAACAGCTGCAAAGACATACAACACAATAATCCAGTTGTGATGCACAGTCACTGAGAGGAAGCTTGCAACTTGAGAATAGCAACAGCTCTCCTCCAGTGTAGAAGCACCATAGCCATTTCCAGCTTTGTGTTTTTAAATTATTCTCTACCCAACTCAACTAATCACCTGACAAAATTGAATTTGATACTGGAAATGGTTTCTGAATGCAAAATACTTTCTGTCTGATGATGAAAACTAGATTGAAAAATGCTTCCCTCTGCCCTTGTTAGATTTAGGAAAAATAAAAAAGGGTTACAACATTCAGGAGAAATGGTTCAAAATATTCTACCTAAGAATAGCTTCATCTCAAAGGATTAGATCATTGCTTTGGAAGAGAGTCATATTTCACTCTCTAATTAGTACACTGTTAAGTTTTTCAGTCAAATTACTTTCTATAGATGGGTCTATCTATATTATATACATAATGGAGATTTCATATCGAAAATTCTACAATCACTATAAAAGTATACACAGTGTGACAATGTGATTAGCAATGTGACATTCATTGATTTCACCTAAGCCCAATCTGCATGTATATTAATTGAAGAATAATGACTAACGGAGACCCCATCATTAAATCCCTCTTTTTGGGGGTCTTCTCTTTCTCTCCAACATTTTTATCCAGGTGAAACCCAGTGAAAATGACATGCCAGGACTAAGAGCTGAAGGAAGATGGAAGAGCTAAGAAATTAACAAAAAGGTACCCTGTAGCCCGCATGTAAGTGGGTGGGTTTATGGTCTAATGAGTTTTAGACTCAAACGGGCAGTGCCAGTGTCGTCTTCTCTGATCACTGCCTCTCTCATGCACTGACTAAACAAGTGGTCCTAGGTACTTACTACAAATTATTTTGTCATTACTATAGCCATGAATAAGTTTTAAAATATTTAATTTCAGATCATTTTTCATAACAGAACATTCCAACGAGCAGGTTTATTAGGTTTAGGGTTATCAACCTAAGCTGATTATCTTAAAGTGAAAAAGGGAAGAGGATGAAAAGAGCCACAGTGAATAAGCTAAGGATAAGCAGAAATAAATATTTGTTTCCCTTATACAAGTTCTAAGGCAGAACATATTTCTTTGGCTACATTCTGATTCTGGAATGAACAGCTCAAGTGAGGGAGGAGGGGATGGGAAGGAGAAAGCAAGCAGAAGAGAACAGTCTTATTTAACTGTTTTTATGTGGGTAAAATGATTTGTGCCACAGTATTTCCATAAGAAGTGGGACCATTATTTTCCTGTAGAAACACATTTGGTTTGAAAAGTATCACTGGACAGGACGTGAAAATCAAACCAAATGAATTATTCACAACCTCCGATCAGAGGTGATCATTATTTCTGATGCTCCAAACAGTGATTAGGATTCTGCCCTGAGATGTCATTTTCTCGCTGAGTAACACCAGCGATACAGAAAGGCATTATCTATCTATCCATATATGTATTTTTTCTGCTGGGAGGACCTTGGTTTAATGTTACTATAACAGATAGTGAAAACATGATAATATTAACATTTATTCTGATGGTGCCCATAAATGCCATTAGTCTGACACAAAGTGTCAACACTAATCATGACCCAAAATTAACACCAAAATTGACATCAACATTAATTGTACTATCAATGTGAATAGAATGTGCAAGCACACACAGGCACTTCCCAAAGCTGCTGTTGTTACTACAAAATAAAACAACAATATTAAGCTCAACAAAGAAATTTGCAGGAAAAGCTAAGGGCAAAACATGCCAGGATTTTGTTTTTTAAGGGTGAAAGACATATCCATCAACTCTAGCTATGCTGTGGGAAGCAGAAAGAGAATATCTTTGCCACAGCTGCCTTTCTTACATCTCCACACTTTGACTTGAGCTCTAACAATACCTTTCCATACAGATTTAAATACAGGTTAGGCTGTGGCTGAGATGTTGAAGCTGTATTCGTTATATTCATGCTAAAAGCCTTGCTATATTCATGCTAAAATGATCTTGAGTTTTTTTTGGAAGAGTCTGTAAAACCTATTGTTCTAATTCTGCTAATGCCAGGAAGATGACTACCCTGCAAGGCCCTTGAGCAGCAATACAAAGAATCCAAGCATGTTAGCGCTAACCCAGACTTGGGCATCATCTGCATCATAAAGATGAGAAAACTAAGATCCAGAGAGCAGGAATCTGAACTTGAGTCCCTTCTCAGATATATAACAAAATGTTACCTCTTTCCCCCTTTTGTATCTTGTATCCAAGCATGAAAAAAAGAGTTTTTCAGCTCTTAAGAAAATTATTTTGAGCTCCTTCACATGATCACAGAACACTAAATAATAGAACATTGATATCTGGCAAATAATACAATATGGAAAGGCATTGACATATTTTTCAGCATGGCTTTTCCAAATGGCACAAATTAAGTCAAATATTGTATTTTAAGCCTTATGGCTTACTTCAAAAATGGCTGAACAAACTCACCTCAACCTCTCTAAACAGCGATAAAAGGGTAAGAAAAATATAACTTTTAGAGCAAAAAATTTTCATCCCAGAGGTAATTCTTTGAAAATGTTATCAAAGATTAGAAATAACAATTTTGAACAGGGAAATTATTTCTCCCTGTAACATTTATATACATGAAACCACAGTAATTTTACACATGTACACACAGTAATTTAATAAGCATAGGAATTATTTTTTAACAAACATGCAGTGGAGCACATAGAAGCCAGCGGTATTTGAGAAATGGGGCCCAGGATTAATTGGTTGGTATGGAAATTAACCAAGTTGGCCTACTATAGTCCCAGAAGCCTTGTCCATTAATCATACGAATGAGTGCTGAACTCTGGTGCCCCCCGCTACTCCTCATTCTCTGGTGTCATCTGTTGCTGTCCTGATGTTCATTATTGCCTCTGGTTGGAGCTGTAAAGTTTCTTGACATAGGGTACTATGTCACATTCTTTTTCAGTAAAATCTTACAACTTAAGACAGGTATAAATATGCTGGCAAGTACATTCTTTTGTTTGAAGGCTATCTCTAGACTTATTTTTGAAAGAAACTGAGGAGCCCTCCACAAGTACTACTTTAGTGAGCCAGTGGATGCATTAGGATTTTCAAAGTCAATCAAGGTTACTGAGCCTCATTTTGCTATCAAAAAAATGAGTAAAAACTACTCAACCTGATGAGAAATCTCCAACACCAATAATAGTCATTCAGAAGGAATTCTGAGAAAAGTATATACATCCCAAAAGAACAGTGTCAGAAATTCATTAGAAGTAATTCCATGGTAGGAAGACTTATTTTTCAAAATTAGCCTCCATATTTTTCTAATGAGGGATCCAAGTTTGGTTTGGAAGATCATTTTAGACAAAGACTTGCAGCCAAATATACTTACTTAGAATGGGAATAAAAGAACAAAAACATAGAATTAACATAAAATTATCTTACCATATATGCCATAATATATCTTTCTCTATACTTAATCTCAAGGATTCAAAATTGATTTTTCAAAGCCTTGATGAAAAATAAGGCAAGCACAAATTATGAATACTTATGTATAATCATAATCATTTATGGATAATCATAATTATACATAATCATATGTATTTGACCCTTTTCTGCTGAGGATCCCAAAGCACTTATAAACATTCTCCTATCTTTAGGGACAGATTAATGGCAAAGACCCTTTTTATAAGTTGAACAATCAATGCATAGACCATGGTCCTGTTTTACAGACCCGCTTCGCTTAGGTCTATTTCAGAACTCACCTTCAGCATAGTACAATTTAAATATGCCTCTTTTCTAACACATATCTAAAAGACTGACACTGACTCAATTTCTATACACAGCATGAAAAGGCAAACTGATTTCAAAAGAATGAAACAAAAGCAAGGTAAAGTACATCCAAATTAGCATCACATTCATGGAGCTATTTTGAGGTTAAATTGAGTAAAACAATTTAAAAAATCTAATGTTAAATATTTGGGTCCTGTGTTCATGAGAAATGGCCTACCCTTTTCTCACCACCAAAACCCGTAAGCATATACACACTCTCTACAGGCAGAGTTTTAGAACATAATGCTTTCCACTAGAATCTGAGTCCAGGATAACCCAAGCAATTCCTTTGAGGGTATGGAAAATGTCAACCAAGTGAATTAAGACAGAGGGTTATGGTGGTTTTTCTAAAATAAGAGGTCCTTTGGGTTAAGAGGTCCAGCCTAAGAACTGTCAAAATGGATCTACTAATTAATTTCTTCTAATCTTTTAGGCTTATATAAGCTTACCAACTTCCTTTCCCTACCAACTCCTAAATTGTTTTTTTGATACTCAAATTAGAGATTCAAAGGATTATAGTAACATGTAAGTGAGGAGCCCAGTCAAAATGGTAAGATTTGTTTAAGCTGGTCAGTAGATGCAGGGGTATTTGTCATATCACTGTGTATTTTTTTATATGTTTAAAATAAAAAAATTAATGAGATGCTATACTTTGGGAGACATAGGATATCAGTACATTGCCAACAATTAAAACAATAATTAAATATGGGTATTAGTTGGGCTAGCAGTTCTAAAACTGAACCCCTAATCCCCACTGTCCCTACCATTTCACCCCTGAGAACATAAAGCAGGACTAAAACCAAAATACCAGTCATGATGGCAGCTAGTCTTTTTTTTTTTCAGCCAGAGTCTCACTCTGTCGCCCAGGCTGGAGTGCAGTCGTGCGATCTTGGCTCGCTGCATCCTCCACCTCCTGGGCTCAAGAGATTCCTGTGCCTCAGTCTCCTGAGTAGCTGGGATTACAGGCGCCTGCCAACACGCCTGGCTAATTTATATATATATATATATATATATATATATATATATATATATATTTTTTTTTTTTTTTTTTTTTTTTTTTTTTTTTGTAGAGATAGGGTTTTGCCATGTTGGCCAGGCTGGTCTCAAACTCCTGGCGTCAAGTGATCCGCCGACCTTGGTCTCCCAAAGTGTTGGGATTACAGGCATGCGCCACCGCGCCTGGCTGTCAGCTAGTCTTTAAACTTTAATTTACACTACTTTATTTCCTCTTCAATCATCCTCTTCTTTAAAAAAAAAAAATAGATCCCTAATGCAAGGTTCAAAGGATCTTCAACCAAAGAGTTAAAATTGCAATTGCTTATTGCAGGAACACTAGGTAAAGGCTACTATACCAACTGAAAAAAGAAGGACACCAGTGAATCTGCCTCAACAAACAAGGCCACTCACAAGGCTCATGTGAATGCTAAGCTGCTGAGAAGGAAAAACCCTGACACCTAGCGCCCATCTGAAAAAATGAAGGCTCAGAGCTACCACAATTCTTAAGAGTGGTAGTGTGTGTAGAGGTGACCATCAAATTGCATTCAATTTTTTTTTCTTTTTCTTTTTCTTTTTTTTTGAGACGGAGTCTCACTCTGTAACCAGGCTTGAGTGCAGTGGCGCGATCTCGGCTCACTGCAACCTCTGCCTCCCGGGTTCAAGCGATTCTCCTGCCTCAGCCTGCCAAGTAGCTGGGACTACAGGCACCCGCCACCACGCCTGGCTAATTTTTGTATTTTTAGTAGAGACAGGGTTTCACCATGTGGGCCAGGATGGTCTCGATCTCTTGACCTCATGATCTGCCCGCCTCAGCCTCCCAAAGTGCTGGGACTACAGGTATGAGCCACCACGCCTGGCCCCAGTTGCATTCAATTTTCAATATACTTTCCTCCCAGAAAAACTTTTATACCAAGAATTCCAGTCTCTGAATACCAACCCCTTTTTTGGATATACATCTTGTACCTAATTATTATAACTGCTTCCAAATACAACATCGCAACATCGTCTTCTCATCTCAGTTTCTCATTATGACAGGCATGATGAGACAGAATGTTAAAAAGCTGCCCATGTTCTGATATAGTAAGAAAAACAGGGTCCTAATTTCTACTAGCACTAAAGTTACTATGGTAGTTGACTCTCTAACATATCTTTCAGCATTGCCCACTTTAGAGATTACTGGTCTAGTTCGCAGAGCTGATAAAAAGAAATAAAATAAAAGAATGCTAGTAACTTATTTCAGAATAAACAAGAGCATAGTCTCAAGAAGGCTAGGATTTTCTTTGTCCTACCAGGCAAAGTTAAGTTGTTCTCTGTCAAGTCCGTTACAGCCCTTGGCTTGATCTTAGCCTGAGCTTTTTAATAACAGGATTTAGTGCGAAAAGCAGCTGTACTGGATTGCGAACTGTTACTCAAAATGTCCCCACCTGCAATTATAGCTTCCACCAAAAGATCAAAACAGGTTAGTAAACTGGCAGGAAAATGAAAACAATTCCTCCAAAATTGAGAAGTGGTAAAGTAGAACTGTTGGATAGCTGCATTTCTTCTGTATCCAGGCTCAACAGCACACATTCATCTAGCTGTGTATTTACATACAGTGCCCATCACTGTACCAACACAGCAGCTAGAAATGAGATCCGTTTAGTCTATGCTGCAATCACATTTTCCTCAATTTTCATCTTTACTTGAAACTATTAAGAAAAATCTTGGACAACTCATCTTTGGAGCTATCTGCAAGTAACGTAGTTCACAGATTTAGTCTACATCTTTTTTATTCCTACTCTAAAGTCATACTAAATGTAATGCCATTCAAATATGACAATGAGAAAAATGTGTTCTCCTATACCTTTCATCATGCATTAGGTGGTACTCCTTTAGTTACATCTTTCTTTATGGGGAAGGGACAACTAGGAAAATAGAAAGGAGACAGTAGCTAATACAGCATCAGAAAAGCTCTGTCTCCTGCTCTAAACACAGGCATAAATGTTCAAAATGCAGGTCACATCTCTACTGAAACAGCCAATATTCCTCCTCAAATGGCAAAGAAGTTACCTAAAACTAAATGGAACTGAATTGGTCCAAGTCCTGGTCCCATCACCTTTTTACCTATTTACTGTCCTGGAAAAAAAAATTAGAAAGACTGGCCACCCATACAGCCAATGGTCTGATAAGTGCAGGTTTTCTGCCTTCGATCATGGAGAAAAGCACCTCAATTCATGGGAAAACTCTGAAGGAATCTCTCATTTTACCCTTACTCCTTACATCCATGTGCTAGTTTTCAAACTCAGAAACTCCAATCCTTGAAGGTAATGCAATACCACCCACAATGATGACCTGGTAGAGCCGTCACTTTTGGAGAACACCACATTATGATGATTTAATGTCTACATAGCACCAATGCATTTACATTGAGCCTTGGCTTTCAGAACATTAACAGGTCAATTTTTTATTCTTTTGTAATAAAACTATTTCTCAAGGCTCTGTCCAGATGCCCATTCTCTTTGGGACAGGACAGATTTACTCCAAATCTCATCAGCATGAGCTCTGTTCATTCCCTTCACATCATTCTTGGGGTAATATGTAGAGTGCCAGGCTCATGACAAACTTGCTCTTTGGCCAAAGAAAATTAAACCGCAATAGCTGAAAGTCAACTTGCCCTGATAAAACTGGGCTCAGCACGAGGAAATACATCCTACTGACACTTTGTCATCTCTTAGGCACAGCTGTCCCTCAGAGTTCTGACTGCTGAAACTCCATCCTTAGATTGGTCAGTCTCTCAGTGGACATGCTCCATTGTATGTTCAAGCTATTGGTAGCAGAGTTTGATACTAACACCCCAACCTCATTCCTGTTGTGCAGTGCCCTATAATCTAGCTAAGGCCAATGACTGACTTCACCAGCCATCCTGGGCATTAGTCACTAACTGCTCACAAAAGAACATCAGTCTAACTCCTCCCAAGCTCAAAGGCTCAGAAACAGCAAGCTAACACTCAGCCTCAATCCTAGTCAATCATTTGAAAAGAAAAACAGAACAAAGAAAATAGGCAACTAAGGAGGGAAAACTGTAGAACAAGAAGAAAGTGAGAACTGACAAAAACTCAAAATCTTTTGAAGAAATACTATTCACTTTCTGGTTTCAAAACTATTAAAGCACTGGACAAAGGAAAACATGTGGCTCCTATACTAGATCTACTACTAGTCATAGCTATAGTCCTATGCAACTGTTTAAGACATATCTTTTCCACTAAGGTTTGTTAGGTCTTAAAGGGGTTAAAAAAAACCTTTAATTTTTAAAAAATTCGTGTGTGTGTGTGTGTGTGTGTGTGTGTGGTCTTTGGGTACAGAGGCCCGTATAATAAGACTATTTGTATTCATACTGGCAGAGTAAACACTACATGTTCATGCCCAGGCAGCTCTGTGCTTGTAATTTCAGCAAGAACAGAGCTCTGTCCCTCTGGGACTTCACTATTCCCTGAGTCTCCATTCGCTCAAACACAGAATGAGGGCAGAAAGAAAGCAGGAAAGAAAGATCATGGCAAGGGGTTTCACACAGCACTGCAGCTAGCTTTCACGTGGCCAAAAATCTCATTTTGTGTTTTAATTACATTAGTTAAAACCATTTTGCTCTCAGCCCCATGTTCACAAGGGTGCCTTCCATTCCTGAAGACTACACTGTTCAATGAATCAGAATTTAAGTCTAGCACAATGAAGCTTTTCTTTGCTGCTGAGGGGCTCACTAGGCAGATGCTACATACAGTGGCAGAAACCTCTGTTTCAACTTCGTGTGCTGATGAGTATATATCTATGCTTGTCAAAATGTTTTGCATCCTTCCACCCCAGTCCTCTTGACTTTGCTATTTGTTGAGACTCCTACAAGTCTGATACTCTCCATCTGGTCCAATGCTTGCATCCATCTTGATACCAAATCATCTACTGTTGGCATCCACTGGCATATTACTGAAATAGCCACACACCTTGTATATATAGTGAAATTTTTTGAAAAAGATTGAGCAAAATAGAAACAAACTGCTTATTATTTCCAAAGGTCTACCCAGCCTATTTGTGGTGAAAACACAGGTAAAGATTACTCCTTCAATGGAATGAAATCTTTCTAGGGATTATATTTAAGGTTGAAATAAAAATATCTCTCTTTTTAGGTTTGTTACTGGTATTATCATTGTTATAACTGTACATTAGGAGCACAGTTAAAATCAGAAAGAATCATAATGCATGGACAAGAGTATAAGAGTATAGGGCAAAATAGGACTTTATATCACTATTCATAGGTTACTCTGAGAGAAAGGATGCCAAGGCTAGAAAATGCATTCTTGGGATAATTATCAAAAAATGGGTTCTTTGCTACATTTTTTATGTTTGAACCCCTAATTCTGATTGAGCCCCTTCAAGAACACATTTATCATGCTCACAACAGCACCAGATCAAATGAATTGAGCATGGAAAAGACACTGAAAAATGCATTTATTAATATGAATCCAAATAAGAAAAAACATTAAGCAAAACAATACTTTAAATGTTTTCATTATAGAAAATCCTGGCTGGGCACAATGGTGCACACCTAAAATCCCAGCACTTTTCGGGGCTGAGGCAGGCAGATTGCTTGAGCTCAGGAGCTTGAGACCAACATGGTGAAACCCCATCTCAAGAAAAAAATACAAAAATTAGCCAAGTGTAGTGGTGCACACCTGTAGTACCAGCTACTCAGGAGGCTGAGGTGAGAGGATCACTTGAGACATGGAGGTCAAGGCTGCAGTGAGCTGAGATTGAGCCACTGCACTCCAGCCTGTGTGACAGAGCGAGACACCATCTCAAAAAAAGAAAAAAGAAAAAAAGAAAATCCCCAAATTTCACACATAGACAAAAACAGGGAAAATAATCTATTTTCATGTACCTATCACCTAGCTTCAATGATCAACTCACGACCAACCCTGTTTCATCTACACACCCACCCTCACACCTCTTTATTTAGAAGCAAATCATTGCATCTGTAAATGTCTTAGTCTGTATCTCTAAAAGAAAACAATATTCCTTTTTATTTTTTTAAAACTGAGTCCTTTGTGTTAAAACAATACTATTTTAAAAAGCAAAATCATAATACCATTATCACACCTAAAAAATTAATAATTTCTTGATACTCAGTCAATGCTCTCTCTAAAGAACTCTCCCAACAAGACTACCATGCTCCAGTGCTATTTAATGACCACCTCACAGAAAGCTGGTACTAGTGGGCACAGAGATAAGAAAGGGAAGGGGGGTTTCAACTACTTGCCTCATTTCCTCCTGGAAGCCTGTTCATGTGGACCAGCTGACCTTGATCATCCAGTACCAGTTCAGTGTAAGTCAGCATGTCAGAAGGCAGAGGGGGAGATGGAAGAAATGCTTGAGTGGACATAGACTCCCAGAGTTTGATCAGGGACTAGTGGAGAAAAGAAGTTTGACTAATCAGTCACAATAATTTCAATATAGACAAAAATAATTATTAAGATTCAGTCAATCTGGTTTTGCCTTCTTTTCCAAGTGTTCTGCAGAGTGTAAACATTAGACTAAATTCTCCAGCTCCCATTCTCAGTTAAAATAGATTTGTAATTACTTTTTACATGCCAAAAGTCAGGCACTTTTCCAAAAAGTCAAACTACTGAGTGATTCCAAATCAGCACCAGAGCATTAACAAACAGGAAAGACCTAACACTATCCTAGGAATATTAAAATTAAAAAACTAAATAAGTAGCATCGACTCCTTAAAACAAAGAAAAGGAAAATCCTAAAGAAACTTGACAACAAAGGAATATCCAGGAAAATGACATGACGCTCAGCTAATAAAAAGAAAATCCAAGAAGGCCAGAATGAAGCTTCTACTAGAAATTCCAGGGAAGAAACCTCTTTCTAATATTTTTCATAGCTATAGGACCATACACAGGAATTAGCTCACTAGATGTGTGTGACTATTTGTAAATGTGCAGATCAATTCTGCTCAATTTTGACACAGACATACCAATTCATTTAAAAAATATTATGATTTCCATTTCCAACTTCCTGTAAGTAAATCCTTTGTGAAGTGGGAGCTAATTCAGCTCTTTCTTTGCTTGCCTCAAAGCAACATTTGAATCCCAAGTGACTCATACATACCTATGTGTCCTAATCACTGTGTTTATGCCTATTATATAGGAAGAATTACTTAGAATGTGATTTATATTATATTTATATAGAATGTGATTTATATTATATTTATAGCACTGGCATTGGGAAACAGAAGTAACACTCAGCTTTTAGGCTAGCAATGCTATAAAAGGGAAATACCGAATGAAGGTATCTTTCAGGAGACAGAACTTGTAAACAAATGGTTGCATAAAGGTAATCTCTTGTATTTGTGAATAACACAGGAATTCTACACAGACTATTTACTACGACTACATATATTACTTTACTAAAATTCAAATGTGGTAATACTGGTAGTATTGACTAGGAGACTTGGAAAAATCCTATATTCATAGATTTTTTTAAAAAGGACAAATTCAGTATTCTTTTGATACCTTATTCTTTACTGGTTGCATTTTCTACTGGTGATACACTTTTCTTGCCTTCTATTGATAGAAGAAAAATCTGCAGCATAGAGATGATTCACCATACAGATTGAAAGAATTTGTTTTCATATAGAGGCTGAGATTCATAATGTCATATTTTCTCATGCTAGTTTTTATTCAGCTATAACAAATCTCCCACAAAAGAACTTATACTCTAAACTGTGTACCATGAACTCTATATCCATTTGTCTATGCTATCTATATTGATTCTCATCATATTAATCTAGGGTATCAACTAGGAACCAGGTTTATATTGGAAAATGAGAACTAAAGTATCAGATCTCCTTTTTAATATCCATAATTTGAATATAGACTTGGGAAATACACAGGTAACTCTTCACACAAGTCACTGTAAACTATCACCACAAGAACATAACCTTAGTTTACTCTCTCCTGTCTCCTACTCAATAGAGACTTCTATTCTCACCATTCCTCTCATTAATTCATAAAGAACCATCCAATATCTGAGTTGGCAGTCACCAATCCTCAAATGAAATAGAAATGAAAACAGTGTCAAGATATTTCTTGCCCTTTGGAGTGCCCCCTTCTAGCCAAAACCGCATCTGATGGAAATTCAGGGAAACCTTGCCTCCTTAGAACATGTCAGACCCTCCAGTTAGGCATCTTACCTGCCGAAACATCTCTGGGATATCATATATGTATGTTGTCCCTAAGGATTGTGCCTGGAACCTCTTTGATTGCAGCAGGTCTTTGGTCACATATGGAGTATTGATTAACATTCCATGCAGTGGTCCCTGTTTGTCTCCATATGCCTGAAACATGATCTGCAGGAAAAAAAAATGGCATGGGGAGTTAAGAGACAGAAAAAAATCAGAGAGCTGCCTAGAGGGGCTTTTTTTGCACAAATATTATCTCTTTGAAAACATTTTTGGTAGGTTGAGTAGCTGAGATATGCCTCTTAACACTGGGTACTTGGTGCTCTCACCTCTCCACAGATTAACCAACTCCAAAAAATATATATATATAACCAGCCATATACCATAACTGCTCTCACTTTTAGATTAGTTGAAATCAACAAGAAAGAAGGCCAGGCGCAGTGGCTCACGCCTGTAATCCCAGCACTTTGGGAGGCCAAGGCGGGAGGATCATGAGGTCAGGAGATCGAGACCATCCTGGCTAACATGGTGAAACCTTGTCTCTACTGAAAATACAAAAACATTAGCTGGGCGTGGTGGTGGGCACCTGTAGTCCCAGCTACTCGGGAGGCTGAGGCAGGAGAATGGCGTGAACCCAGGAGGTGGAGCTTGCAGTGAGCCAAGATTGCGCCACTGCACTCCAGCCTGGGCGACAGAGCAAGACTCTGTATCCAAAAAAAAAAAAAAAAAAAAAAAAAAAAAGGAAATAAACAAGAAAGCACGGTGCACATTTCGCATCTCAAAGACAGACTGACCATGCTAGCCATCTAAAGTGAGTTGAATCTCATATACTCAGAAATGAAGTACATCAACTAACCAGTCTGAGCAGCCCTGGTATTGAAGTTGAAGAACAGCTATGCAGTAAAGATAATTCTCTTCTTTCCTCAATGGCAGAAGGCCAGATCAAGACTCTAGTATATCATCTGTGCTTTAGTCCTTTAACCCACTTGATTAGATGGTACTTCATAAGTATTACTAGCTATGCAAAGGCTTCAAAGATTTCTGCCAGAAGTGGATTTCATCCATCCATCTAGATAGTTAATTCTCACTAGCCCATGAGACACAGCCTCATATTTTACATATAGTAAAATAACCATATTATATTAAATTATGTATATTAAAAAACATATATATATATATACATGTATTTACTTCTCCTCAAGATGCTGTCTACAACTAGTGAATAGCTCCTGCAATACCTATATTGTCACATAATGAAATCACTACACTGGTTTTTAATCATTTTAACTCAAATATTTCTAGAGGAGTGCTTCATACTCCATATATTTAGATAGTTTTATTTGCTTATGAATATTTATAAAGGATGCCATTATTTCAATTCAATTAATATTTATTGAGTGCCCAGAGGTTGTATAACACTAAACTAGGCACTTCATGCATGGATACATAAAATATAAATTCCCAGTGCAGTGAATACAAATGGAGATTGGGATGTAAGGGTATGTGTATACCTACATATCTATTCAGACCTACAAAATAAGCACAAGTCTACCATTAATGAATAGATTGTGGACCTGATATATATGCACAGGAATAGAATTAAGTACCTTCCTAAATCGTGGGTACAGTTCATCTGTAAATCCTTAGCCCCTTAGCTCAGAGGAATGAATGTTCTGCTAATTTGTCAATCAGGTCCTGTTCTGGGGAAAACATGTCTCAGGCTGTTTTAAAGACCCAGAGATTGGAGCTCCCAGTCCTCTTCCACAAGATCAATAGGAAAAGTCACCCGGGGGGAAGCAGAATTAGTAATGTCTTAGGAATGTGTCAGTAAAAGCAATAATGTTTTAAGAGATTCAAAGTGTTAAGTAAGGCAAGGGTACAGTATGAGAAAACTGTACTCAGAGCAAGTAAGCTGAATCAAAATAAGAAAATGGGGTAAACGCAGCAGGTTCCTAGAACTACATTTCTCGTCTGTTAAGAGAGACAAGACCTTGAGACTCGGTTTGGCCAAGCTTTGTGATGAAGACAGGCTGGTCATAGTTAAGCAACATAATTGTGCACTGAGGAAGGGGATTGGAGAAAACAATCTAGCTACATATGTATATTGCTGGCAGAAATTTAAATGGTACAAATATTTTGGCAGTTTGTCAATATCTTATAAAGTTAAGCATATGCTTACTGTGTCCCAGCAATTACACTTTTACGTATTTACCCAAAGGAAATAAAAATATATCTACACAAAGATTTGTAAATGAATGTTCACAGCAGCTTTATTACTACTAATAGCTCAAACTAGGAAATAAAACCCCAAATGTCCATCAACAGGTTATCTTGGAAAATTAGACAATGAGAACTAGAGGGCCGGGCGCAGTGGCTCACGCCTGCAATCCCAGCACTTTGGGAGGCCAAAGCAGGCAGATCACGAGGTCAGGAGATCGAGACCATCCTGGCTAACACGGTGAAACCCCGTCTCTACTAAAAATACAAAAAAAAGGCTGAGGCAGGAGAATGGTGTGAACCCAGGAGGTAGAACTTGCAGTGTTGCAGTGAGCCGAGATCGTGCTACTGCACTCCAGCCTGGGCGTCAGAGTGAGACTCCATCTCAAAAGGAAAAAAAAAAAAGAAAGAAAGAAAAGAAAATGAGAACTAGAGTTTCAGTCCTTTTTTTTTTTTTTTTTTTTGGAGACGGAGTTTCACTCTTGTTGCCCAGGCTGGAGTGCAATGGTGCGATCTCGGCTCACCACAACCTCTGCCTCCTGGGTTCAAGTAATTCTCCTGTCTCAGCCTCCCGAGTAGCTGGGATTACAGGCATGCGCCACCACGCCCAGCTAATTTTGTATTTTTAGTAGAGATGGAGTTTCTCCATATTGGTCAGACTGGTCTCAAACTCCTAACCTCAGCTGATTTGCCCACCTCGGCCTCCCAAAGTGCTGGGATTACAGGTGTGAGCCACCATGCCCAGCCAGTCTTTTTTAATATCCATAATTTGAATATGGACTTAGGAAATATACATGTAACTCCTCACACAAATCGTTGTAAACTATCATCACAAGCATGTGGTCTTAGTTTACTCTCTCCTACTCAATAGAGACTTCTATTCTCATCATTCCTCCCATTAATTCATAAAGAACCATCTAATATCTGAGTTGGCAGTCACCCATCCCCAAATGAAATAGAAATGAAAACAGTGTCAAGATATTGCCTGCCCTTTGGGGGTGCCCCTTGCTAGTCAAAGCTATATCTGATGGAAACTCTGGAAAGCCTTGTTTCCTTGGAACATGTCAGAGCTCCCAGTTAGTCACCTTACCTGCCAAAACATATCTGTGAATATAAACATTTTGATAAATGAATGTAAAAATTTCGATAAATCCATTAAATGGGGCTGGGCATGGCAGCTTACACCTGTAATCCCAGCACTTTGGGAGGCCAAGGTGGGAGGGTCCCATGAATCCAGGAGTTTGAGACAAGCCTGGGCAACATTGTGGGACCCTGTCTCTAAAAAAATTTAAAAACTAGCTGGGCATGGTGGTAGACGCCTTTAGTCCCAGCTACTTAGGAGGCTGAGGTGGAAGGACTGCTTGAGCCAAGGAGGTCGAGGCTGTGGTCAGCTATGATTACAATATTGCACTCTAGCTTGGGCAAGATAGTGAGACCCTGTCTCAAAAAAAAAAAAAAAAATCCATGAAACGGAATACTATCCAAAAATGAAAAGGAACATACACATAATCTATGCAACATGGCTGAACCTCAAAAACATTATGCTGAGTAAAATAAGCTAGACACAAAATAGTACACACTGTTTGATTTAAATTCTAGGATAGGCAAAACTAATCTATAGTAACAGAAAGCAGATCAGTGGTTGCCTAAGGCCGGGGTTGGTGCTTCTACCTTTGACTGCAAAGGCGAATAAGAGAACTTTCTGCAGTGATGTATCTACCACAACTGTGATAGTACTTACACGGTGTATACATTTGACAGAATGAATTGAACTGCACACACAAAACGAGTCCATTTTATTATAAGTAAATTGCACTTCAATAAAGGTGTTATTTATTATTTTTAGAGGCAGTGTCTCACTCTCTCGCCCAGGCTGGAGTGTGGTGTCACAATCATAGCTCATTGCAGCCTCAAACTCTGGGGCCCAAGTGATACTTCTGCCTCAGCCTCCTGAGTAGTTGGTACTACAGGTGCATGACACCATGCCTGGCTATTTCTTTTTTTTTTTTTTTTTTTTTTTTTTTTTGGTAGAGACAGGGTCTTGCCTTGTTGAGCTGGCTAGTGTCAAACTCCTGGGCTCATGTGATCCTCCCACCTTGGTCTCCCAAAGTGCTGGGATTACAGGTATGAGCCACCATGCCCAGCCCAAAGATGATTTTAAAATGTTATTTTTCTTTTTTTTGAGACGGATTCTTGCTCCATTGCCCAGGTTAGAGCACAGTGGCACGATCTCAGCTCACTACAACCTCCGCCTCCCGGGTTCTAGCAATTCTCCTGTCTCAGCCTCCTGAGTAGCTGGGACTACAGGCCCCTGCCACCACTCCCGGCTAATTTTTGTATTTTTAGTAGAGACAGGCTTTCACCTTGTTGGTCAGGCTGGTCTCGAACTCCTGACCTCAGGTGATCCATCTGCCTTGGCCTCCCAAAGTGCTGGGATTACAGGCGTGAGTCACTGCGCCCAGCCTAAAATGTTATTTTTCTCTTACACTGCACATTGGAAATCAATTCACTTATGCAATGGATTACCCAAATCTCTTCTCCCCATTATGACTGCCTGACATCAGTGTTCATTACAGCCTATACTACAAAGACTGTACAAGGAAAATGAAAAATAAAACTCAAGCCAATCAACCTTGTTCCTTATTGGCAGAATGAATAAATGATGTGCTAGGGCAAGAGGCTGATAGTAATAGGAGTTCCTGAATACTCAACTATCTATGTTAGTTCCATTTTCTACTATAATGAACGCAGTAACTAAAAACTGTAAAGTATGTTTTAGAAGTTCATGAAAATATGTACACATTTTATATATCACACACCTTTCACCAGAAGCCATCAAAATTATTTTAGAAAATAATTTCTGACCCATAGTCTGCTCCCTTAGAACACTGTATTTATTTATAATAGCACATATTTGCCACAGAGAAACAAATCATTTGTCTTCTTCCATTGTGATGTAAATTTCTTGAGTACAGTTTGCTTTTTCTCTTTATACGCATAGTGCCTGACATACTATAAGTAGTCAATCAATATTAAATTAAAAAACAAATGAACGAATAACAGACATGGTTCTGTATTAACTTCATACAATGATTCATTAAAGAAAGGGAAAAACAGTTTGACAATAAGCACCATGTAGGCATTAGGAGCACCAGAACTGGGTTGGAGGCTGCTCCTTTTGTCAGTTCCCACGTCTAGCCACAGGCTCAAAAGTTAGTTCCCATATGGCAGTAGCTCTTGAACTCTCTCAAGTGAAGAGTCTGTAGAAGACCTCTTCCTTCAGGGCTTTTAAAATATGCAGGACCCTAGGTAAAAAGCGTTTTCCTTCAGGCTGAAGGTGGTTTGTTCATTCTTTCAGATGCTTATTGTGTGCTTATTTTGTACCATGTGTAATACTAAACCCTGATTGAAGGCATCTGTGCCTTTCACACTCCTGTGTCACCATTAGCTAGCATGAGGGAAATCTCAGAGTTTCCTAATAAAGGAAAGGAAAAAAAAAAAAAGAAAGAAAGTAGTTATGAAGAACAAACATATTTATCAAAAACATTAAAATCTCAAGTGGCCATCTTACTTTTCACAAGAATAGACCTGCCTTGAAGCTATTGTAGAAGTTAATTAAAAACATCCCTACCCATTGAAAGCTTTGACTGAAAATGTCTTTAAAGTTGCACTAAAAAAACATCAAATACAGCAAAAAATATTGAACACTCTTTCTCTTGGTCACCACTCACGCTCTTGCGCACTCTCTCTCTCTGTTTTTAACTGCTCACTTCTCATAGGATAGATTTCTCTAGCCACCTCACTAGGAATCAAAGCACAAAATGAAAGGTCATTCTGACTACTGTCCAAACTGAGATTTTTAAAAATTCATCTTCAAAAGACTGAAAAATATATTTTCCTGACTCTATTCCTGGATTTAAAAGGATATAGATAAAAACAAGAGACACATAATCTCTCCCTGGCACCCAAAGCACGGAATAGACTGAAACCCTTGTTTATGTATACTGGAGCAGGTTCATCCTTTAATCAGAAGAAATGCAATTCTTGAATTCAGGCCAAAGCCATAAAATATCCTAGTTCTTCAAAAATGTGAACAATGGTGAACCAACCTAATTTCAGTATCATAGTAAAGAGCCCAAATATTTAGAAACCAACGTAGTAAAAAAGATTAAAAGGGAATTCTCTGTTTCACAGAATTAGTGTACTGACTCACTTTCTATTTTTACATTCTCAGTTTTCCTACCTGAAAACGGGTTTAAATTTGCCACTTTGCTCTTGTATAATATATGACACCCTGAAATCTTTGAAGGAAAGGGAACAACATAATAGATAACACAATAAATATGATAAAAACAGAAACAGAACACAATAGATAAATATGATAGACACTGATGATGGTAGTGCTCATGCCACTATACTATGTTGAAATTTTCCTTCTTTAACATAGAAGTTGGTGACATAAATCCAACAATTCTCTTTTCCTCACTTGCCAATGAGTAGTTTAATTATGGTGAAAACGGAAAGGACGCATCAGACCAGAGATTAGATTGCTGAAATAACCCACGAGCCCTCTAAAAAAAGAGCCTAAATTGCAGAATAACCTCTGGAGTCAGGTTCACTTGGCATCTGTTAGTGCTTACCAATACATGACAAATGGTTAAGGGTTTTATAACATCCATGATAGAGAACATAGGCAAATCTTATAAGGCAGATGAAGTTTTTCAAATTCATACAATCATTTAATCTTATAGAGGATAATCCCACCAGGTGAACCAATGGGATTTGTGAGTGTGGGTCTTCTATAACAAGGACGAGTGTCTTATCTGTAGGACCAAATCAAAACTCTGAGGAGCCTGTTTGAGTATTGTACCTGTGCTGTCCTGGAGTCAGTCACTTCCTTGTATAGGCTGATATCCAAGTAATAGCCAGACTCGTTTGTCAGGAAGAGGCGGATGGGAATTGCTTTTCCAGTTGGCGTCAGGCGAATGTTGATTTTCAGTTCTGCCTGGAGGACGCGCAATTTCCACAGGCGACTTCCATACCGCATTACCATGCTCCGCACGGATTCCTCAATCTGACACAGACACATCACCAAGCACAAAACTTAAATATCTTCTAACTAAGACCTGTTTCAGGTCTGCTCATATTTGAGAAAGAAGGGGTAAAAAAAAAAAGAGGTTGGTTTGTGGAGATGCACACCTTACAAAAAGTGGTCAGATAGTTTCTCCCCAAACTATTCTTTCTTGGAACAAGTCAGGGACAATTTCATGCTGGCCTGGCATTTGAGTGGTTTTCTCTCGATAATAACACCCAAATCTCTGCAACTCCTTCCCCTTTCCCAATTATATTCATATTCTATATCAAAGATCTGCAGTATCTAAAATTACAAGCCATGGGATTTAAGAGGAAGCCCCAAATAAGAATAAAATCTCTAGTTAAATAGCTATTAAGTAGCATTTATATGCATGGTAACTATGTTTCACTGCACTTACAGGACTTTAAATCAACACAGCAATTACCACCATGAGCTTTTTTTCATACAGTTTTATTAAACTTTATAATATATGTCTCTTGGTAAATTGCACAAATTAAAGAAAGGCAATTTGTAGGTGGTGCTAGAACATTCTCTCTAAACAGAGCTCTGAAGCTTGGCCACTGCTAAGTCCACCTAGGATTTAATAAGATGGGGCAGATGTTCCCACATTTCTCTAAGTTTATACCAAGGCAGCTTAATGCTCTTAGTTTTTAGGGGTAGGACAGTTATTTTAACTAAATGGCCTTAGACATGATTTCTTGTTATTTACATGCTAAAGCAAAACTTTTTTTCCCCAACATGGCTGCACAGAACATAATGCAGCTAGAACATGCTATTCGAACTTAATGTATCCTTAAATGAAGTATCTTTCTAAAATGCTTCCTCAACTTCTTAGAAAATCTCAAGAATATCTTACATTCCCTTTCTCTTGTGGTTCTTTAGTAGCATGTGCCACCCTTGCAGTTTGTTTCTGCACCACAAAATTTTAAGTTAGAATGAATTTCAGGGAGTTAACCTCTCTATTATCATACTTGCTTGTTAACCAAGAGATATTTACCCATTCTTTTCTTGAGGGAACAAAAGCCAACAATCTTTATGTACAGAAAATTGGCAGCTATCTATCATTAGAAAAGCAGAGCCAGTGTATATGGGTGGTTAGAATGAAAGCAGAGGCTGATCTGAAAAACTCAGAGAAAAGGTAAGCCAAATCTAAAAAAAAATACAGCTGTACAGTGTCCATGCCATGTTTTAAGTTTCCCAGCTTATTAGTCCCAGAATGCTTAGGAGAAGTTTTGCTTAAACTAGATGATGAGATTTGAGTCAAATGAGTAGCCCTGTCCTTGGCGTTCCTTACAAACTAAAGCAACCCATCATTAGCTTGGAATTTTTAAGGGAAAAAGGTAGAAAACTACTTCTCAGATCTCAGATACTAAGTTCAAGAAGCAAAAGTCTACCAGGCATGATGACTCATGCCTGTAATCCCAGCACTTTGGGAGTCTGAGGCAGGAGGATCGCTTGAGGCCAGGAGTTCAAGACTAGCCTGGGCAACATAGCAAGACCCTGTTTCTGTAAGAAAAAAAAGAAAAAGAAAAAAAAAAAAAGCAGCAGCAGCAGCAAAAATTCATGCCTACAGCTGATCTTGAAAAAGGGAGATACTGGTTCTCCTATCCAAATTCCACAGTATCATGATAGAAAGAGTTAGAAGGGGCCAGGCACGGTGGCTCACACCTGTAATCCCAGCACTTTGGGAGGCTGAGGCAGGCAGATTACTTGAGGTCAGGAGTTGGAGACCAGCCTGACTAACATGGTGAAACCCCGTTTCTACTAAAAATACAAAAATTAGCCGGGCGTGGTGGCACATGCCTATAGTCCCTGCTACTCGGGGAGGCTGAAGCATGACAGTCTCTTGAACCTGGGAGGTGGAGGTTGCAATGAGCTGAGATGGTGCCACTGCTTCAGCCTGGGCAACAGAGCAAGACTCTGTCTCAACAAAAAAAAAAAGAAAGAAAGAAAGCGTTAGAGGGAGCAGAAACAGAGAGCAGCCTGTCTTTATTACACTTGGGATAAAAGGTCAAGTACAAAATCACCTTGTTTTTCTTCCTTAAATTATATAGAATGCATTTCAGAATAGAACCTCAGGGAAGAAAATATACATAATACATGAGAAATTCCTTATCAGCCAAATTCTCTCCCTGTGGAAAAACACTAAAGAGAGATAGGTTAGACACTTTGAGAAGGTGCATTATCTCACTAAGGCCACCAGGTGATTAACATTTAGTGCACAGAAGCAGTAATTTAGCCAAAATGCTTAGTAACAGTAAAATTAATAATTCCAGATGAGAAATAGTAGGGAATAATACAAAACAGGACCACTATTATGGCAAATATAAAATAGGTACCAACAAAAGAAAATGTTTTCACGTTTTTGTACTGCTTATAAGTGACCAGCAAGCTAACACCAAAACCTTCAGTTTTGAGAACTGTTTTTTCAATGGCTATATCAAATTTTTGACACTGTCCCAGAAACTCAATCTTATAAACATTCTATAAACTTTACAGATTAAGGGCTCAACAGCCTGAACAAGGAGTACCTGTTTCCAAGTCCAAGTGAGATAAATATGAATGAACTTCTGTGCTTATGCTTGCTAGTGCTGGGAGAGAAGCTAAGGAGAAATGTACCTTTGATGGGTCCATGATAACCGTGGGCACAAAGTTGAGGAAGATGTGGTTACAGTCAGTGCGGACATTTGTATTGTTAAAAGCAACTTCCAACTCATCCATGGCTTCCAGGAGTAGCCGCTCCCCTTCATTTTGCAGATATTCAAAAGAAGCTTCCTATACAGGAAGAAAATAATCAACATTAATGTAGTTTAAAAGAGGCAATAAAGAAATGGCTATTATAATCACTTAAGCAGCAGTATATCATGAATCATAAGGCACTTGGTGAAGAGATTGTTTATCTTTCTCCCTAGAGTCAGTCCAGTAACCACAGGGAGCAGGGGCAGGAAAGGGCCAGATAAAGAGTCCATGTCAGCCCTTCCTCCTTACTTTTAGTGCATCATTCCCTTCCAAGAGGTAGAAATACTGGGCATCCCCATAGCTGTAAGTTCAATAGGATGATATTTCACATATGCCAAACAGAGCTATTTAGAAAGGAAAAGCTGAAGAAAGGGTACGGCTATGGGATATAATAATAATGAACACATCAGGAAGTGCCTTGCTATATACAGACACTACCCATACTTCTAGACAGGTGTACAATGGGATCACCTCTTTCCTAACTTATCTCCTTATGCTCTACCATCACCCAATTCTTCCTGTGATTTTTCTGTTTGTATGCTTTTTCTTTTCTTGAGTGTTATTATGCTTCTGCTACCAAGAAAAATCAAATTAAAGTGGAAAAAGAGCCTTCATTTTTTATTTTTTTTCAGATGCACTTTCTGCTTTGTAAAAAAAAAAAAGCCTTTATTATATGAAATATTTACTTTTGTAAACATTGAAATAGAACAAGAACCTTGATTCAAAAAATGAAAACCTGATCTTTTTTTTATGTTCTCTCTCAGCAGAAGCATAATACCTAATTTTGAATCATATCTATTATTCTGTCCCTTCCCTCAGGGATAACATCCCATTAAAGTACAGCACCCACCTTGGTGACCAGATCAGAATGCCTGATGATTGCACGAACAAAGAACCTGTAGTCTGTCACTTCTGTGCCCACTTCCACCTTGGCTGCCCCGAGATACAGGTGCATCTTGTGATTAGCACATGGAATGGCAGTGAGGTCAAAATTTCTCATCCGGTTCAGCTCTAACTGGAAAGCCAGAGCAGGCTCCAGATGACGATAGATACGATCCTCCTCAAACTGAGTACAAGAATCAGAGAAAAAACAGTTCACAAGAGGCAGTTACAAAATTATACTATGAATGTGAATGTAAAAGAGATGCCTGAAAATAGAAACATAAGCTATGATGTGCTAATGAGCAACAAAAATGAGCTACATTCAAGGCTAATGCTACAGCTTACATAAGATTAGGCACTAAAGTACCTATTATATAGGTACTTTATAGGATGATATTCCTAAACTTTCATCATTTATGATTTTACAAGTGGTGATGATATACATGAAAAACAAACAAAAAATCCTCAATTTCCTTAGAACTCCTACAACATTTAATGTCTTTATATAATTCATTTTTATATTAATTACAGGCTGCTTCACATTAATATCTACTTCACATGCCAATGTTTTGAGCTTACCCAACTAATCTAAAAATTTTCTCACTTATGATAAGTACAAAGGACATAATAAATACTCAACAAAGAAACATCATACAATTTTTTAATTAAAGAGATATTTGGCTTTGGAACACTATATCCATAGATATATAATTACTTATATATGTTTTTTAAAAGTTGTATTAGTATATAACTTTACTGTATTTACTGTATATGTACTGTATGTTTCAGTGAAACTAAAGTATTTTTCTGGAATACATGTCAATTGAGTGAATGGAGAGAGAGAGTCAAATATATAAGCCGGTAACAGGAAGAAAGCAACATGGTCTGAAGTTTTGTATTTTAAAATTGAAAAACAAATTCACATAAAGTAGAGTTGAGTATCAGTGAACTATTTGTAGATAACAAGAATGGTCCTTTAATATCACATCATTAGGATCATTCTACAGGACAAGGATGATTTGGAAAGGTATCACCTTCGTTGAGTAGCTCAATACATTTGGTTGTTTCCCAAACCAAACCCTTTCAGAAAGGAATCGGCTTTAGTTCTAAGACACACGTAAGGCAACAGGAAGCACAAGTTCAATAAGAGAAAAAAGAATGGCAAGAAGAACGTATGGCAAAGATAAGCCGCTCTTGGGCTTTTAAGAAAAAGTAATTTTTTTTTTTAAATAGGAAAGAAATCAATCCTTACCTTATCCCTTGCTCGGAATGTAAAAAATTTAGGGAATTCTCTCTGTATTAAAGAAGGGGGAAAAATGTGTCAGTAGTTCATAGACATGGCTCTTTGAGAACAAACAGTATAGAAACAGTTAAGCATTTAGAAGCCAGTTTTCTAGAAAAACATGCTTCTTACCTAAGCTTAGTCCAGGAAATATATATGAATGATCCTCCGCATAACCATCACTTTGACCCCATTTCCAAATTTGAGAATCACCACATTATAAACCTAATTTTAGTATCTACCCTCTCCCAGGGGAAAAAAAATGTATGAATTTTTTAAATCTCCCAAGTGAAAAAAATTTTTTTGCTAGGTATTGCTCTTGGCACAACCCAGCAAATAAAACCAATATACCCTTGTGCCACAGTCACTGCAATAGTAGTTAATGGACTGATTTCCCAAGTTACTCTTTAAGAAACTCTTAAAATATAAACTACTCAGACAGTATAGAGTGCTCAGTCCATGATTTTCACATTTATTCTCAAGTCAATAATGTCAAGGGTTTAAATGATAACATTTGAAGATGAAGAAAAATATAAGATTCTACCTTGGTCACTACCACTATATGTATAGGAAAGAATAAGGTTAGAACTAGTGAACTTGTAATCATTAGGTCTTCCTGCTTTTTTGTAGGGCATTATACAAAAAAAAACCCAATTTACTAGAACCTTATTAATTAACAAAGATGAATTCAATTAGCAGAGTTCATTAGTTTCTGAAATTTAACTTACCAATGCCAAATACCCCTGTTTCTCGGATGGGAAGCTCTACTGGCAGTGCTGGAATCAAATCATTACTATTTGCCTCTATAGGAGGTTTCATTAGGCATCTTCTTCATTATGAGTGCAATATAATCAAACACTTATCAGTACAAGGCAGAGAGACCGGGACTAGCTGCCTACACATCCTCAATGAGCTTTAGGAAATGTGAAGGAAACATGGACTGAAAATCTTCTGGTGGCAGGTACTCTCATGTGTTGTCCTATCTGATGCTCTCAACAACCTCTAGGGGTAGATATTGTGACCCTCATCTTGCAGAAGCCTTGGCTCAAGTATATGCTCAGAATCACAGAGCTGGAAGATAAACTTGGGTCTCTCTAGTGCCAGAGCCCATGCCCTCTGATCTCTCAAGGGCAGAGTATTACCTTTCTCTTTTTATTATAATCTAAATTCCTCATTTAGAGGATTTCTCTTTGATGAGACAAAAACACAGAAATTAAGACTTTAAATTTAAAAAGCAGAAAGCAAACAAAGCAAAACTCATGCTGTAAACCTGTGGTTCTTGAATTTCCTGAAAATTTCTTGAATACGTTCCATAAGTGTTACACCTCACTCTCACCTTAACTAAAGCTTGCACAGTTAATAAATCTTTTTATCTTTTCCTTGGTATTTTAACTGTAAGACTGCATTTAAAAGGTTCCTAGGAGCTCATTTACCAACCTCAGGGAAATCCTTTTTTAAAAGCCTTTTTAAAGTGGATTTTACACAGGACTGAACTTCTCCTCAAGTTTTGTTCTAAATAATTCTCTGACACCGCCCCCACCCGTTATGAGAGTGAAGCACATAGGACTGACTTCAAGGTTAAGTAAGATGCATTCAGCTGAGGTGTCGATAAATATCATGCTCATGGTTTTATATAACCTAGTTTTGGTTTTATTCTAGTGAGGTACAGCTTTCAGAGCATTACCTAAAAAGTAACAAATGTCAAAAAAGGAAGAATGACAAAATCTTTCCATGGAACTCTCTGAAAGAAAAGTCAAGGAAAGTGATAATATGATATTTTACGCACACACTTTTCTATTCCGCCTTAACTATTATTAGCTAATTAATTAAAATGTTTGTTTAGGATGCCATTTATTTAATTATGTACATTTATAGGATCAAAACCATTTCCTTTCAAAAACAAAACAGTAATAAAAAATGCTTTCTTTTCCACTAAACCAATTAAGAAAATTTGTAGTAACTGAAAGGCATATAAAGCAGTTTGAATGGAAATGCCTTTAATACAAATAATGAAGAAACTGACTAATTCTTGGCAGAGGTGGGCAATGACTACCAATTAGAAAAACCACTTTCATTAAGGTTAGCTAAGAAAAGTTGTCATGAGATCATATAAACAACTTTTTTTTTTTAAACTTCTGAGTAAATTTGTAACTCCCCGGTAAAATCCTCAATTTAAGTATTAAACATTCAGAACAAGAGATGGCAAGAACCTCTGTGCAATGGAAAAGTGGAACTACTAAGCAATTCTTCAGTGACATGGAAGTCTGAAGACTCTTACAAAAAGTAATCTCTTTTGGCACTCAAAAACCACAGAATCACAGAAAACACAGAAAAGAAGAAATCTAAAAGTCTGATCCTACAGTTTTAGTAAATTCTTTTATCCTATCTCATCCTCATACTGCCAGTTTTTCCACTGAAAGCATTCATGCTTATTCCATCATCAATGTATTTGCTTTCCAAGTATTCTACTAGTGTCATGGGCGAATATCATAATTGAATGTACACAAAGAAAAACCCTCTTAGTATTCTGGTACCAAAAAACAAAAGAATGCAACGTTTCACAGGAAGAAATTATGCCCTTGCTGTGTTCTAATCAGCCAACCATCATCAAGACAATCAAAATAATTTGCCCAAATTAGCCAATCAAGACACCCCGCAAATCAGAGAATGTGAAAACCTGCAACAAAAAACATCATAGCTGATTATGATACTAATAATCGTGTTAAAAACCTAATGAGATGAAGAAATTGGGAGCTTGCTGGTACAATTCTCTTTTACCTCAACATGCTGAGAACTAATTATATAGACTGTAATTAAAACAAAAATCCAAACCAACCCTTCTGAAAACTAATAGTTGGTCCACTACCAAACAGAACTATCTTAAAAAAAAAAAGAAAAAAAGAACTACTAATTATGATAACTGCTCATATAGTGAGCTCTTCCTTCAAGGTCCAAATAATCCAAAACATTTCATTTTAAAGTGGGAATCACACAATAGTCATAAAACAACAACTCTCTCTCGGGAGATATGTAGATCTTTTTTTTAAATCTCATGAAATTTTACAAGAACAAAAGGTAACATTTTATTAACAGATGTAAAACTGTTTGATTTAGAATCTTATCATGGTTTTAGGACTTAATGGGGGATAAGAAGAAGTCCTGAAAATTTGTATTCCGATGTCCTTAGCCAAACTTTGCTGAAAAAAATATGGAAAGCTTAAAAAAAAAAAAGCATAATATTATATCCCAATTAGACAGCACTTTCTGCTAAATATTTTGGAATTCCAGACCTAAAATGTGAGTGAAACTAAGACAGAGTGAGTCAATAAGTTTTAACTAACAGAAAACTGTGGAGTTGCAGTTTAGATAGCTGCAGAAATTCAAGAAGCCTCTTTTCCATTCAAGACTTTGATCTTTTTTCTTTTTTTTAACATCTTGTCCATTTTTTTCTTTTATTTTTTATTTTCAGATGAACATCATGATCTACTTTATTTTTTCTTAACAAGTAGAATATATTTACAAAAAGAGACTTGTTTTTCCTCAAAGTTTCTGTTTAAATATCAAAGTTAGGCAGTTATTCAAATTCCATTATGGGCACTTGATTTAATTAGATGGTTATGGAAACAGAGTCAACTCCCAGCCTCCTTAACACTGGTGAAGACTGCTGTCACAGAAATAATCTCCATGCAGTGTCAACGGACTAGGGTGGCAACAGACACCCTAAAAATGTTTTAAAGCTGTGGGCAGCTATCTGGGACAACTGTGGCTAAACTACGAAGTATTGTAAATGCTTATAGCAATCACTGTCATCCAAATCAGTACCTAACAATATACACAGCTCTCTAGCAACCTCTACTCTGGCCCTCATTTGTCTTATTCTGGTTCTGAGGCAATTTGAAAGACCAACAACTATATAACAGCACAGCTTGCTTTATTCCACTAACCAATGTGCTTGAATCAAACTTGGTAAACTTCCTCCTCTCCTTGCTCCCTCAAGTGCAAATTCTCTCTTCCATTCAATAATATAGGGATTCCACAGCATTGGACAGGGGAGGCTGCATACATCACAGTGGATTATCAAGAAGCCAGAGAGATCAAGGGATTCATCTCTGACACTCCCAGAAAGCTTCCTCTTTTTCACAGTACACTAACTATGGGGCAAGCACAATCAGATGACATGACAGAGGCTAAATAAGCATCCTTCATGAATGTCAAGCTACCATCAGCAAAAGAACTCACAGCAGCACCACGACAGTGACCCCCAGATTTGTACAGTTTCTGCCAACGCTTCCTGGCTAGTGTAGATCCTGGATTGTATAATAGATTCTGGATGGAGTTCGGTTTAATAGTTGCCCTTGCACCTTGCAAAATCACTTATCATTTTTAAAGGGACTAACATAAAAACACCCCAACTCCTCTGCCATTCAATTCTTCAGAGCAAATGCAGTCCTCACTTAAACCTTAATGTTCTCTATGCTCTAAAGCAGCTTTTCCTACACTCATGACAAATCAAGTCACTTGATAATTTAAGTGATTTCCCACTTGATGCCACTATATATAGGAATCAGACAATGATTGTCACGGAAGACCCCCTGCTGGCCTCATTTTCTAGCCGATTTTGCCTATACATGTCCCTATTAAACCTAGATCCAGAAATATCAGGACAGCAGAGAGAAAAAAATGTTTTAAAGCTGTTAAGTATACTCTTAATACTAGGGCATATTTATAACTATACACTATAGATTCAGAGATAAGAAAGGGTTTTTTTATGTGTTACATATATGAGAAAATGTCAGTGAGAACTAATCACTTTGGTTTGCTAAAAATTTTAGTGAACAGTTTTAGTTGATCAGTGTATTTATTATAGAAACCAGTTAGTGTGCTATAGATGTGAAGATTCCATCTAATCCATTAGCAAAAAGGAAAACAATTTTACAAATTTAGTGTTATTCCCTAGAATATGCTGTTATTCTAAAGTCGGTGATAAAAAGCACAGTAACATTTAAGAACCTAGCACAATACTCTTCTAAAATCCAGGGCCTGGCTCTGGCATGTCTACCTTAGTTCTGATCAGCATCTACCAGCCACAGTGTTTATCCATGGGCTTTCATATTCTATCCCAAAGTATCAATTTTATTCTCTAAGCTCCTGATTTTTCTTCCTAAAGCCCTAGGGTTCTTTTTAAGCTCCTCATACTTCTCCACTGACTCCGTTTCCTATCTAAAGTTATTGATTGACATATATCTACACTCTGCTTGATTTCCTGACATCAATAACACAGGGGAGTCATGCAGTCCACAACATTTCCTAAAGCATTTCAGAAAATCTTAGCTCTCTTGTTTCTCTATAGACTAGACCAACAAGGTGAACTGTATGAAGGAAAACAAAATGTCAAGTCTTGAAAACCTAATAAACAAAAAGGTAATAAAAGCAATCACACATAGGTCCTTGAGTTTAGAAAGTCCTTTCCAGAATCTCAAGTGCCATCTTCATTGTTGCAAACAAGCAAGGCTTAACAACCAAATTATCTTAATTGCTAAAACCAAACCAAACAGGCTGGGCACAGTGGCTCATGCCTGTAATCTCAGCACTTTGGGAGGCTGAGGCGGGCAGATCACCTGAGGTCAGGAGTTCGAGACCAGCCTGGCTAACATGGTGAACCCCTGTCTCTACTAAAAATACAAAAATCAGCTGGGTGTGGTGGCACATGCCTGCAATCCCAGCTACTTGGGAGGCTGAGGCAGGAGAATTGCTGCAACCCAGGAGGCGGAGGTTGCAGTGAGCTGAGATTGCGCCACTGCACTCCAGCCTGGGCGACTAAGCAAGACACTCTCTCAAAAAAAAAAAAAAGAAAGAAAAGAAAAAAAAGACTTCTTAACATCCTCTAGAATCTTAGTTAGCTACATTAGAATCAATTTTTATGAAATATTTTGATTATAATCAGTCATTTTGAAAACAACATATTGATTCCAAACTGGATTTCTGGCCTTACTGTTGTCACTGTACTGGGTATGATCATACGGGTATACCATAGTTTGGATGCCAGGCTATTAACTTAATTCTCTTTTCAATAAAAATTTTAATCTCATAAATATTAACAGTTAATTCAGTTAAATGGGAGAATAAGCAACAGAGTGTTTAATTTTTACTTATTTCCTGTTCCTACGATTAACATAAGACAAAAAATAGCAACTTGGCTCTATCAAGGCATTTTAAATAATAAATCATTGTTCTTTAGAATTGAGACTTCTCAATAAAGAATCCAAGACCACAAAATGCAACTGGCTGTCCTTGATTATTGATTCACTATAAGCACAGAAGAAATTACTAGTTAGCTTGTTTCTACCTTATTTATCTGGATAAATGCTTATGTTCATTCTTAACTATTTCTCAGAGATATATTGAGAATTCATTATAGGGTTAAAAAAAAAAAAAGAAGAAAACCTTTAGCTGGAACACTTGATATAAGAATTAAAAAAAATTTTTTTTTAATTAATAGAGGACTGGGTCTCATTATGTTGCCCAGGCTCATCTCAAACTTGTGGGCTCAAGCAATTTTCCTGACTCAGCCTCCCAAAGTGCTGGGATTACAGAGAACTGAATATTTATTATAATAATTTCTAAAAGAAGAAGGATCAAATATCAGTCCAGCCCTTCTAACATATATTCTGGTTAAATAATCAGTGGCAGACAAATAAAACAGTAAGTAATCTTTCATTATTGTTCATTTTACTTACATGAAATCTCCGATCCACCTCATAGTTGACCTGCTTTCTGAAATCCTTTCAAATAAAAGAGAGAAAGGAAGGAAAGACAGCAGAAGTTGGCAATTAGTAACAAAATCAAAAAGAAATTGAGTAAAAGATGATGAGTTAAACTAATGTTTTTTAAAAATGAAACTTACAGAAAAGTGGTTATTTCTCTGCATAAATCCTATTAGTAAGCATAAGATTACAATCCCATTTTTATTAAGTTGTAGCAGCAGCATAAGAAATATTAAAGAGGTACAATTCACATGTCAGTACCTTTTGTGCAACCAGGAAAGTAAGGCGCCGGATCCCATGGTCAACCAGGGTAGCTTTCTAGGAGCAAAAACATGTAAAACAGAAGATAGATGAGATTTCCATTCATTCTAAATTTTATCCCATTCGGCCCTTGTAAGGCTTTGGTGGAGTTAAACATCCTTTTTGGATATCCTTATCTTAGCTTAGTACCTTCAAACTTGCAAGTGAACAAATTTCAATCTGGCTCCTAGGACTAAGTCTTACGAAATAAATTTTATATTGATTTGGACAAAACTGAAAGAGAACTTTGTGGAGGAGAAAGGGTGATATGAAGTCAACTAAATTACCTCAGAACTGATTTACATAAAGGTAGGCCATGACACAATTTCTGCTTATAGAAATCATACTGTTGGGCATGTATTCAAATGTAAACATTAATATTGATAAAGATGCTAAATGAAATTAGGTAGAGAGAAAAGAAGGACTTTCCATAAAACATAAAACACAGGTCCTAAACTGTTTAGATTGTAGATGTTACCTACCATCAGATACAGCATCCCTAGAATTCAGTCTAACAAATTGTAACCTTTCAGTTTTGATACAACAGTCCCCCCTTACCTTACATGAAGGCATTTTTTAAAAACTCTCTCTTTTAAAATTGTTAAAAGCAATATTTAATAGGCCTTTAAATTTAGGAACTATTCATATCTCCACTAGGCATAGGCGACTAGTATATTAGAAGTCAACAGAAGGCTGGGAGTGGTGGCTCACGCCTGTAATCCCAACACTTTGTGGGGCCAAGATGGGCAGATCACTTGAGGCCGGGAGTTTGAGACCAGCCTGGCCAACATGGCAAAACCCTGTCTCTACTAAAAATAGAAAAAAATGAGCCAAGTGTGGTGGCACATTCCTGTAATCCCAGCTACTTGAGAGAATGAGGCATGAAAATCGTTTGAACCAAGGAGGCAGAGGTTGCCGAGATTGCATCACTGTACTCCAGCCTGGGTGACAGAATGAGACTGTCTCAAAAAAAAAAAAAGAAGTCAACAGACACCAGTAGTTTCAAGACAGCCACTTATACGAGTCTTGGGCATCTGGACCTAAAGCCTTCCTCTTCCCTATACTGTTCACTTGCTTCAAAAGGCAGGGACAAAGAAACAAATTAATGAATTAAGTAAAAGACATGTGTTTAGAGGTCCCCAACAAAGAAGGATTATAACAGCAAGCAGAAAAGCAACCCCACCAGTTGAATGACCTGAGAAAACATATGAATAGTACAAATAGAAAAGTAATGTGGACTTTCACAGCCTACATCCAGACTTTAGTTTGACCACATTTCTTGCTATAACTCCAACCAAGAGATATGTTTATAGGCCAGTTCTTAACATTCATGATATTATATATTTTTTAAAATTTAAATTGTCTTCCCCTTATAAGGAAGCACATTCTTGGGTTATTTCTTCCAATTTCTTCAATTCTGCGATGGCATTGCTGAGTAATAAAATTAATTTTATTAACAGCATAAACAAAAGATAACTGGAAAAATTAATTTTCTATAAGCAAATAATAAAATAATAAATTATCAGGCCAAATATAAATAAATTTTGGTTTAACTGCATTAAAAAATTATTTGTACTGCCATCACACACCTTGCTGTAAATAACCAAGTATTGACACAACAATATGAAAAAAATGTGTCGAAGGAAAGGAGGGGTTTCTCAGTGTGGCCAGGAACAGAAATACTTCTTCTGACATCAACAAAGATTCCACTACAGTCAAGTCCTTCAAAGACAAGCATCAGTAGCTATGTTCTGGCAAGGGAAGAAAATAACTTTAATAATGCCATGATTTAAAATCAAAATTGTTATTGCTTTTAAAATTCCACAAGTGGCTGACAATAACAGCAGAGCAACAGGATTCTGATTACATTGTAATAATGCAGGTCTCACAGCAAGTCCACAGCTATTACCCAGCGATTAGGCATCAGCACCTGGAGAAACTCCATTTACACTGACTGCTTCAATCTCCTCCACAAGTCATTTACAAATATATGATCCTAATTTCTATGAGAGAAAAAAAGACATGCTGGGACTAGAAGATTATTTGGACAATTTGGATCAACCTATTTGATAGTTTAATGTGTGCCTTAAAAAAAAAAACTTTTTCTAAACTGCTAGGAGCATGATCATGAAGTGAAAAACAAAACTAGTTGCCACTTTATCTTTTGTTTTTTTCTTAAATTGCTTTTCTTTCCTTTTCTTTCATATATATATATATATATATACACATATATTTTAACAAGGAGATGAAAATGCCAAATGTCCCTGGATAAGCACAGTACCTGATGCAGTAAATAGCTTCTCTATGCTTAGAGTGTCAGCACAGTCTACCCTTACCTTTCTAAATAGCCTTAGGCAAAGATATTGGATTTCTCTGTGCCTTAGTTTCCACACCTAGTCAAGGAAAAGGGTAATTTCTTATTTCTCATTAATGTTACAAACATATGTAGCGAATATGAAGAAAATGCTTTTTTTTTTTTTTTTAATTGAGATGGAGTCTTGTTCTGTCGCCAGGCTGGAGTGCAGTGGTGCAATCTCGGCTCACAGCAACCTCCGCCCCCAGGTTCAAGCGATTCTCTTGCCTTAGCCACCCGAGTAGCTGGCGCTACAGGCGCCCGCCACCACACCTGGCTAATTTTTGTATTTTCAGTAGAGACGGGGTTTCACCATATTGGCCAGGCTGGTCTTGAACTCCTGACCTTGTGATCTGCCCGCCTTGGCCTCCCAAAGTGTTGGGATTACAGGCGTGAGCCACTGCGCCTGGCTGAAAATGTCTTTGTAGATCAACATGCGTTGATAAGTATGACACTTAGATTTGAGGGCAACAAGAAGTGTCAAGTTGTGGTCAAATTATGGAAAAATACTCAAACATGGGCAATTAGTGCCTCAAAACCTAGGAAGAAACTTTCACAGATTATTTCATGAAGCAGCAGCAGCAGCAGCCACATATAATATTAAGACTCTTCCAGGCCGGGCGCAGTGGCTCACGCTTGTAATCCCAGCACTTTGGGAGGCCGAGGCAGGCAGATCACCTGAGGTTGGGAGTTTAAGACCAGCCTGACCAACATGCAGAAACCCCATCTCTACTAAAATACAAAAATTAGCCGGGTGTGGTGGCGCATGTCTGTAATCCCAGCTACTCAGGAGTCTGAGGCAGGAGAATCACTTGAACCCAGGAGGCGGGGGTTGCTGTGAGCTGAGATCGCACCATTGCACTCCAGCCTGGGCAACAAGAGTGAAACTCCATCTCAAAAAAACAAAACAAAACAAAACAAAACAAAAAAACTCTTCCAGCAAAGATTACCTTGATCACTGGCTTTAGGTTAATTTTATGTGGTCACTGGCCAAGGGCAAGAAGGAAGGTAAATTTCTGTCTACAGAAAAAGCCCTAGGCATATCCCCTACTTTCACTTCTCTGGAAGCACCTTTTCCTCATACTGACCACTGCAATCTCATAGTTAGTTTAAGTGCTACAACACCGTCATGGAATAAGTACTAAGACTCATAGTCATCACAAATTTACCATTTTTTCCCCTAGATATCTACCATTGGCATTACATGATGTGAATGCCAATGGTACGAACTGTCTACACCACTGAATTAAATTTTGAAAACATCTACTGAGTTCTTTCTCTGCAAGAAGTCCATGGGCTAAGTGCTGTCCACTCCAAGAGAACACATGGGTCTTGCCATCAAGGGCAGTTTAAGAGGACACTTTGCTATCTATCACATATCATAATGAAATATAACTGTAGATTATTGTTTTAAGCATGCCTATCCTGTCCCCTCAACTAGACTATAAGCATCTTCAGGGCTAAGAATGTATTATTTACTAAAGTACCTAGATCTGTGCCCCCTATACCTGGCATCAAATCCTTAAGTTCTAGTATTTGCTCTATCATCTTCTAGCTGGTGACCTAGGGGTCTTAATTTCTCTGAGCTCCAGCTTTTGCCCATGTGTACAACTGGAACAATTCCTGACTTATCTAACCCCATGGAATCGTGGTAAGATGCAAATAAAAAATTTAGGTAGAATTTTTTTATAAATAAAAGGCATTATTATTGCTAATAAATGTATGCTGACCAATTAGGAATTCAAAGGAGGAACATACATTTTAGTTAGGGCTACTCAGAAGTCCTCACTGAAGAGATGAAATTTGAGACAGTTCTTAAGACAAACAAGATTTAGAAAGAAAGGTGAAAGAAAACTTTCTAGGAAAGAGGAAGTCAAAGAAGTATAATAAATGAGGCACATTAGACAATGAACACAGGTCTTTTCACAAAATAGCAAAGGCTACATGTTAGTCTCTCAATAGGCTGATGATGTTGAAGCTAAAGTTAAGGAGGTATTCTGAAGGTCAGAGAGAATCACTGTTAAGTGGGAAAATAACATGGTAAGAGCACATTTGGGACATTTAATTTTGTGGTGATGAGCAGAATGGAAACTCTTTGGAGGGAGAAAGTGAAGGAAGATAAGTAGATCACAAGTAAGCCTGCTGCAGTGTCTCAGGTATAAGATAGTAAGGGTTTGAATTAGAGATGGCAGTGGGAATTTTAAAACTGGAAAGAAGAAAAAGAGAAAGGGTAAAAAAGACTGCAAAGAAAAACTAACAGACCTTGGTGACTGACCAGATACAAATAAATATGTACAGATTGTGGGTAGAGGGGTAGAATGAAGGAATGTCAAGGAAAAAGTCAATGACTTTTGAATGATTGGGAGTAAAAGGTATAGTGAGTTGTGAGGTTTTTTGTTTTGTTTTATGAGGGGATTGGAGAGGGACGAGAAGAGGTGAAGCAAAATGATGGAAAATGTCCATTTAGACGATGGCGTTTGATGTCAACAGGAGATATCCAAGTGACGTAAAATTGAAAGGAGGATAGATGTATAACTGATAGTTTCAAAGGAGGGGAGGGGAAGACACAGAAGGGACCTAAGGGGAGTTTAGGCTTAGACATGTGGAAAGTCACCAAAGGAAAATACTTGGTAGGTGATTCGAAGTTCAAGACTGGAGCTCTGGGAGAGATTTAGGAAGATAACTTCCCTTAAAAACATTTTAAATATTTGAGGTCTATTATCTGTTGACACACAAAGATATTCATTATATATTATTAAGTCACTTTGGGATTTTATCCCTAAACGCAGAACTAGCCATAGTTCTGAGAGTTATGATAAAAGACATAGCCATAAACTAGCAACTGATAAAAGGATAGCTATGATACACAGCCAGTAGAAAGGGGACATCACGAGCTTCCACCCAATCAAGAACTTACATTTTGCTGGGTAAATTCTCTGAACATAGCTGCCAGCCTGTCATCCTCAATATCACAGTCAGTCTTGATAGCCACATTGAGAATGTGAATTGGTTCATCCCTGGGAACCTGTAACTCAAGAACACAAGTCAAAGAAATTATGAGGCTGGCCAATACAGATGCAGATAGAAGTTATAATATTTGGTAGAATACCTGAAAAAGAGATACACCCCACAGGATATTTTGGTTTGCCCAGCAGTAGGAATGAGCAAATTGAAACCACTGCCCAATAGCCACAGAGAGATTAAATCAGGTAAAGCATATAAATTTTAAAAGATAAGGCAGCAGAGGCATTAGTAACAGGTGGCCCAATCTTTACTTGGCATGAAGCTGAAGATCACTATGTCTCACCTTTTTTACCAATAAAATGGGGGTGAAACTATTTGCCACATCTCTTCACAGAATGTGAAGGAAAATGAGTGATATAAGCCATCTGGACATGTTCCCACATAATATATTTCCTTACAATTTATCAAACAATGGAAGTATCAAATCATGAAAAAATAACATCATAGAGAAAGAATAATTTATTTACTGATAAATAAAAAGAAATGATTTAATAAAAAGACAAAGTTTTCAACAAAATGCCTACTTTTTTTCTGTAATCTAAAGTCCTCCATTCTCTGAGGACTATGATTGCACCACTATGCAAAAATATAAGCCATGGCTGAGTAAGAATTCCAGCAACCAAAGCCCAAATCCTTAAAACAACATTCAGAGATTCAGAGGCAGCTGCAATGGACATAGCTGAGCCCACTCTATACTATGGACTCCAAAATTAATATAGTTTTTTTAAGTTAGGATTTATATTCCACTTGTTTCCAGAAAATACTTTGGTGAGGCATACAAAATTAAATACTATAAAGTGGGGTAAAAGGATGAATTCTTTCCTATAATAGTTCAAAGTCAGAAAGATAGTATACAGTAGAAGTCCCATGTCTGAGGGGAACAAAGCAGTCTCCCAAAAGGGACATTATACCTTATCCTCATCATAAAGAGACGTGTGACCTGCCTCAGGGAATGTGGGACTCTGGGGTGGGGAGTCAGAGAAGCAGCCCATCACTTCATCAAAGATCCTAAAAAATACAAGAGAAACACCCACCATGAAAACTCAAGTGGCATGAAACTAACACTGCCATTGGCAGCTGAGTCTAAAAGAATAATCTATCTTAGCCTGGGCTCAATAGTTAATTGAACAGAATCACCAGTGGCTAGAGGTGACATGCAAAATTTCACCAAGTGGCAGAAATTAGGAGGATGGATTGTTTAAACTTTAATAAACCATATATATTTTTTCTTTTTTAGAAAGAATGATCTAAAGCTTTTTTGTTTGTTTTGTTTTCCTCATATGTAAGATATGAGCACTTCTGTCATCATCGGTCTTAAAGTAACAGAAAGTGTCTGGAACTGGAGTAGTGACAGACCAATGTAATTACCCCTCCCCCTAGGGTAATGCATCAGTATACATCAAGAGATAGATGCTGAATGCATTTAATCAAAAGATGTATTGTCTCTTGTGGGGCTCACTCTAGTGTTATGTTTAATTTCTCCTGACATTTCACTCATCACAGAGCAGACAGCTTCTTCTGTTAGCTCCACAGGAAAAGATGGTTTTTGTTTGTTTCTTTTTTTCTGACCAGGCCCATACTACAAGTAGAGGCTTGTAGAATCTGAATGAGAGGTAGAAATGCAAGGATATATACCTCTCCAACGGCATATACAGCAAGGGTTACATCTTTTTAGCTGGCTCATGGCTATTCGGGAGACCTTTATTCATTTTGCAGAAAGATGAGACCCCAAAACACAGATGTCCATGGCTCCCCTTGTACAGACATAGTTCCACAATGTCTTACCTGACAAAATCTTCAAAAGTCCGAAAAGAGACCATTCCGCCCATCCGCTGACAAGGTGGAGTGAATGAGTTGTCCAACAGTACATCGCTGACACTAGCTACATGGGTCATGCCATAGTGGTTGAGGTTGGAGGAGAAGGACATTCTAAATGGTAATTCAATCACGTTCATTAGACAAGGAGGGTAGGAGCAAGGACTGGGAAAGTAACAGTAGGGAAAAGGAACTAGGAGAAAACTCTGAAGTAGGGTCAGGTTGCAGAGCAGATTTGGTTTTTTTACCCACTATGGATAAGGTTGTTTTGCTGGATTCATGTTAACCCTTTCTTTTGAATTTCCCTAAATAAACTATATTTTCATCACTCCAAAATTTCTTCAAATAAAAAGCTAAGAACTGTTAGGAATTTCCAGGCAGTTTTAACACAATTACATTATAAGATGTCCAATGAATGAATAGCACATAGGGGTTAAAAACCATCCTGCATCTTCCCCCTCCCTAAAGCATTCCCTCCTTTAAAAGGAAGTAAGCAAGCCAAGTGAGTTGTAACTATGCAATGCTTAAGGCATTTTGTTTTCTAGGAACTGTAATAGAGTAAGTATTCACAGATACATAAAGAGATAGGTATATATATGTATGTAAAACAACAATTGTAATTAAGTCACCTGGAATGGTTTAGTAAATAATTATATAAAACATTAGGGTACAGAAACAGGTCACAGTCTATAAAAGGAACTTTACTGAGGAATTTACTTTCTCCTTTAATGGGTTGGTAGGCATAGTTATTGGGGTTACAGTTCTCCCTTTTTGAAAGAGAGCTATTTTTCAACCCCAAATTGCACGTTTTTCTTTTCATAGTTAAGCACTTCTATACCAAAACAAAAAAATCTCCATTGAAAGCCCTTAATAATTTCCAGCAAGATACAAAAGGGCAGAGCATGGGTCTCAAAGTATGTGTAAGCATGACAAGCAGCTGCTAAACGGAGATGCCTGAAGAGAACTGAACTGATTTGCTCAATCTAAAAACAATGAATCTCTATATTTCTTGATGTACCTTAACAGTATGTACTGATAAATAATACTGTAAAGTGTTTCTGAATGCTCAATCAGGACAGCCTGTTAGGAAGGACCAAGCTAAAGGATGCCTCCAGGACTTGCCTGACATGTTACCAGCATACTGATCTGAAGCAAGTTCAGGGCAAGGCAATGGCACTTGAATTTGGGGAACTGCCCCAAAAATCTCCTTGAAGTACACCACCTGCGGTGTTGCAGGGGGAAGAGAGACGACAACGTGGACTTGATATCTGGGTACATATTGTACCCTATCGCAAATCATAATTACAAGGCAATGGAATTCTTTGTAGGATGGGAGTGCTGCTCACACAGACTATAGAGACTGACACTCCAGGTTTTTATTCCTTTGGCGAGTGATGACTATGGAAAAGGTACATCATCTTTTGACAGTACTTGGGAGTAGAAGGCAAAGTGGGAGAGGAAACCATTGATACAATGAATGAAACAAACAAATGAAACACACATCAAGCAAGTCTTACACATGGTGCTCACTAGAAACTGGGATTCAGAGTTGTATTACCACAGAAGTGCTATCATCCTCCTCTTTTCTAGGATCACCAAATATATTTACTAAAAAAGCAAGTTTGTGAGGCATTGTATCTTTTCTACTTGCTTGGCATTAGACAGGAAAGATAAAAGGGTTCCAGACCACATTTAAAGGGAACTCCCTCTGAAGAAGTTAACAAACTATGTTTGTGGCAACCATGGGGTTAAGTAGCTTTTTCACTCAACTGAACCCCATGGGAAATATCGACTATTCAGTTTCCCCTCACTGCTATGCTTGTGAACCAGGGTGGCTAAAGGCAGGCAGGAATGAGCCAAGCCCACTCACCAAGGGAAGACTACAAGACCAATTAAAAGCATTCCCTTTCCTCTCCACATCCAAATTGGGATCTAAAAGCTATGATTAGTCTTGATTACTTAATATTTTAAAGGGAGAGGGACAAAATAAATGTAAATCTATAAATAGTTCCACGTGTAGCTGATTATCTGCAAAGACCTTGCCATCAACTTACTATTGCTTTTGCATTTTGTGGATTCAATTCCAATCAGAATTGTTATCCTCTCAAACTTGCATTGTGTTGCCTTGCTTGGTTCAAGAGACAGGAGAAACCCAAAATACTAAAATATCACTTATGTTATATTAGCCTGGAAACCTCCACACAGGGTTAAACACATCAAAACTTAAATATACTTTTCCAATGTTAATCTTATTATAGGTCTGAAATAAAAACTGACTATCATAACATTTTAACACTTTAGAAAATTAACTAACAAACTGATAAAACATGAGATCAGCTATTTCTGGATCTGCACTCCTCTAAAAGGAGAAGCAAATTAGAGAAACTAAAAATTGTAAAAACTGTGAATAATTTGCCAGGATAGGAGTAACCTTAAGGGTTTCTCCTCTGAAAGCCCCAAACTACACAGAGAACTTAGCAAAAGAAGATGTTGCTAGCAAGGCCGGACATAAGGCAGATAAACCCCCTATCATATACAGCTAGATGGGAGCTTCTCCATACTGAGGCTTTTCAAGTAGTGCTTTTTGAACAGCTGAAGAAAAGCTGAAGCCATGTTTTCCAAACAGAAAGAATAATTTAGTATGTCCAAAGGGGAGCTCAGGACTCCCTAGCAGATAACACATTATCTTGTCAAGTGTTGTGGTTTTTTTTTTCCTGGTTTCACTATTCTAAGTTACATAAAGGTGCTTTTAATTGGAAAAGAAACTAAACATACGGTACCTGTTTAGCGTAGGGATGTTCCCTCTGTAATTAAACAACCACAGTTAGTTACTGATAAGTTAGTGAAAGCCATAATAAAAGAATTGTCAGAGCAGATATAGACCAGTCATGAGGAGCTCCAGTTTGGCAGCTCTGGCATTCAGCAGACATAATTAAGTGCTCATTACCCTTCAACCCCCAGGATACCTCCAAAGAGGCATGCTCCTAACCTACCTCACCACACCAGCTGTTGATGGAAAGGGTCAAAATGTATTTACCATGGATTTTAAAAATAGCTCTATTACCAAAAAAAAAAAAAAAAAAAAAAAAATTTAGAGTAGTGGTAAAACACAGGCTGATGAAAATTAATTTAAGCTATATGATATGGTATATTAACTCAAGCTTCAATAAGAAATATAATTCTTCACAGGATTCTTAGAGACTCTTCTTTCTTGTTCCTATTACTGAAGGTGTAATAAGGAGGTCCAGGGAAGTTGATTCCACAGCTCCTCCTACTTTAATCGCTTATCCAGGATATGTGACAGACCTACAAATTCTCCACCAAAGAAAAGTATCCAGGAATCTGGGTTCCCAGCTACCTGCTCTAAGTCTTTTTAACCATACTCTTCCTCCCATGAAGGAGAGCAGGGGGGAAGGTACTGTATTCTAGGAGCTTAAAAGAACTGAAAATCATGCAGGAAAGTAATGATAAATGATTCTATGATAAGTTGTTAAAATTAATTAATACTTTGTAATTAAATGAGTTTAGGGTCATAATGATTTTAAAAATTGCTGTTAGCTTAAAAACTCTAGGCCTCTCATAAATAAAACCTTATCTAAATTTGACTACCACAGAACTTCCTTATAAAGAATGTGCCAAATCATGAAAGAAAGACCACGATAAGAATAGGAAACTACAAGGCACATCTCCCACATTCTCTTTGGCCTTTGCCACTAACTCCTTTTAAAAGATTTCCCCAACTGAAAAATAATCAAACAAATAAAAACCTTTATTTTCAATGTTAAATGGGCAAAGTTATACTTACCACCTACAATTTAGGGGCATTGTAAGGGGGCTGATCGGTTGATATCTTAACCTTCTAACATTCTTTTATCAGCATTTAATCACTGTTGGGGTTTTCTAGCACACAGAGGACTTAATGGGCAGAACATAGTGGGTGGTGCTGATGATATGTGGAAAGGAAGATAGAGGGAGGAAAACGATGCACTTTCCATGGCAGTAGAAGGAGCAGAATAGACTGAGCAGGCCATATAAATAAAAAGCTGTGACATATCACTGCACACAAACTGTATACCTCATGTGATTTGTGAGTAGAAATGCTCTTTGCATCAAACCTGTATCACAGAGTGAATTCATAAGACAGCAAGAGCAACCTCTGAGTGCAGAAACCTGAACCTTTGCTGTTTGGATTCCTTAAGCCTCTCACTCAGGAGAGTGGGTTTTATTTTTACAAGAGATCCTTAGTTATAATGCACTTGGGCCTCAACAATACAGAAAAAATAGGCACAGGTTCTAGAACAGAGGGAGGTACAGCTGAACAGAAAACTAACTGCAGATGCTAATGAGAATAGTTTTCCTTTTACGATATAAAGGATGCTAAAGAAAGGGGCCGCCTGCACAGTTTCTTAGCATGAATCTCAGTTCAGAGAGAACTCTACAACCAAAGAAACCTCAGGTTCCATTCATCCAGGTTTCTAGAGTTTAGAAACCAGTATAATCTCTCTCAACTGTTAACAAATTTCCTAATCTAATAAAATAATCTAACTGCTTCTGTAGCTACATTCTAATCCCTTTGGGAGTCTTCACAGGATGACGGCCATGTTTTCAGTAGAAAAAGGCCCGAACTGAAAAGAACACCAATAACAACAAAAAGCCAGGCTTTCTCCATCAGCAACTCTCAAGCTCCTACAGAGAGCCCCCTGCTGCTTTGTTATAAGAATTATGCACCATCTACACAGTATGGGTCAAAAAGCAAAAACTCCCAACATCTCTAATTTTTAAAGGAATGGTCCCAAATCAATCATGTAAGTAGGTTTAGAGCCAGCTTATCCACTTAGGTAGAATAAGAATCTGTGGGGATGTAAGGGAGATAAGCAAGGAAGGAAGGAAGGATAAACTGTCTATTAACAGATAAATATTTGGTCATGTCCATAATGATCATTTACATGTTTTCTTTTTTTTTTTCTTTTTCTTTTTTTAAGAAATAGAGACAAGGTCCCACTATGTTGCCCAGGCTAGTCTTGAACTCCTGAGCTCAAGTGATCCTCCTATCTCAGCCTCCCAAAGTGCTAGGATTATAGGCATGAGCCAGCAAACCTGGCCACTACAAATTTTTCATCCTATACAAGGGCTATATGGTCAATTTAAGAATATGACAAATGTGGCATATCGCACACTACTGTGATACACCAGAAAGCTAGATTAACACTCTGTACCAAAAAAAAAAAAAAGCCACACACACAACTAAGGGAAGAGATTGTATACGAGTCAAATATTCCATTTATGTAGCTGAAAATAAAATTTGCCACATTCCACTGCATACTCATCACGCAAAAATAGTCAAATTAGGCCGGGCGCAGTGGCTCATGCCTATAATTCCAGCGCTTTGGGAGACTGAGGTGGGTGGATCACTTGAGCCCAGGAGTTTAAGACCAGCCCAGGCAACATCTCCAAAATCCATCTTTACACACACACACACACACATACACACACACACGCACACAAATATAAAAGTTAGCCAGGTGTGGTGGCACACAGTACACCTGTAATCCTAGCTACTCCGAAGGTTGAGGTGGAAGGATCGCTTGAGCCAGGAGGCTGAGGTTGCAGTGAGCCAAGATCATGCCACTGTACTCCAGCCTGGGTGACAAAGTAAGTCTCAAAAAAAAAAAAAAAAAAAAAGTAAAATTGCTCAATCTTTGATAAGGCAATCAAGTATATTTTCAAATACATAAATGGGACATAAATTCACTTCCTATCTGCTGTTTGGGCTATTCAAAACACTTATTATAATGAATCTTCATTTACAACATTTGATGAATATTAGAACCACTTTCTTTCTAGTAGATTAGCTCCATTTTACAGATGTGATAACCAAAAAACCAAAGAGGATGCTTTCCAATGACATTGTTCAATATGGTGTCATAAACCACAATCTAGACTTGGCATTTTCTTATCTCCGCTCTCCAAGTTAGCATTCCACATCAGTATAGATTTTAGAGAAAGACAAGAGAAATCCTGTGAATTCTGAGGTTCCCGGCACTAAGTCACCTCTGATTTTATTGCTCTGCCTGCCCAGAATGGCTGGAGAGCTTGCTTCAATATGAATGCAAAGTCAGAGTTGCCGCCTGCTAGCTGAACCCTCTTTAATTTAAAGAACACTGACTTCTCTGGCAGCCACAAGTTCTGTGAGCCTTTTTACCATCCCTTCCAGCTGAATTTCATTTGGCTTGATTCTAGCTGGCCTTATATAAATCTTTTATCATATAAAAATGCTCCTGATTCTTTTGCTTCCTAACTTGAAGAAGAAAAAAAAAAGAGCCCATATGAAAATGATGGGGATGCATGCAAACAAGCAGTGGTTACATCAAGCTGTGACTGAAAGCCAGTATAGGGCAACTCTTTTGAAATCAGGCAGCAAAGCAGAATCAGAAGAGGTCGGCTGAATAACCTACTAGCAGCCACTAACAGCAGTACCATAGGAGAAAGAGCAATTTGACTGGCTGTGACCAGTGGTGGTCTCTTTGCATGACTATATTTCTGCAGGAAAATCCAAATCAAGAACTGTAAAACACATCTGAACCACGTATTTCTACTGGCATCTCCCCCACCACCTCCTTGCAGTTCAGATGCCCTGAGTCTACTGCAGAGCTTTAGTTTACAATAAAATGATCATTACTTCATTCATTTGCAGCCCCTCCAAAGCCCCTTCTTTGCTCTGCTGGAAGGTTTTGCTCTTTCTGAAACAAGTACATCAACAGAGCTACAGCATATTACTGTTGCCTGCTATATAATTAGCTACGAACCCACAGCACAAAACTACGGGGATTTACAGGTGTCCTGGATTCTGCTTTTCCTTCCCCCAGGACTCAGCTAGTCTTCCTTGACAAGAAGGGACCTTGGGCTACCCTAATGATATATTGAGAGTTTTAAACTCAACTCTCCAATCTTACAAGTCTAGAGTGCCAAAATAACACAGCAGAGACTAGAAGCTGAGCCACGGATACAGGAAAGCACTTTGGTAAGCACTTAAACCTGCTGAGAATCTTCTCTTCTGCCAGATACTTGCATCTTATCAGCAGACTACCCTGAATGAAGGAAGCAAGCACTGTAAGATTTCATTTATTTATAGCTCATTCTGGCTTGCTAACTACAACAAGTGCTCCCACTGCAGAAACAATGCTACAAGTTGGATGACTTCTGAGTATCTCAGTACTATCCAAAGAAAGGTCTAATCTCTGGGTGTTAAAGATTATCAGAATTCTTGAGAATGGCAGTTGGCTACCAATTAGTCACATGGAAGGCTCCTGATTTCTAACCTTCCTTATGAATAAAAAGTCCAGAGGCCGCCCACTGACAGCTGAACATTGAGGATGGATGCCAAGCAGCCTAAACTCAGCCATGACCAAAACACATGCTATCAGGGGAAAACACAGCCGACCTCTTCTGGAGGTAAGACTTGAGAAAAGGGAAGTATTTGAATTAAAACATTATAACACAGAAGGCCAAATTCACAAGTAGCAAACAGCAGAGAAGGTACAGTGGAATCCGACTTAACTAAAGCATGGATTTCCATCTATGAAATAGGTGGAAATAAACACCAATAGGTCCTCACCCATTATATATGTACAGAAACGTACAACAAAGTACACCTCCATCTCCTGCATCAAATGTGATGCTTCTTATTTGAATCACAGAGTAAAGGTTAAAAAGATTACTCATGTTCACTAGCGTATATTAATTATAAAAATCATTTGGAGTTTTAAATTGTGTACTCCCAGACTGTCATATTATATTATACAGAGTCATATGTATAGGCACAATTTATGGGATAATATACTTTACATATGTTTGTATAAATATAACTATATTTTAAAAGATCAAATACTAGTTGACTGAAGAATTTGTTTCCAGATTATCCTGAGGCACTTAATATGCCCAAAGCTTAGTGAAATCCTGAAGGTCAAATGAGTCAATGAATTGTGCAAAATACAGACATTCAGGATGATGCTTCAGTGTAACAAGCTTTCCCATCACCAGCACCAGTGAGTGATACTTAAGTTTCTGAATAGGAAAAAAGACAGACATATACAAAACTTGGGCTCTAAACCCTAAGACTCACTAGGGAAAGAAGGAGAAAAAGGAATATTCAATGATATAGTTTGAACTCCAGGGTTAATTCATGTAAAACTCACTAAAGGGCTGGGCTCACAGAATCTTCAATGAGAGAATTAGGTTCTAGAAGTCTGCACAATAATAAAATGCTCCCTTAGTATAGACTAGTTGCCCTGAATATTCCTGCACCATGAAAACAACTTGAGATAGTCACTTCTCCTTCAAGAACACAAGTCAGTTAAAAAATGACACATTAAAAAAAAAAAATCCCCTCCCCTCAAAAAGAATCACACAGCCTTTAATGCTAAGAAGGTAAAAAAGGAAACACACACACACACACACACACACACACACCCCATACACGTTACATATACATACACACACATGTGTGTGTGTGTGTGTGTGTGTGTATATATATATATATATATGTTTCTAACTATGCTTAAATCAGAAAAATCTCTTTAGCTGCTGTTCAAGTGAAGGAAATTTTAGAAGTAAAGGGTAAATCCAGACCAGAAGCTTGCCTGAGTGAAGTTCTAATAACTGGATCCTCTGCTGAATAAGACCTACAGATGCCAAATAAGTTGGAACTACAGTCCCCAGAAAAAAAATTTAGAAGTCTTGGGTAGAAGATCAAAAAGGAGATAATATACCTCGACTGATGCACACCTAGCAAGAAATGAAATAGGAAGTCACACAGATTAGGAATAAACTATTTAGTAATCTGCTTTTTAAAAAAATTATTGGAGTTTTTTTTTCTAAAAATAGTCGAATTATACCAAAAAACAGAGTAACCGCAACATGTCAAACAATGCAAAGTCCTATGATGAATTAAAAGAAAAACAAAAATGTACCAAATATGTTACTACAAAGCAACTGTTCAAGTGTGCTAAAAACAGGTGTCTTCTCCCTTTTCAGAGGCTCCCCTAGTCATTTGCAATATATTTTGCCTACTTCTCTAAAAATCAAAATAGGTCCTAATAAGTAAGATACAGGTCTTCAATCCCAACAGCAACTAAGGGATTTTCCTGAATAAAAAAAAAAACAAAAACAAAAACAAAAAAAACTCTGCTGCCAGTTTGCAGACAGAGTGCCGTGTTTCACCCCAACCTATGGAGGCTAAATCACAGTCAAAAACAAACTGCGTGACTGGGAATTATAGTAAGAGGAGTTAAAAACAAGGGCAGGTGCAGTGGCTCACGCTCGTAATCCCAGCACTTTGGGAGGCCGAGGCAGGTAGATCACCTGAGTTAGGGTGTTGGAGACAGCCTGACCAACACGGAGAAACCCCGTCTTTACTAAAAAATCAAAATTAGTGGGGTGTGGTGGTGTACGCCTGTAATCCCAGCTAATCGGGAGGCTGAGGCAGGAGAATCGCTTGAACCTGGAAGGCAGAGGTTGTGTTGAGCCAAGATAGCACCACTGCACTCCAGCCTGGGCAACAAGAGCAAACTCTATCTCAAAAAAAAAAAAAAAAAAAAAAAAGCTGCAGGAATGGAATTCCATACACAATGAGATTGCAGTCTTGCTTTGATATTACAGCTTACTAAGACACTTCTAACGATGTGCTGGACAAATTTTGTCTACTTCAAAAACACCTAGCTAGGAATGTGAAGACCAAGTGCAAGGAAAGAAAACACAAAAAATTGGTTAAACAAAATACTGTGGCTCATGCCTGTAATCCCAGCACTTTGGGAGGCCGAGGTAGACGGATCACAAGGTAATGAGATCGAGACCATCCTGGCTAACACGGTGAAACCCCGTCTCTATTAAAAATACAAAAAATTAGCCGGGCATCATGGCAGGCACCTGTAGTCCCAGCTACTCGGGAGGCTGAGGCAGGATAATCGCTTGAACCCAGGAGGCAGAGCTTGCAGTGAGCCCAGATCGCGCCACTGCACTCCAGCCTGGGCGACAGAGTGAGACTCCATCTCAAAAAAAAAAAAAAAAAACAAACAAAAAAAAAAACCTGTTTTCTCCCCCAATAATTTTTGGTCTGTACTAGGTATGGTGGCACATGCCTGTAGTCCCAGCTACTTGAGAGGCTGAAGCAGGAGAATTATTTGAGACCAGCCTGGGAACATGACAAGACCCCATCTCTATGGGAGGGGAAAAAAAAATTGGTTTGTTAACCTCAATTGGGAAAAATATAAAATTCTGTTTTATATTGATAAGTAAAATATGTATGATTCATATACCTTTTCTTTATTCTCACTGATTTTTAAAGCATGCATAAAATATTGTAGTGTAACATCTATAATATCAACTGTGAATAATTCCTGTAACTACTAAGAATAAGCAACATAAGAATAATAATTTTTCCTCTCTCCACGGGCACTACCAGTAACACAAAAAAAAAAAAAAAAAAAGAGGGCTCAGTGTGACTGTCCTAATTAATTTTTGGTCTAAGTTGAACTGTCTAATATAGCAGCCATTAGCCACATGCAGCTAGGGTAGTACTTGAAATACGGCTAGTTTATATTGAGATATGCTGTAAGTATAGAATACGTGCTAAATTTCAAAGATACAGTATGAATAAAAGAAAAAATATTAACAATTGTTATTACATATTGAAATGGTATTTTGGATATAATGGGTTAAATAAGATGTTATTTGAATTAATTTTATCTGTTTCTTTTTACTTTTAAATGTGGCCAATAGAAAATTTTAAATAGCATGTAGCTTGTATTATATTTCTATTTGACAGTACTGGTTTAGAAGTAGTAACTGTCAATTATAGCTGTTCATCAGAGTTCAGAGGAGCTTTTCAAAGTGGTCACCTGGACTCTAATCCAAAATGAATCGGGTCTTGAAAGTCAGGACTCCAATATGTGTATTTTCAAATTACCCCTCAGATAATTTTGAGAATCATTAATCTAGAGGTTAGTGGACATAACTGAGCCTTACAGGACAGAGTGGAACAAATATTGGTAGCCCTCTGTAACTTCTTTCTGTAGAATGAGAAACAATATGCTTTTCGCCTGCTTGATCAAAACAATAACATACAAAAAAAGTACTGGAGTTAGAAAAAGAAGAAAAGTACTTGGCTCAAAACTAGCTAAATCTAAAAGAGCTTAGATTTCTGTTTAAGATGAGCAGGCCTATTGTATAATAAAGACTTTGGCCATTGTCTCTGGTTCCTGGAAGAGAGACTAAATCCTTATAATTTCCCAAGTAATAGGAGTGTCATTGTTATTTTAAGTCCCTTGGATCACACCTGAGTTTATGCTAAGAGATGAGATGACTCAGGAGGGGAGCTGGTCACTAGAAAGACCAACTGTGTGATTAGAAGGTTGAGGGCTTTCAGCCAGCCAGACCTCTGGGAGGGGAGATTGAGTTTAATCACGTAGGCTATGATTTAATCAAGCATGCCTACGTAATGAAGCCCTGATTTTAAAATACTCTGGACACTGAAGGTCAATGGAGCTTCTTGGTTGGTGAACACATGGATGTGCTGAGAGGGTTGATAAACTCTGATTCCACAGGGAACAAACTGGGAAGCTCTGTGTTTGAGACCATCCCACACTTCACCCTAAGCGTCTCGTGCTTTTGGCTGATCCTGACAATAAAACTGTAGTGCTTGAACTCTGTGAGTTGTTCTGAGGGAATTATCAAACTGAGAAAATTGAGGGGACCCTCAAATTTGTAGCCAGTTGGTCAGAAGTGCAAGTGGCCAGGGGACCCCACTTATGGCCCCATCTGAAGTAGGGACAATTTGGTGGTGGACTGAGCCCTTAGCCTGTGGCATCTGATCTAACTTCAGATGGCTAGTGTCAGAATTCAATTGCAGTACACCAGCTGGTGTCATAATAAGGTTATAAATCCAAATTTTAACAAAAACATTTGGGGGAAAAATATATTTTATATATATAAAAAACATATTTTTCATATATATTATATATATAAAAAACACATTTTTCATATATTATAATATATTATGTATATAATCTTATAAAACTAAATTCAAGTAGTAAATCTGCAATAACTGAACAAGCTATACTCTGAAACTGAATACATCATTTTATGATCAAACCTGATCATTTGATCCTAAACAGAACTTTAGATCAAAAAAAAAATTAAAGAAATTTTAACATTTTTCTGGTTTTCACAAAGATGATTTTATTTTTCCTTTTTATTTTGCAATTATCTTCACCTTCACAGTTATACCAATAATAATGATGACAATAACAATAATAATCCAGCAGGTTTAGAATTACACTGACAACCAAGGGAGACTTCAGGGAGATTACAGGATTACTGTTATGTTCAAGTCTGATCTTTATCTACAGGCATGTCCAGATGTTGGGAGGGACTGGCATATAAGTTTTGTAACCACATTGAACTAACCAAGATTCATACTCTTGACATAGAAAGGTGAATAAGATTTCTTAACAAAGCAGTCAAGAAGAATTTCTCTCATTTTTCAGCCAACATTCCCTCACCAAACTGGACATATCCTCAAATAAAAAAAAGTAGGACAGGGAGAACAATTAAGAGAGACAAGGAGAGTGATGAGGAGGGAAGGAAATCAGAAGCAGCCCTGCAGCCTGACTACAAATCACTGCCCAAAGGGAAGCAGGAAAAAGCAGGAAGAAAAGGAGAACTGCCCTGAGAATTACAAAGAGCATTAAGTACAGCGTGTAGTTCTCTACAATTATTCAAGGAATGCAGGAAAAGAAAGAAGACTGAGTGCTGTGCCTATGTGTGCCATGAGTACTTCGCCGCTCACTGAAGGACAACCATTCGTTTCTAGAAAATGAGATTCTGAAATCCATGGAGGCAAAAATGTACCGAGAGATGCTTGCTAAATCAAGGATATATGCTTTTCTCTGCCAGCCATAAGGTATTTTTGAGGTAGAGAAGTGAAAGGATATTCTGAGACAAAGAAGAGAGGTACTTTTTCTGAAGATGCCTCTGCTCATCTGCCGACCTCTGCTGGATCAACAGTGGCATCCAGTGGCCAAAAGTCTCAGCACAGACTTCTTTGTCTCCAGAAAGGGTTTCTATTGCTTTGGGTGAAGTGGCAATTTAGAACAAAACCATTTCTGGTGTCTATAACTAAGGTTCCCAAAAGACACAGTACTTTGTAATACCAAGTGAAGAACCAAAGGCCATAAAGAAGAAATGGAGAGGGGCAGGTTAAGATTGGCTGTGGTATTTATATTTCCTGTGGTATTACTAAAAAGAATGAAAGTACAGGAGGGGATGAACCTATGTGTGGGTGGAATTCCTAGATTTTCATTGCCTTAGAATACTTTTTAAAAGATAGTCTATAAGATAAAGTATTTTCATTTTAAAACAAAAGCAATTCTGAAACAAAAACGTCCATATGTACATTTTATTTTTTAAAAGACAGGAAGGGACAAATAATGTAATTATCATGGCTTAATTCAGTAATTTATTTGAGATTAAGAAGTTTGGTTCTGCAATGTAATTTTTAAAAACTGATTGAATTTCAACTGCTAAATTCAGGTGGTCTGTTTTAGGGAGATAATGAAACTGGCTCAGATATAACCTCAACCCATAGCAAACATATAGAAAAGAAAAGCATTCCACCCAAAGTATTTTTTTGGTCTAATTGCTGATTTAAATTGTTAAAAAGAGTGATTTTTCTGGCAAAGTTCTAGCAAGTAAAATGCTAGTAAATTCTTTCTAATTTTTTAAAAAAGAAAGAAACTATTTCCTCAGTGACATAATACAAGCAAGAATGAATGGAGTAATCCTAAACTTTCATCTTACTTAGACCATAATTTTTCTCTTTAGATCAAAGAAGTGGGCACCAAAAGGCTCTTCTCTTTTGGTTCATATTGTTCATTTTTTGCCCTACATTTCTAACTAAAAAAACATGGAATTGTCATACACATTACTCCCCTTGATTCTCATGGTATACCTCTGGCTGGCTCGGGTGCACATACCACCTCAAACTCACCTGTTTGGATGAGATGTGGGCAGCATGAACTGGAATTCCACCACACAGGTGTTGTCCTTAAGCTGGCGGTGTTGTACGCTGTTAAGTTCATAGGCAATATAAGCCCTTCGAACATACACCTGGTTCAAAAGAAACCCTCAGTAAATAAATTTCAAAAACAGAAATTAAGAAAATAGCCCAGAAAAAGAGTCTTGAAACGAGGTATCTGAGGCAGAAGGTGCTCTGTGGGGAGAGAAGTCCCAAGGCCCTATGTATACGTACATATATTGCTTTAATTAATAAAGCTGGAGTCTTAATACTATAACCATGACTACTAATGAAAACAAAACTAGGCTGCCTCTGCTGGACACCTATGTGCACTGTAAACCTTCTTCCACACTAACCTAAACCCTGGAGAAGGTTTAATCTTTAGCAAAAGACAGCATATAGAACTACAACTATTAATCTATTAAGCATGATCATTTCAACAGAAGATTAAGCAGTGAGAAAAATGAGAGGTGCTGATTTTGAGCCACTTACAGAGTGAAAATAGAAGACACAAGCAATCACAGTACAGTTCAACTCTTTTACTATCTCATGTCTTTGTCTTGCGTCCTCCCCGACTTCCCCACCCGCTCAAAATCAGTTTTCAGCAAACTCTGATCAAAAGCAGTAAGGCATAAGCAGTAAGACATAATTTGACATATAATATCTCAAATACTTGAACTTGACTCAAGAGTTAAAGGAACAGCAATGAAATAAAATAAAAATAAATATAAATTAAAAAAAGAAACAGCAATAGGCTACATCTCTGCAAAAACTGTCAGTCCAACCTCACACATTTCACAGCAAATTTGCCATGCACATAAAATGCTACCTGAGATTCTATGGCACGGGAAGTATATAAGGAAGCTTCTCATTAAATGACATAAAAACACTACAAAACACTTAAATGTTTTAAAACTTTTGGCATTTACTGAGTAGGATAATTTACACTCTACCACAGAGTACAAATAAAAAGTAACACAAAAGAGCTGGCAACAGACTACCGTGATGTTACATTACATAAAATCATCTAAAACACTCTTTTTCCCCATCTTCAAAAAACAACTATTTGGCAACTTTACAGTGGTATTCAGGGCCTGCAATTTTTGTGCTTAATGAGGTAGTGTGCTGTAGCGGAAACAGAAGTCTTTGGAGTCAGATTAGCCTGAGTTCAAATGCAAACTCTTCCACTTATTATCTATGTGATTTTGGACAAATCACTTAACCTCTCAGAGTCTCACTTTCTTCTTACTTCCTAAAGTAACTGTAGGATTAAATGAGAAAGATAAAATACCTAAAACACAGTTCATTAAATGCTATTACTTTCTTTCCTTTGAGGAAGTATTTCATAAGAGCTGCTTGACAATCCAAACATAACTAAAATCAATTTTAATTTGGCCCAAATCACACAATGGTAAGATGACACATGCTCTGATCAGCCATATATTTTCGCTTTTTGTGTTACAAGGAATCCTAATTCATTATGAAATGGGAGAATTCAAATACCTGGAAAATAGAAACTACTGAAAAATGCTGGCAGCTATTTTCCTGTGATTGGAACCTAGAAGCTGGTGATGAGTTCAGATGAAACACTTGAGTAAAGTATCTGAGTAAGCACATACTGTTTCAGAGGAAAAGAGACTAACTACCCTTAAGAACCAACCTTAAGGCCAGAGAACTAGAACTGACATGGCAGCCAAATAGACAGAAGAAACCAGCTAGAAACAAAGGAAAAGGTCATGTCCCATTACCATAAATACTTACCTCCAGAGCTGCCATCCTCACTACTTGGTTGCTGTGATAGAAGAAGTTTGGTAGGACATCAAAAATAGATGTTTCTGATAGGATGAGTTTCTAGAAGATACAAAGACAGGCTTAAGCCTTACATCAAAAGGAGAACAATTTCAATGGACACTATTTGGCATTTGAAGCATTTAGTGAAACCTAAGAATTTTGTCTCTGAATGCCATAATCTCTCTGTGCCTCAGCTTCCTGAGCTACAAAATGGAGAAAATAAAATACCTATCCTCATAGGGCTGTTGTATTATATGAGTAAATACATGTAAAATTCTTGGAATACTGAATTAACAATGCATTATTTGTATGCTAATATAAGTGTTTATGACTGTTATTCTTTTCTGACATTTATCTGAACTCTCTAAATATTGTCTTCACCAGGCATGGTGGCTCACGCCTATAATCCCAGCACTTTAGGAGGCCAAGGCGGGCAGATCACTTGAGGTCAGGAGTTCGAGACCAGCCTGGCCAACATGGCGAAACCCTGTCTCTGTTAAAAATACAAAAATTAGCCAGGCGTGGTAGTGAGTGCCTGTAATCCCAGCTACTCTGGAGGCCAAGGCACAAGAATCGCTTGAACTCAGGAGGTGGAGGCTGCAGTGAGCCGAGATTATGCCACTGCACTCCAGCCTGGGCAACAGAGTGAGACTCTGTCTCAGAAAAATTAAATAAAATAAATATTGTCTCAATACTCCACTATGGTAAACCCTAGATTTGAACTCCAGTTGAAACCCTAGATTTCAGCTATTAACCAAATAAGAAAAAACATCCTTTTTTCCCCTCTAGATTCCCCAGGAAGAAATGTTACAGAAAGTCTAAAGATTCCCCTGGGCCAGATATAACAATGGTATCCTTGTTTCCAGGTAGAAAAATATAAAGTCATTCCTGAGAAGATAACATTTAAAAAATAATTGCGGTGGTCCTTCTGATTAGTAGTAAAATTAGACAATAATCTCTTAAAAACGGGCTTCTTATAAAGCTTAATAATAAGCATTAACATAAAATTAAAATTAAATGATACTTAAATAGCTTTGTCTCCAGAAGAGTAACAACTACCTATGTATACATCTGATTCAAATATCATAAATCATCAGAGAAATGTGTGTGTGTATATATATATATATATCAGAAATCAACCAGCCTTGTCATTTAATTCTGGCCTAGAATACTTTCTAGGTAAAGTACAAAGATAAAGACTTCAATAGGACACTTCTATCAAGGCAGGCCTATTTGATTTTTAAGCTAAACCACAATTCTAACAGCATTTGTATGAAAAAAATATTCATAAGTATAAATCATTTTAGAAAGTCAAGATATGAAACTCCATTATATGGAAAATCAAAATTAATTAATTAAGTGACTAATTACTTAAACTATGCTTGAGAATAAAGGAGGTAAGAGTCCAGATAGGCAGGAAAGGGTTATATATATATATATATATATATACCTGCAGGTTCTCAATGCAAAATTGATGTCCATACATGTCAATAGCTGATAGGAAGATAGACTCTACTTGGTTATGGCGAAGCTCATATGATGGCAAATGGGAGGCAATAAGAACCTAGAGTGAGAACAAAATAGGAGGCACACATTCCTCGGAGTGATTATTCTAGACTCCTATTAGGCAGCTCTGATACAAAAGCAATAAATATAAATCTGTAAGTGCAGGCATCACAGATAAAACAGAGACCAAGTAAAACAACTTCTAGGTCCTGTAACATAAAGCCAGTGCCACCAAATACTGAATCTCAGTTGACTCTCACCATGATTTGCATTGTGGCCAATTTCCCATGGTGGGTAGGGGGAAGGGAGAGAAAACAGCTTCGATCAAGTTCCATCAGTGTATGTGATTTACCATTGCAAAGCTGCTGGTCCTAGGGACTGCATGACTAGCTGTTAATTGGGAATCAGGTCTGGCAGGGAGCAGCTGTGGGAAAGGTAGATGCAGCAGAGCTAGCCTTTTACAACTCTGAAGTAGAAAGAAAGACTAGGGAAAGCTGCTTTGACAGCCCCAGGTACTCGGCACCAAGGAGAACGCGTCAGGAAGTAACACCAGAGTGTGTGAGGGGCAGAGAGAGTGAAAGCAGTGTCACAAACAAACAAACAGTGACACGGTAGGATCTGAATACCCTCAGCAGGTCACTGAGAGGTTCAATAGCTTTGAGTAGTTCAGTGACATGGATACAATTGTAGAGAAAGCAGAAGGTCACTGAACAGCTTCAAATGCTGCTTCCTTGTCAATGCCCATGCACTGAAACACAAAGGGAGTGCCAACTCTTGGCTTCCCTGCTGAAACCTTTTGGAATGGAAATGAAGACTGCAGGGTGAAACTAACTGGACTTCTCTGGGGTTGTTCTGATTGCTGCCGCCTAAGATTCATTTCATTATCTTTCTGCTTTCCACACTTGATTATTTCCTGTACACTTGGAAGTTTTCATCTGCTTCTAAGCTCCCTTTGGGAAGTAAGAAATACTGAGTCTATTTTCTTCCCTGAGTGTCCTTTCCTCCACCTGACCCTGGTTTACTATCACAGGGCTACTAGGGAGGGAAGGGAATGATACCAGGATTTTTTAATGGGGAAAGGGCTTCTATTTTAAAGAGACGCAGCACTAATCTTTTCCTTTCTCTTTAAAAAAACATACCACATGAAAACATTTGTTCTGAGGAAAACGTGACACATATATAGAAAATAACATGTTCTTTGTAAAGTGATTAAGCAAAAGTTCATTGTGTCTAGGACTGCCTGATCTATGAAAGCCATCCCTCCTTTAAGAAAACCAACAAATGTCCTTACCTGGCGTGCTCGAAGTGCTACTTTGGCATTGGTGGTCTTACTGAGTTGAGTTAGCTCTGTGAGAATATTCAGCAGCTCATCAGTGAGAGTAGGGTCCCGGCCACACAACTGATCCTAATTGTTAATGTAAAAAAGAACATAGATAGTCATATTAAAAAGAACAGGTGGATAGGATTTTAAAATAGAGAAAAGGAATGAAAACAAAGTAAACCCAGCTGGATTAATAAGAAAATGCAAACTTCCTATTATTTTTACCCTAAACAATGTGGTAAAGAAGATCCCAGAGGAAGTTTGGCTAAGGAGAGGCAGCCCAAATCCCTCATTCAAAATTCCTAATGTATTTCCTTATAAATCAACACTATACTTTTAACACGCAGAAGGAATCATTAGAGACCACTAAAAGGGGCCAAGGGGATTCTGAGTAAGAAATAATAGATATGTCTCAAAGTTTTAAGAGAAAGTTTTAAACAACAGGGACTAAAGGCCTTCCTGTTTCCCCTCCCACTTTTGGAAAGAAGGTAGATATAAGGCAAAAAGAACCACCCCAGTGGTTTTCATCTCATAAACCAAATTTTCAGCAACCCAGGAGGATGCAAAACAGAAACACAAGAATAAATTATTTATTTATAAACACACACTAACTAAAACACCATCTCATATGCTGGCAATTCTGCATCCCAAATCATTTCTCTTCTTCCTGTACCAAGAATCATTCCATGATACTTAAACATGTGAATCCTTAGCTGAATTAGAGGAAAAAAACAGGCTCCTACTATAGAATCCATGGTTTATTCAGTATTGGGTCCTTCCTCTTCTAAGAAGTAAAAAATGTTAAGAAAATAATCTCAATCATATTCTGAGAGAAATATCCTTACTGGAGTCCAGTGGAATATCAGTTTATTCCCTAAATTCATCCATTATCCATGCAATTTCCATCTAAGCTGAAAAAAATGTAAATGCAGTTTTTATAAATGTCTGTCCTTTTTGAACTTTACAGAGCTACTGGTAGTAGTAATTATTAACACCACACCATATAAAATATATCCATTTAGATATCACTACCTCTACTTGGAGTTTTAAATAATTGCCTTGGCTGGGCAGGGTGGCTCACACCTGTAACCCCAGCATTTTGGGAGGTCAAGACAGGAGGACTGCTTGAGCCCAGGAGTTCAAGACCAGCCTAGGCAACATGGTGAGACCCCATCTCTAAAAATAAAAAATAAAAATAAATAAAACAAAAAATTTTTAGGCCGGGCGCTGTGGCTCACGCCTGTAATCTCAGCACTTTGGGAGGCCGAGGCGTGCGGATCACGAGGTCGAGACCATCCTGGCTAACACGGTGAAACCCCGTCTCTACTAAAAATACAAAAAATTAGCCGGGCGTGGTGGCGGGCGCCTGTAGTCCCAGCTACTCAGGAGGCTGAGGCAGGAGAATGGCGTGAACCCGGGAGGTGGACCTTGCAGTGAGCCGAGATCGTGCCACTGCACTCCAGCCTGGGCAACAGAGCGAGACTCTGTCTCAAAAAAAAAAAAAAAAAAAATTTTTTTTAAAGAATTGCCTTTGTATTTTAATAAATATTTATTCTCCCCCTACTACCAATGGGACATGAAAGAAGACCCAAAGGGCCTGCTTGTTGCTGCATGTTAATCTCCCCACTTTGATTATCAGCCCTTTTCTTGAAGAATTTCTATTTCATACTTAACCTTCCCCATCTCAGGGATACTCTTTATAGACCTTTATCACAGAAGTATAAATAAATGCAGTATAAATAAAAGACATGCTTTTTCCAAAACCCCTACCTTCCACATCACAAGGTAAATACTTTTGAAATACTCAATGCCATTATGCTGGGAAGGTTTCTCAAACCCTTTTTTTTTTTTTTTTTTTTTTGAGAAAATGATATAATGAGATTCTGGTTCCCTAATCCACCAATCAGAGGTCTGCTCTGACTGTCCAGAGTCATAAAACATATGATGGGAGTTATAATTAAGGAAGTGCAAGTACTGTTTTCACCCATTTCACCCAGATAATTCACTCATCTGAGTGAGAAAAATAAAAGCTGCTATTAAAGTGAAGATAAACCCAGAGGTTCTATTGAACAGGTAGCACAGATTAGAGAATCTGTTCTACCTATCCTAGGCATAAAAGCAAACAGGAGAAAGGAAATGCAAGTAAGTCTCACCTTTTGCTGAGAACTAATGAGCAAAACAGAATTTCAAAGGAATATGTAAAACTACCAGAAACAGGACCATAGAAAGACAGAAGGAAAGAATTGACAGATAACAGTAGGTAGGGAAACCAACATAATTTTTTCCTACCTAAGTCCCTTTCCTAATGTTCTTAATAGAGCAAACATACTCCTTTCCGAAGTACTTACTAAAAGCATTGGAATGACCCACCAAAATGCCTAAAAACATAAGAAGTCTACTGGGTAATGCCACAACTCGACTCCTCTGTACAAAGCCAGACTAAAGTCTCAACATTAAAAACAAAAGCCAACATGACAAAATAAGAGCACTAGGGCCAGGCGCGGTGGCTCACGCCTGTAATCCCAGCACTTTGGGAGGCCGAGGAGGGCGGATCACGAGGTCAGGAGATCGAGACCATCCTGGAGAACACGGTTGAAACCCGTCTCTACTAAAAATACAAAAAAATTAGCCGGGCGTGGTGGCGGGTGCCTGTAGTCCCAACTACTCGGGAGGCTGAGGCAGGAGAATGGTGTGAACCCGGGAGGCAGAGCTTGCAGTGAGCCGAGATCCGGCCACTGCACTCCAGCCTGGGCAACAGAGCGAGACTCCGTCTCAAAAAAAAAAAAAAGCACACTAATCACCTCCGCAACCTGTATCAGATTTGATATAGAATGCATTCCCTTTAAAAGAAATATAGGTTTACCTTTACAGATGAAACTAAAATTTTTAAAAATGGAGTTATCCTCTTGCATAGTTACAGATCATGTTTTGTTCTGTTTTGTTTTGTTTTTAAGACGGAGTCTCTCTCTGTTCCGCAGGCTGGAGTGCAGTGGCGCAATCTTGGCTCACTGCAAGCTCCGCCTCCGGGGTTCACGCCATTCTCCTGCCTCAGCCTCCCGAGTACCTGGGACTACAGGCGCCCGCCACCATGCCCGGCTAATTTTTTGTATTTTTAGTAGAGATGGGGTTTCACCGTGTTAACCAGGATGGTATCGATCTCCTGACCTTGTGATCCACCCGCCTCGGCCTCCCAAAGTGCTGGGATTACAGGTGTGAGCCACTGCGCCTGGCAGTTACAGATCATGCTCTAACTTAAAAGACAAAACAAAGCAAAACACGTAAAAGCACTTTTTTTTAAAAACCACTTTTTTATTTTATCTTTCCACTATGAGAGAAAGGCAGTAAAAAAGGGCTTCAGGAGAAAACAACAGTATGTGTAAGAAAAGCGAACTATGGAGATTAGAAAAAATAAATGTGGGCCAGGCGTGGTGGCTCACGCCTGTAATCCCAGCACTTTGGGAGGCCGAGGTGGGCGGATTACCTGAGGTCAGTTCGAGACCAGCCTGACCAACATGATGAAACCCCATCTCTACTAAATACAAAAAAATTAGCTGGGCGTGGTGGCGCATGCCTGTAATCCCAGCTACTTGGGAGGCTGAGGCCAGAGAATTGCCCAGGAGGTGGAGGTTGCAGTGAGCTGAGATTGCGTCATTGCACTACAGCCTGGGCAACAAGAGTGAAATTCCGTCTCAAAATAAAATAAAATAAAATAAAATTAAAATAAATAAATAAGGCCGGGTGCGGTGGCTCACACCTGTAATCCCAGCATTTTGGGAGGCCAAGGTAGGTGGATCACCTGAGGTCAGGCGTTCGAGACCAGCCTGACCAACATGGAGAAACCCCGTCTCTACTAAAAATACAAAATTAACTGGGTGCAGTGGTGCATGCCTGTTATCCCAGCTACTCAGGAGGCTGAGGCAGGAGAATCGCTTGAACCCAGGAGGCAGAGGTTGTGGTGAGCCAAGATCGCGCCATTGCACTCCAGCCTGGGCAATAAGAGCGAAACTCCATCTCAAAAAATAAATAAATAAATAAATAAATAGATAAATAAATAAATAAATGTGAAGTAATTATCAAACAGTATGAATTAACCACTATTTTCGTTAGTCTATTCTGACTTGGAAGTTTTCCATTCAAATATTTTCTCCACTGTCATCATTAATACTTAGAAAAAAATTGGCAACAGAAAATTATGTATAGAATAACTTCCTCAACCCTGTCTTGTCCCTGACCTAGACACAGCATTCAGGTTCTGCAAGAAAACATCAGGGTTTTTCAGAACCACCCATCTTAAGATGCCAACTAACATCCAACAGGAAGTTTATTACCCTCTGTCCTAGAGACAGGCTTCTTTTGGGCAACTGGACAAACAAACATCACCATCTAATCCTGGTGAACATTTTGTAAGGATACCTTTAGATGGTGTCTAGGTCAGCAGATGTGTTTAGTCAACATAAAAAGGTTTGTTTAAAGAGCCAACCTGCTGATTTTGGGATTACAGGTCACTTGCAAAAATCTGGCATCCCAATCCACCAACCAAAGGTCTGTTCCAACTGTCCAGAGTCATAAAACGAAGTGAAAATTATTATTCAGCCATACTGGTACAAAACAGTTATTTCTTGCTTTTACTTTTGACCTAGATGGTAGCTAACTATAGGAAATAGTTCGAATTTGCAGAAATACAACAAACATGATAAAACGTTAAACCCATAGCCAAGGCTGGGCACAGTGGCTCATGCCTGTAGTCCCAGCATTTTGGGAGGCCAAGATGGGAGGCCGAGACCGTTTGAGCACAGAAGTTTGACAGCAGCCCAGGCAACACAGTGAGACCACATCTTTAATTTAAAAAAAAAAAAAAAAAGCATAGCCAAAGTTACACAGTTGACTGACAGAAGAAACCAACATAGTCCAACTTGATCTTAGAAGGCAATTCAAAACGAAAAGAATGTGACCTTATGTGTAATGCCCTCAAGACATTAACTATTATTTAGCCGGGTAGGCACTAAACCCAGGATCAGCAATGAACTGGTAGCTTCTTCTAGTCATATCTGCACTTTTTGATATCCCAAAAAATGTCATAGGGTAAGTTTAACAATTGTTAATATCACCCTTATTCAGTGAATGTGGAATCACTGAGAAAGACTTTTCTTCTTTATTTACATATTGGACAAAATTATTTGCAGTCAGGTTAAGTGGAGGAAGGAAAGGTGCTGATCAGCATCATAAATTCTCCCCATCTAAACCAAATCAGGGGTTCATAGGCATGGCATTACTCATACAGAAGCATGGTTTATAGCATGTTCATGTGGACCGTATCAAAAATAAGTTACAAGTAGTGAGGGGAAGACTACTTACCATCAAGGTGGCTAGAAGATATGTACATTGCCATCTAGACAGCTATGAAGATGTTGATACTTTGTATTTGTACCAATTAGCTTAATCTGGCTAAAGATTAAAGAGTTCCTTAAATATCTCTAAGCAAACATAAACAATGTTCTGAGTTCTAAGCTTTTTCCTATAAAGTTAAATTTAAGAAATAAGAAGAGCTTTCAAAAAATAAATGTACTATTGGTCTTCCAGACTTTGTGTTAAATTGTGTTACAATGTCCCTTTAAATGGAGGAAACCTGATAGGACTTTAGCCTTTTACCTGATACTTTGCTTTCCAGACAGAGTGAAAGATTACCAGAAATCTGCTTGAGAGTCCATGAGGCAAGTTACCACTGGGCAGGTTATGCTAACACCTGGAGAGGATGAAGGTACCTCTTTACTAGAGCAACGCATATCCCATGACATTGACTCACGGAAGCCTGAGTTTCTTGATACCTCCCTCCCTGTAGGTTCAAAAGCCCCAGAAATCATCATCTAGCTCAGCAAAGCATACTATCAACATTCCTACTTCTAGAAAGCAGAGAATGGAATACTGGGCACATAACCATCAATCAGGAAGCCAAGATATGCAAAGAAAGGGGAACCAGCAGAGAACACAAGCTGGGGGAGTCAAAGTGCTACCATGTGCAGGTGACATCTGTAAAAGATACTAAGATCCGAGGAAAGAATAATCCAAACAACCAAAATGGCTCTTACCAGCTACTACCATTAATGCAGATGTGGGAGAGGAGGAGGGAGAGGAAGAAGGAAGGGGGAGCAGCTAAGCGTTGTCAAAGAGGAAAAGAGGAAGACATGTCTGGCATTCAGTAACATCAGATCAGAAAAGAGCACCGTCTTGAGCTTTTACCCATGTTCCATAAGTCACTGCTAGCTGGCCCTGAGCTTGATCATATCATTAACTTCTTGATTTCCAAATCTCTAAGATGAAATGAAAACAACTGATATTTGAAAAGAAATTAATGACATGAAAGCTTAGAGATCCTCTTATGTTTACTGGGTCTCATTTTGTTTTTGTTTTTTTTTTAAAGAAAAATGTAATGACACCAAAATAAAGAAAGGGACAAATCTGGCTTCCTGGTTCACATGTTCAACCGTCCTTATCCTCCTCCTCCTCCTCCTCCTCTTCCCATCCCCCTTGTCCTCCTCCTCCTCCATCCTATTCACCCAAACTCAAACTCTGAAACAGCTCTTTTCCCTAAAGAGCTCAGCCTGTTGGAAAGAAAGTCTGGGTACTATCCATGCAGGTAAGAAGTAATCAGGATGACAAGGTGGGAGAAAAAAAGAACAGCGTGGAAAGTCAGAGTCCCATTGGCTTCTGCCTGTCCTGACTGGCAAAAGCAGAAAGCAAAGCCTCAAACCAGTTCTCTGACAGGGCCCAACGCCTCTGCAGCACCCCCCGCGTAATTACACACTTGAGTGACTGGACTCTGAAGAAAATTGAAGGCCTGAGCTCCGAACAGCTGCCATTTTCTCTCTCCATCACACCAGCGTGATTACTTGAGAAATGAACAGCCCTGGCTCAAAGCTACTCCAGAATTCTCAGAGGAAATATGGCTCCGTGTTCCAATAATGAGATTCTTAAGGCAAGCGTTACTTACAATCACTCCGCAAAAGGAGCGAGCTGAGCCCCTATATCTTACAAATTAGAATTTAAGAAACCCAGCGACAGTCTTGGACAATCATTACTCTTCCGCTGCTCCAAGGATTCTAGGCTTTGGTCTATTTTTAGTGCAGAAAACTGTTAAGTTCTTAAAAACGTAATCACAATAAAAAGAAAAACTCACCATAATTAGCTTCCTATAAAGGCAAATTCCACCCCATTCTAGGTCCAAACTGACAGATTCTCCTACCCTCCTCATCATTACCCTTTTCTGACAGAAAGTCTTGGCTTTATCCAAATGAGATTTAACAATCCTTTCATTAAATTAAAAAAAACATCTAAATAGTCTTTCTTCCTTCTTTTGACTGACAAAAAAAATTAGCAAGCTGCCATAGATTGTATCATTTCTTAGCTGAAACCTGTCACTTGGGGGAAGTTGAAGTATTACATTGTACTAACATATATATTTTTCCCTCTCAACTGCATCTTTCTCGTTTCCCTACCATCTAGCTATTCTAGGGTAGCAAAGGCAATGAACTCTCCCTATAATTACATATTTTTTAAAGTGGCTATTCTAAAAAATGTGATACGCTTTAGAGTTAACCAGCTAGGCATATAACTGAATGAGTGGCACTCTTGTTAATCAGAGGTGTATGGTAGATAGTTTCCCTTCATTCTGAAGAAATAAAAAATAGCATGAAGATGTATGTTTTTTTCCTCCATGAAAAAATGATGTAATTAACTTACCAAGAATCCCAATTCCACAAAGAGACAAAAAGAAAACTCTAGGAGTGAAAAGGCACTACAGTCCCCAAAAAGACAGGCATGCAGCAGCAAGGCAAATGCTCAGGACCATGGGGTGAGGGACTCTAGGAGTAGTCCTACTGTACTAATTCCTACAACTAACTCAACCAGAATGAGCTAGGAGTGAAGGACTTGCAAGTCATCTTTAAAAATCCTTCAGCCCACAAAAATTCCACCCACTGGCTGAATGCACATTAGCTCTCATCAAACTTACCAGGCTCACTCCCTATTCCTACTTCCTACTAATTCTTATTTTACTAAGTTATAGGGAAAAAAATCATACATTTACTACCAATACAATAATCCGAGCTTAGATTTTCAATGTAAATAAAAAGGGACCAATGAAGATGCAGAATACATTTAAATTTCTCTGGTCAGAGAGGGGGAGTGCTGGATTTCTATTTATTTTTTTTCAAGTTTGACATGAGAGCCATTGCTTGTATCTATGGAACAAGAGTTAAAATTAGAATATATTGGCTAAATAAGATGAAATTTTAAAGCTGCTGTCATGATGACCACAGGAATGGTGAAGCACGAGGCATTTCTAAACAGAGTTAGGAGGTATAAGTTCCTGTGAATGAGTATATGCATAATGGCCAGAAGAGTCATTTTCTCACTAAAGCAGGTTCCTTCAGACCAAGGACAAAGGTAGACGTGAGAAACTGTTAATCCACAGCTCAAGCCCCATTCATCCCATAATTATAAAAGGCAGTAGTTTTTTTTCTCTGGCCATAGCCATCAAAAGGAAAAAAATACTTTTTGCATATCATTGACGGTCTTTACAAGTTCTGAAAAATGGTACTCACAATAAGCATTGTGACCAGAAGATTCTTCTTGGTGACTTGAGCGTGAGAGAAGATGTAGTTCAGTACAGTGTTCATGTCACTTTTATTCTCTTCTCGGAGGGCGAATACACATTTGTCATAGTGACCTGCACACCATGAAAAGAACTGGTTCTCACCCATGTATAAATGTTCACATTTACATGCTATTTGTTTTGTACTGTCTATAATTTATGAGACGAGCAGTGAGAAGAAACATCATAAGGATTTTCTTGGATGGATTTGTACAGAAACTGGCAATGTGATTTAGTAAAAGGAACACTGGACTAGGAGTCAGGCAATTTGGATATAAGATCTGGGTTCAAGGCCTAGTTCTATTAGCAATTTACTGTGTGCTCCTGGGAAAATCATTTTACCTCTCTGGGCCTCAATTTCATTAAATTTTTTAAAAATTGGGGAGGTGGGTGTACCTTAAAGACTGAAAGATTGGGAATAACTCAAACCCCAGTCTTACTCTAAACTCTCTCATGATTTCTTTAGACGAGAAATTTCTGTTTAAAAAGAAATGTAAATATCATTAAACTTGATGATCTTTAAGGTCTCCCCCAGAGCTTGAGATTCTGATTCCATGTTTGACTTGCAGAAAATAGTTGACCCTAATCAGTAGGAACAGTTTTAGCTCAAAAAATAAAACCACACCAAACTTAGCAATATCCATGAGAAGTGTGACTGCTACCCCTGGAATCAACATTTTCTTCTGTTAGTCCTTGAAACAGCTAAGCAATGCCTAGGAACGCCAAATCCAACCCAAGGTATAGATCAAGGAGAACCTTGCATTAAGTCAAAAGGTCTGTAGGGAGACTAAAGTTATGCATATTTTCACTTGCCTTCCCTAAGGCCACCAGGGGCAGGTTAGTTCTGAGTAGGAAAGCTATGTTTTACAACAGAAGCATAAGCCTCTGGTACACTGTAGTGATATCTGCCATGGGATATAAGTAATATTCAGTTCTTTAGAAAACAGCTTACCTCAGAATTAAATTTCCAAGTAAAGAGGAATTAGTGTTTGAATATTCTCAAGGGTCAGAATTTTATGAAATCATGAAAACAGTAAAGGATTATCACCTCAGTTCAGATTCCACGTTAAGTTACAAACCAGAACAGTGACGTTCAAACTGCATTATCATGGTTTCCTAGAACACTGAGTACACTGGACCAGTGTAACCAGGCTTTTAATTATTCTAAATATTAGAGATTGACATAAGCAATTTTTTTCCAAATAAAATTATATTTGAAAAACAATGGACTACAATATCGAGAGAGCTGCCAATTTCATAAAAGACACATTTAGACCAAAAGGGAAGCTGTTTAAAAATTAGCTGTTCTGCATTAATATTTTTCTCTACCAAGACTTAGCTTTGAAGTGACAACACAAATAAACTTTGGCAATAGGACCAGGGGAAATAAAAAGAACACATTTACCCGGGGTGAGGGGAGACATTAACAGAAAGAAAGCAATGATACTTTCTTGTTTTTTTTTTTTTTACTTTGAAGATCCTGCATACCAAGACACTCTTTTTTAAAAACACTTAATTGGCTGGGTGCGGTGGCTCACCCTTGTAATCCCAGCACTTTGGGCAGCCAAGGCGGGTGGATCACTTGAGGTCAGACATTTGAGACCAGGCTGGCCAACAGGGTGAAACCCCATCTCTACTAAAAATACAAAAATTAGCCAGGCATGGTGGTACACACCTATAATCCCAGCTACACAGCAGGCTGAGGCAGAAGAATTGCTTGAACCCAGGAGGCAGAAGTTGCAGTGAGCAGAGATTGCACCACTGCACTCCAGCTTGGGTGTCAGAGTGAGACTTCATCTCAACAAAAAAAGAACACACACCAAACAAAAAACAAAACAAAACAGTTTAATTATGAAATATATATACAGAAGAATATATAGAATATATGGTATCAGTTGAAATAAACACCCATGTGTTATTTTAAAGCCATTACATTTTAATAGAACATCTCTAGTATCTTTGAAGACCCCTGCGTACCCCTCCTCAGAAACAACTACTAAGCTGAATTTTATGTTAATTATTCTTTTGTTTTTCTTAACTTTTATCACCAATGTATGTATAGCTTAATTTTCCTGGTTTTTGAACCTGAAAAAAATGGAATCACTGTACCATTTCTTTTCCTTAACATTGTATTTTTGAGATTCATCCTTTTGTTCAGTGTATGCCTTGGTGCATCCATTTTCACTGCTGCATAGTAATCCATGGTAGGAATATACCAGACTTCAATGATCCACTCTACCTATGTATATTTAGATTGTTTCTTGTCTTTTTTAAGATTATGAACAGTGCTGTCACAAATACTCCTGTATATGTATCCTAGTAAACATGTGTAATAGTTTCTCTAAAGTATATTTTCTAGGAGTAAAATTACTAGGTTAAAGAATACAAATAAGTTCAACTTTATTAGGTACTGACCAACTGTTACCAAAGTGGTATATACCAATTTGTACTTCCATGTACAGAAGCAATGAAGATGATGATGTGACTTTTAAATTTTTGCCACTCTCATTGTGGTTTTGGTTTATATGCCTCTAATTACAAATGGGATTGAGCATCTTTGTGTAAGTTTATAAATTATTTGTACTTCTTCTTCTGTAAAATATCTTTCTATATCTTTTGCCCATTTCTCTATTAGGATGTCTTTAACTTGATGATTCATACCAATTCTCTAGATACTTCTAATTATTTTTTAGGTATATATTTTGTAAATATCTTCTCACACTTTGTAGCTTATATTTTCAGTCTCTTTTTTTGGAGACTGTGTCCTGCTCTGTCAACGGGGCTGGAGTGCAGTGATGCAATCACAGCTCACTACAGCCTCGACCTCCCCAGGCTCAGGCAATCCTCCAACCTGAGCCTCCCAAGAAGCTAGGACTACAGGCACATAACACTACACCTGGCTAATTTTTGTATTTTTTTAGAGACGGGGTCTTGCTATGTTGCCCAGGCTGGTCTCGAACTCCTGGGCTCAAGCAATCTGCCGGCCTTGGCCTCCGAAAGTGCTAGGATTACAGGCTTTTCAGACTCCTTATGACGTATTTTGATGAACAGAAGTTCTTGAGTGGAGTTTAAGTAATCAATCTTTTCTTTTGTAGTTTGTACTTGCTGTGTCTTATACAACAAAATCTTCCTATCCTGAGGTTATAACGATATTCTCCTAACCATTTAACAGCTTCACCTCTTTAGTACATATTTAAGTCTTTATCGGGAATTGATTTTTGTGTATAGGCATAAGATAGGGATTCCATTTCTTTCTTTCCTCTTTTTTTTTTTTTAAATGAATAACCCATTGTGCTGGTATCATTTATTGAAAAAAAAAAAAATCTATCCTTTCCCCATGATCTACAATGCCTCCTCTATCATAAAATAAGTTTTCATATATGGCTGGATCTGTTTCTGGGTCATTAAGTTCCACTGATCTATAAATCTATCTCTACACCTATCTCACAATTTCTTAATTAATATGGCTTTATATTAAATCTTGATATCTGATTAGGCAAATCTTTTCACCTTGTATTTCTTTGGAAGTATCTTGGTTATTGTGAGACTTGTCTTTTATGGAAATTTTATAATTAGCATTACAAATACACTAACAGAATTTTTATTGAAATGTCAATCTACAGATGAATTTAGGAAGAATCGGCACCTAATAGTGTACATTCCAATTTAAGACCTTGATAATTTATTTAAATCTTCTTTACTATTATAATATTCTTGATTATAATTTTCCTCAAAAGAGGCTTGCACATTTTTTGTTAGATTTACTCCTTAGTATTTCATGTTTTGGGTTGCTATTTTATCAACTAATTAATTAATTATTTAGAGACAGGGTCTTGCTCTGTTGCCTGGGCTGAGTGCAGTGGTACAATCATAGCTCACTGCACCCTTGAATCCCTGGGCTCAGGCAATCCTCTTGTTTCAGCCTCTTGAGTAGGTAGGACTATAGGCATGTGCCATCATGCCTGGCTAATTGTTTTTAATTTTTTGTAGAGATGGGGTCTCACTATATTGCCAAGGCTGGTCTCAAACTCCTGGCCTCAAGCAATCCTCCTGTCCTGGCCTCCCAAAGTGCTAAGATGACAAGCATGAGCCACTACATCTAGCCTGCTATTTTAATTTTTTTTTTCCTGAACTGCTTTTCTAAACAATTGCTCTACTGTAAACAAATACTGTTGAATTTTGTATGTTGACTTTTGTATTTAGCAATCATGTTAGATTTTAAATAATTTAATAATCAATCTGTGAATCCTTTGAGGCTTTCTAAAGAGACACCCTATCATATTTAATAATGGCAGATATATTGCTTTATTACTTTCTAGCTCTTATACCCTTTAATTCTTTTCCTTGTCTTACTGCACTGGCTAGGACATCCACTATAAAGCTGAATAGAAGTAGTGACAGCAGGCATCCTTGTCTTATTCCTAATCTTAAAGATAATGTTTTCAACGTTTTACCATAATGCATGATGTATCCTGCAGATTTTTTTGTGGGTCCCTTTTACAAGATTTTAAAAGTTCCATTTCACTCCTAGTTTCCAAGAGTTTGTCATGAATGGATGTTAAATTCTGTCAAATGCTCCCTCTCCACACCCTGTTATCTTGAGATAATGAGCATGTTTTTCCTCCTTTCATCTATTTCATGATAAATTATATTAATTGACTTTCTCCAAACTGATCAACCTTGAATGCGTGGGATAAAGCCAACTTGGTTGTTATGTATTATTTTGTATGTTATTGGATGCGGTTTGCTGATATCTACATGAGGATTTTTGCTGGTCATGAGTGGCATAGGCTGCTTTTAAAGGAAGTGAAAAGGAGCAGATAAAGGAAAATGTTTCAAATTTCAGATAATGTTTCAAATTCTGTGATGTTTCACTGCCATCTTGTGGCAGGAAGCAATGTCAGCAGTAAACAGCTTTAAAATTTTAGCCAAGGTTATTTCACACTTAAGAGACAATTTATCATTTAGTGAAGCTCTTCAGAGAAAGCCAGGGATAAAGTCTACCTAAATGATATACTAAAAAGTATTGGAAAACCTGAACTTGCTCTTCCTAGATGCCTCTGGTTCAATTCATGGATTAGCTGCCAAGAATCAAGCTCTTCAGATATGGGTTTCTCAATTTCAGCCTGTGATGACTCAACCAACTTACACTACACAAGGTCAAAAAGATATCAACAGGAATGGTAATCTCTATTAGAAAAATTACTTCAGCCCTTTCTCAGAAGCACACTGGATTCCTAATTTCATCAAGCTGTGTTTCGTTGTTCTTTCTTTAGAGCTAGTGGATATAGAGGTTTAGTTTTTAAGGGAGTAGTGATAGGAGACTGTTTATTAATGGGAAGTGTTGTTGACAGGAGGGGGCTTAGCTCTTACACAGTCCTATAGGGATAGTTTGGGTTGGTTATCAGAATCAAGGCTTTCTTAGCTAGAGAGTCCTCAGGAAGAGGCTTACCATTCTGGAATTGTGTCTCTACTCGCAGGTACTGCCGGAGCAGATCCATCACCACAGCCTTCATGTGGCCTCGGATGCCACTTCGGTACCTAGGCAAATAGAAAGTCTCCACTGAAAAACCTGACAATCCAACACTATTAAGCAATAAACCCAAAGGCCAAATTTACCTCCACGACATTCCACTGAACTGCTTTCCCTCTGAATAAAGAACAGCCTAAAATGAACTACAAAATTAACTTAAATTCTAAGCCTAAAAGAAATCTCACTATAGACAAGACCTTTTTTAATAAAGAAGACAACAAAATCCTGCATAGCCCCACCTACCAACACCTTGATTCAGTTCCTACTGCTAAGTAGAAATTATTACCATACTCTTGAAATGGCTGAGATATCTGAAAAATTTATAAGTATCTTAAAGTTAAAAGTGTTCTGTGAGGCCGGTTGCCTTAGCTCACATCTGCAATCCCAGAACTTTGGGAGGCCAAGGCAGGAGGATCACTTGAGTCTAGGAGCTCCAGACCAGCCTAGGCAATATGGCAAAACCTCTTATCTACAAAAAATACAAAAAAATTAGCCAAGCATGGTAGCATGTGACTGTAGTCCCAGCTACTCAAGAGGCTGAGGTGGGAGGATTGCTTGAGCCTGGGAGGCAGAGGTTGCAGTGAGCTGAGATTGTGCTACTGTACTACAACCTGGATGACAGTGTGAGACCCTGTCTCCAAAAAAAATAAATAAATAAATAAATAAATAAATATGCTCTGTGAATATCCCTTTAGTATTAATAGCAACAACCACAATTACTTTTGCACCAACCTAATATAATAGGCTCCATAAGCTAAGAAGAAAAAATGTCATACTGGGCCCTGTGACAGAAGAAAAATTAGGAGCTTCATCAAAATGGCAAGGAAAAAGAAAACAACAAAATTTCTGTGCCTTATTAATTGACAGGCTGGACGCAGTGGCTCATGCCTGTAATCCCAACAGTTTGGGAGGCCGAGGCGGGTGGGTCATTTGAGCCCAAGAGTTTGAGATGAGCCTGGGCAACATGGCAAAACCCCAGCTCTTCTAAAAATACAAAAATTAGCTGGATGTGGTGGTGCACAGCTATAGTCCCAGCTATTCAGAGGGGTTGAAACAGGAGGATCACCTGAGCCTCAGGAGGTTGAGGCTGCAATGAGCCATGATTGAGCCACTGCACTCCAGTCGGGGCAACAGAGTGAGATCCTGTCTCAAAAAATAATAATAATAATAAATAATTGACAGAAAAAAATGTAGAATATTAAGAAGTCAGAAATATTGAGCATGAGAGTTAGCTCACAATTCTAAGATATTTAGAAAAGACAAGGTACTTTCTAAGATATAAGATGCTTTCCAATTTCTTGAAGTCAAATCTGAGGTAAATTTTTTTGTGACCACTTGAAAGAAAGGAAGACATGAGTATGGACAGGTCTGGGAATCTGGAGTTACAAGTTACTACCTCTGTACCAGCTGAACAATGCTCTGAGTATTCATAAAGAAGACTTCCCGTTCAGATTTCCGGTTCAATGTAGCTGCATGGCTATCTAGGATGTTTGCAATCTAAGGTATAAAAAAGGGAAAAAAATGAGGCCCAACCCAACAAAATGCCCCAAAGCATCAGCCTCTATAGCACGACCAGTAGGAATCTTCTTCTTATAACATGGCAGTTCCTATCTCACATGTTGGCAGCAGCTGGAAGTTACCAGGCGTAGTCTATATAGAGAATCACGCTACATAAGCAAGCAGATTTCATCCCTTGTCACCCTTTCCCAGATGAATTAATGACTACATTACAAAAACTATCATCTTACCAATATCTGTTCAAGGTCAAGATCCAAACATCACTCCCCACTTATCTACCTATATTCCCTACACATACATCTGCTTTATGGGTAAAGAGTAAAGATGCTGCCAAGGTAGTAAGAATGTCTCTGAAAATAAAACTACCAATAGGCCATGTGTGGTGGCTCACACCTGTAACCTCAGCACTTTGGGAGGCCAAGGAGGGAGGATAGCTTGAGCCCATGAGTTCAATACCAACCTGGGCAACATAACGAGACCCCCATCTCTATAAAAATTTTTTAAAAATTAGCTGGGCATAGTGGTGCACATCTGTAGTCCCAGCTACCTGGGAGACTGAGGTGGGATGAGCCATTGGGCCTATGGGGTCAAGGCTACAGCGAGCCATGACCGCACCACTGCACTCCAGCCTTGGCGACAGAGCAAGACCCTGTCTCAAAAATAAATAAATAAATAAATAAACAGCTGGGCATGGTGGCTCACGCCTGTAATCCCAGCACTTTGGGAGGCCGAGGTGGGCGGATCACGAGGTCAGGAGATCGAGACCATCCTGGCCAACATGGTGAAACCCGTGACTACTAAAAATGCAAAAATTAGCTGGCATGGCAGCGTGTGAATGTAATCCCAGCTACTCAGGAGGCTGAGGCAGGAGAATTGCTTGAACTCGGGAGGCAGAGGTTGCAGTGAGCCGAGATCAGCCACTGCACTCCAGCCTGGTGACAGAGCTAGACTCCATCTCTAAATCAATGAGTGAATGAATGAATCAATCAATCAACTAATATCACTCTATTTTCAATTCATGAAAATACCTCTAATTAGGGAATAGCCCCAGGAACAAAGCTATAAGGTATACATGATCCAAGTGTGCTTTTCTCATAACTACAGATACTTATCCTTCACATACAGTACTTTCACTGTTGGGTTTGTACCCTGAGGCAGTTTTGTGAGGAATACAATGCTTAAAAGTATACAAGCACAACATCCAAAAAGTAAGGAGGATCCAAATAGGAAGGAATCCTACAACATAAACTCTGGCATTGGTAGCCAGAAAAAAATATAGTGTTATCCTATAAATACCTGCTGGCTGGGAAACTGACAGAGGACTGATGTGATGTTGCTAGCATACTGAGCCATTTCCTTCTTGATAGACTTCTCCACATTGGGGGGAATGCGGCCAGACACACTGGTCATAATATCTTGCAATTCTAGGAGAGGCAGGGAGGGATCTCTGAGGGTTTTCATCAATCGCTCTACCCAGTCTTTTACCTAGAAAGAAAGCATTGGTAAAATAGGACCCAAGTTAACACAATCCCCCAAATAAAAAGATATATAGTTGTCATTCTGTATACGTGGGAAATTGGTTCCAGAACCACCACTCATATATGAAAATCTGCACATACTTGAGCCCTACGGAACCCATGTATAGAAATAGTTGTGGGTTCCATATCTCATCAATACTGTAATTTTGATCCATGTTTGGCTGAAAAAATCCACATATAAGTGGACCCACACAGTTCAAACCTGTATTGTTCAAGAGTCAACTATATCTGAATTCACTATCATATACTACTTCTTTTCAATAAAAATTTATATAATTTTCAATAGATATGGGGTCTTGCTATGTTGATCAGGCTGGTCTCAAACTCCTGGCCTCAAGCGATCTTTCCATCTCAGCTTCCCAAAGTGGTGAGATTACAGGCGTGAGCCAACTATCATAGAGTACTTTGAAATTGCAACGTAAGCATCTAACATTGCCCCTATTCTCCAGTTTAAAAAGGACTAATCACGGGTGGGCACAGTGGCTCACGCCTATAATCCCAGCACTTTGGGAGGCCGAGGCGGGCAGATCACAAAGTCAGGAGTTCAAGACCAGTCTGGCCAACGTGGTGAAACCCCACCTCTACTAAAAAAAAAAAAAAAAAATTAGCCGCGCCTGGTGGCACGTGCCTACAATCCCCACTACTCAGGAGGTTGAGGCAGGAGAATCACTTGAACCCAGGAGGTGGAGGTTGCAGTCAGCTGAGTTTGTGCCATTGCACTCCAGCCTGGGCAACAGAGCAAGACTCCGTCTCGAGGAAAAAAAAAAAGGAGTAACCACAATTAAATGTGAAGTCCATGACAAGGATAAGAAACATGGATTTAAAGACCTCAAGTCCCACAACTGAAGGTGAAAGAGTTCTAGGCCAAACAGCTTTCTTTTCCTCCCTCTTAAACAATCATTATGAGACTTGGAACTATTTTGGAGAATAGGTATCCCATTTGTACATCCCTTCCCCAGGAGACGTGATACATACCTTGCTGCTAAAGAAAGGATCTGGAAGGCAGTATCCATTCATTACATTGACCAGATTATCCAGGACATAATGGAACACTCGATGGAGTTTCTCGCCTCTGAGTGCCGTGCTCTGGATCCGTGGCAGACTACCTGTGTGAAGTTCAGCCTGTCAACCCCAACAAGAGATCAAGTCATCTACTACTTTTGATCTAAGGTACAAACACACCACTGCACTTAAGAGTTATCATTCAAAATCGAGACATCATACCCAGCTACCAGGAGGGAAGTCAATAGAGGAAACATCATAAGGAAATTACAGAATCTTAGTACTACAGTAACTCTTGCAAACTCTAGTTCCATAATACTACAGGCACAAATACAAGGCATAAGATTAATAGGGGACAAAGCTAAAGAAAACACTGGCAAACCAAGCATTGAAATCACTTGCCTCTCCAAACCACCAAGTTCTTTAGCTCTTAGAGAGCAATATTCGGAGCACCTTCCTACTCACCTGCTGAACCTTGCTGGGGTTGTCCAGTTGCATTTTGGCTAGTACACAGCCAGGGTCAAGAGCTGCTCCAGGTCGCTTGACGTAATGGATACAGCCAGACTCCACAGCTGTTAAGGTCATTACCATCTTCATTACCTATAGTGAAAAATAAACTAGACTCAGATTTATCTCTCTTTACACAGATGAGTGCTTAAAAGAACTAAAATTTTTCCCTTAGCATCTAAGTTGGACCACACCTAATTTGACCAAGAAAAAATGGGAATTTACCATCATCTCCTAGGGACTATCAAGGCAAGCAATTAGAAAATCTCTCAGTACCTCACTTTAGGAATTAATAACAGTTATTGACATTTCTCCTTTCTAACTTTTACAACCATTTTGGCATAATTTGTGATTATATTTGTTTTGTACTTAGAAAGTAAGGAACAATTTAATATCCTCATACCAGTGAATCCAATCTAAGACAACCAGGCCAAAACCTAAGGATCATTCTTCACTCCTCTTTCTCCCTTACCTACCAATTACCAACCCAGCCAGACATATCTTCTAAACCTTTCTCAAAAATCTTCCTCTCTTGCCATCTCTTCGGTTTACGCCTTCTTCATTTCTGGCCCAAAGTACTTCAAAGACCCCCTAAGAGATCTCCCTACTTGCTACATACCTCCCTCAAGGTCACGAAAAGCAATCTTCCTAGACCCCAAATCTCATCATACTACTTTTCCACTTAAATCTTTCAGAGATTACCTGCTGCCTCCAGGATAGTGAAAACTTACTAGTATGGTTTATAAGATCCTTCATAACCTCACATTCAAGATCTCACATTACTTCTTTAGCACCTTTGCTTGTCCCTCCCCATTAAACCTTAGTCTATTCTCAAGCCACACCAACACATACTTGCAGTTCCCTAAATACACTGTGCTGTCTTGCTTCTGTCTTTGTACATGCTATTCCTTCAACTTTAAGCACTCTTCCCTGCCCTTCTTCACCTGCTCTATCACTATCTGTCTTTCAAAACTAAGATCAAATGTCTCTTCTTTCAGAATATCTTCCCATACAAGCTTAGCTTGATTTGGGTTAGGTGACCCTCTGCACTCTATGCTTAGCTCTCTTAAAATTAATCACATGACATTTCTTGTCTGTTTTGTGCCCCACCTCCATGTATTTTCTCTGGATAGCCAGCAGTTAGGACACCTAACATTCAACAAGTGCTATTGCCTAGTATCTATTTTTAGAACTAGAGATTCCTCATTTGCCTATGTGTTTTAAAAATCTTAAGGTTCGCACTTCTAATTAAGCCAACTGATGTTTCTTTTTCATTCTTATTTCCAATCTGTTACCTTTTTTTTTAATTTTTTAGAAATAGGGTCTTGATTTGTGACGCAGGCCACAAATTGTACCACTCCAGTACAGTGGTACAATCTCCATTCACTGCTGCCTTGAATTCCTGGGCTCAAGGGATCCTCCCGCCTTAGACACCAGAGTGGCTGGGTCTACAGGCATGTGCCACTGTACGCCGCTAATTTTTTAATTTTTCATAGAGATGGGGTCTCACCATCTTGCCCAGGCTAGTCTCGAACTCCTGGGCTCAAGCGATCTTCCTGCCTCAGCCTCCCAAAGTGGTAGGATTACAGGCACAAGCCACTGTGCCCAGCCTCCTTTCTGTAACTTTTCAGTCCTAGTCCATCCCAGCCGACCCTTTTCCTACCTTCCCCTCCCATGATCCCACAGTCCTTTCACCACCCTGACCTCAATCTCAGCATAGCACTGGCCGGCAAACACATGACCTCCATCTTCTACAATGTACTGGATTAACTTCCCAGCAGAAGGTGAGCGCATCACCGATGGGTCATTTTCCTTCTCAAACACACAGGTTTTATTGCCAATTGTGATGCGATATCTAGGAGACAAGTGGAAGTATGTAAGCTAAGAAAGCACCTCAGGATGTAAAGGAGAATGGTAGAGAATGTCAACCTTCAAAGAAAAAAAATCCTGAAAACTTTATTATACACACACACAGACATATTCACTGCATATTTGTTTACAATGTCAATTAACATAAATTTCCTTCAATAAGGATCAGATTAAATATAGTATAATCATATAATGGAATACCACATGACTATTAAAAATAACAGGTACCACCATTTAAAAAAACACACACAAAGATATTGATGACGTAATAGCTAACATTTCTTGAAGCCTAGCTATGTTGTGGCAATGTTCTACACATTTTCAACATGTTAATTTATTTCATTCTCATAACACCATAACTGGTGTTGAACATTTGTGAATTTCTTTTTTTTTTTTTTTTTTGATACGGAGTTTTGCTCTTGTTGCCCAGACTGGAGTGCAATGGCGTGATCTCGGCTCACCGCAACCTCCACCTCCCAGGTTCACGTGATTCTCCTGCCTCTGCCTCCCAAGTAGCTGGGACTACAGGCATAAGCCACCACATCTGGTTAATTTTGTATTTTTAGTAGAGACAGGGTTTCACCACATTGGCCACACCGGTCTTGAACTCCCAGCCTCAGGTGATCCACCTGCCTCGGCCTCCCAAAGTGCTGGGATTACAGGCGTGAGCCACCGCGCCCAGCCACATTTGTGAATGTATTTAAAGAAAAACAGTATGTACATGAGTGTAACTTGTATATGCATATAAAATTTCTACTCAAATATGTAAGAAACTTTTAACAATGGTTACTTATAAAAAGGGGAACTTATTTTTCATTGTCCACATACACTGGAGTGGTAGGGAGACATGTTTTTAATTATAAACACTTTAATACTCTTGATATTTTTGTTAAGTGCATGTACTATTTTTTTTTTTTTTAACTACAAATGAGTACCAAGAAAAGCCTGGGAAAATCCCAAGAGCTAGTAGCTAATAAGAGAAAAGGCTAACAGGATGACCAGCAAATGGACCTCAAACAGCCACTTACCTATCCACTTCCTCTTTCATATACGTAGTATAACTGCTGCCATCATAGGACAAGAGCAGTCCACCGTCACTCAGCCGATGTACATCTACTTCTACACATGAGCCATTCATGATCACCACATAGGAGTTGGGGGACTGTCGAGTCACCTGTAGGGAATGAGAATGAGGATCAGTGTGTCCCTTCCAGGTACAGCTCCAAATGAAATTTGAATGCTTCAAAAATACAGATAAGAAAGATCTGTCAGGAGGAAGAAAATTCATGGCACTGATGCTATTTGCATCAGTGTCTGTGGACATGGCTCAGTCCTGCTGTAAGCAAAGAGGGCAACCTTAGTTGATTTTCCCCAACTGTGGTTGTTCCCTGTCTCTCCTTTATCTCTTGGCAGTGTATGTGAAGTTGAAGAACAACAAAAAAGATTTTCATAGAACAACAAACGCTGCTTCAGGACACTGACAAAAATAATGACGGTAATTTCACTAATACCCCCATCCCTGCATTAAATCAAACTTTTTCTCCTGCCTCTCAACCTAAAGAAAGATAGCTAAAAAAGTAAGGTGCAAGCTCCAATGGGGTTCTGCATACCTTAAGTACATACTTGACTCCCTCATAGATAAGTTCAACATCTACTGTATTCAGAAGTGTATGAGCAGGAAGGACTTGACCCCTGAAAGAACGATGAGAGAGGAACTTACTACAAAGTTCTAACAGTTATAAGAGAATCTAAAACATTATTGATTGTAGCATTTCCTAGAATAACAAAAGACTAGAAACAACCTAAATACCTAAATGATCGTTTGTAAGGAATTGATCACATCAATTATGAATCTTACAATGGATTTTTTTAAATTAGGGTAAAATACACATTACATTAAATTTGCCATCTTAACCATTACAAAATGCACAGTTCTATAGTGTTGGGGATATTAACACTATTCTGCAACCAATCTGCAGGACTTTTTCAACTGGCAAAAGTGAAACTCTACACCCATTAACAACTCCCAATTTCGCCCTCCCCCCAGTTCCTGGTAACCGTCATTCTACTTTCTAGTTCTATGAGTCTGACTACTCTTCATACTTCATATAAGTAAAACCATATAGTATTTGTCTTTTTGTGACAGGCTTAATTCACTTGCCCTAATGTCCTTAAGATCCACCTATGTTTTAGCATGTGTCAGAATTTCCTTCTTCTTTAAGGCTGAATAATACTGTATTGTATGTATATGCCACATTTTGTTTATCCAGTCATCCATCAACCAACATCTGAGTTGCTCCCATCTTTTAGCTACTGTGAATAATCCTCCTATGAATGTGGCTGTGCAAGTATCTTTCAGACCCTGCTTTCAATTCTTTCAGAATACCCAGAAGTGGTATTACCAGATCATAGGGTAATTCTATTTTTAATTTTTTCAGTAATTGCAATACCATTTTTCAATAGTGGCTGCATCATTTTACATTCCCATCAAGAGTGCACAAGTGTCCCAATTTCTCTACGTACTTGCCAATACTTGCTATTTTCTGTTTTTTGACAGTGGGCATCCTAATGGGTGTGAGGTGGTATCTCATCATGGTTTTGATTTTATTTACTTAATGATTAGTGATGTTGCGCATGTTTTCACATGTGGAACAAAACATACAGACATTAAAAAGATGTGAACTAAAAAACACTTTAAAAAATATACTGTTGAGTTAAAAAAGCAAGGTAAATAACAGCTTCACAGCATGCTACCATTTGAGTTTTAAAAAACCAGGAGGTGGGAAGAAACAAATATTGCATGTTGATATGGTTCGGCTGTGTTCCCACTCAAATCTCATCTTGAACTGTAGCTCCCATAATTCTCTTGTGGTGTGGGACGGACCCAGTGGGAGATACTTGAATCATGGGGGCGGTTCCCCCATACTGTTCTCATGGTAGTGAATAAGTCTCACGAGAGCTGATCATTTTATAAGGGGAAACCCCTTTCACTTGGCTCTCATTTTCTCTCTTGGCTGCCACCACGAAAGATGTGTCTTTGCTCTTCCTTTGCCTTCCGCCATGATTGTGAGGCCTCCCCAGCCATCTGGAACTGTGACTCAATTAAACTTCTTTCCTTTATAAATTAGCCAGTCTTGGGAATGTCTTTATTAGCAGTGTGAGAACAGACTAATACACATATATATGTTCATGTAAGTTTAGGGTATCTTTGGAAGGTTAGAAAAGAAATTGGTAATATGAATTTACTATAGGGGACGGAAACTGGATGGCCAAGGAACAGAGGTAAGAGAGAGACTTCTCACTGCTTATCTTTTTTGTGCCTTTTGAATTTTGAACCACATGAATGTGTTAACTGTTCTTAAAGATAAAGATTAAGGTTGGGCGCAGTGGCTCACGCCTCTAATTCCAGCTATTTGGGAGGCCAAAGCAGGCAGATCACGAGGTCAAGAGATCGAGACCATCCTGGCCAACATGTTGAAACTCCGTCTCTACTAAAAATACAAAAATGAGCTGGGCGTGGTGGTGCGTGCCTGTAGTCCCAGCTACTCATGTGGCTGAGGCAGGAGAATCCCTTGAACCCAGGAGGCGAAGGTTACAGTGAGCAGAGATCACGCCACTGCACTCCAGCCTGGTGACAGAGCAAGGCTCCATCTCAAAAAAAAAGATTAAGATTAAACGCGAAAAAATTATAAAACTTCAGTGTAAGCATATCTGCTCCTAGCAACTGAAACTTTATTTGAGAGTCTTTAAAAAGGCCGGGCAGCCGGGCACGGTGGCTCACGCCTGTAATCCCAGCACTTTGGGAGGCCAAGGCGGGTGGATCACAAGGTCAGGAGATTGAGACCATCCTGGCTAACACGGTGAAACCCTGTCTCTAATAAAAATACAAAAAAAATTAGCCGGGCCTGGTGGCAGGTGCCTGTAGTCCCAGCTACTCGAGAGGCTGAGGCAGGAGAATGGCGTGAACCCGAGAGGCGGACCTTGCAGCGAGCCGAGATTGCGCCACTGCACTCCAGCCTGGGCATCAGTGCGAGACTCTGTCTCAAAGATAAAAAAAATAAAAATAATAAAATAAGTAAAAAACAAAAGCATTTTAAAAGGAGGTGGGTGGGGGGCTTGTAGAGGAAAATGCATTTGACATATTTGTACACCAATAAGAAAACTATTTAACTAGGTTACAGATTATATGTTGCAGAACAGAAATAAATAAGACTGGATTGGTAAAAAGCGGCCCATGTATACAGGGAGTTGAAAGTCACGCCAAGGGATTTAGATTTGATACAGAAGAGAAATGCCAAGCTGCTGAAGGTTTTACTACATGAGAGTAACATAGTGAAAGATACTTATCATAGGACTTGAATAACTCTGAAATCTCAGTTCAATTTTTAAATTTTGTTTCTTTTCTTTCTTTCAGATACCTCAAAAGGGAGTTGATATAAGTCTAACAACACAGAAGGAAATAAAAGTGCCTGTGATTAAAGTGCTTTAAAATGATTAGCCACTTGGAACATTCCTCTGGGGACTCAAAGGCAGAGCTTAGTCTCCTCAATCAGCAATAGAAATTAGTTTAGCCCCATAGATGTCTGACCCTCTACTTGAAAGACTCATGAGGTCATCCTGAATATCAGCCTTAATTATTTACTTCTGAAAGGTGGTACAAGTAATACATGAAATATTTAGGGTTCAGTGCTAGGGAGAAATACCAGATTTTTATCACCAGGGTTTGGAGAGATTTGATACTTATACAGGACAGAATATCTACTGCAGATGGATTCCAGTTTTTAAAGAAGCAACCTGTTCTAACTGTGGTATAAGTTAATGTCTAGAATCTGCAGTTTGACTCCCCAAATAATTTGCCATAAATGTCAACATCCCCTCTCTTTCTTGCCACCATGGTCCATGAATAACAAGTAGCACTCATAAGCTGCCAGGAATGGACAGAAGAATAAATGGGTCTTTGAGCTTCAGTCCCTGTACTCAGGGCCATTGATTAGTTTGTGTAGCCTACAAGAAACAAAGCCTACCTTTCTAAGGAGTGAAGGAAGTTAGAGACGCTATTCCGCAGGCTCACATCTGCCACGTGGAGGGCACCACACACAACCCCCAACATGGTGTCAGGTCGCTCAGCCTGAAAGGAGGAAAAAGAGGGCAGATCAAATGCATGGTCACTTGGCACCACAGCCTCTCAAATGAAATCAGGCTCAAATTTGTTGTGATGAAACAGCTAGCAATGAAAATCTCCATTCTCACTGCCCAACTGATTTTTTAGATAAAAATGAACACATTCACTTTTAGAATTTGATTAGAGGCACCACTTGAAGAGAAATGAAAAACAACTTTCTTCTTTTCTCCCTAAGACTTCCACTTAGCCAATCATTGAATAGCTCAAAAATAGGCTTCTGACAGAAATAAATTTAAAAAGACACAACGATTTGGCTACTGATAATCTCAAAGAAAAACGGTGTATAGCCAAAATTTGGACCTCCAAATTATATGAATCTAACGATTTTATACAAAATCTTGGATAATTTAGCATAGCCCCAGGAATTAAGGAATAAGTGATAACTCTTGATCTAAATGAGGCCTCTCTCTTCAGCATCTGGTAGATACAGAAGTTGGCAACTATGGACCAGGTTTAACATTAAATGAAGAAAAAGAAAGTAATTAAATCCCTGCATGCCTCACTTCAAATATACCTCAGGAAGTAATGCTAGAACATAAAATGACTGTGTGACACAAGCACAGGAACCATCAGAGTGCTAAAATTACACTGACTCCTAGATTTTTCCAGGTAGATCAAGAACCATTTACATTAGAATCAAATAAATTTCATGTAGTGGCAGGGATTGAGTACACAAGTCTATAAAAACCCAATCCCAGCATCTGTTTGTGGAGAAATACACACCTGTACTTTTTCTGCTATCAGTCTGTCCAGCCAGCCAGTATCAATTCTGTTCATCTGAAAGCTTTCAGTCTCTAACAATTTGATCAGGTATTCAACTGTAGTTCGAAAGTCACCCCGAATAGACAGCTCCTTCAAAGCCACCACCATGTTTCTGGGAGAACAGAAGCCAATCTGTTTCAGCAACAAACACTTTAATGTTTTTCAATAATTTTAAAGATCTGTTTGGCCAGGCATGGTGGCTCACGCCTGTAATCCTAACACTTTGGGAGGCCAAGACAAGGCGGATCACGAAGTCAGGAGATTGAGACCATCCTGGCTAACACGGTGAGACCCTGTCTCTACTAAAAATACAAAAAATTAGCCAGGCGTGGTGGCGGGCGCCTGTAGTCCCAGCTACTCGGGAGGCTGAGGCAGGAGAATGGCGTGAACCCGGGAGGCGGAGCTTGCAGTGAGCAGAGATCACGCCACTGCACTCTAGCCTGGGCGACAGAGCGAGACTCTGTCCCCCCAAAAAAATAAAAATAAAAATAAAAGAAAGAACTGTTTCATTCCTTTGGAATCTTGAGAGGGAAGGGAGAGAGGCAGTTCCAAAAACAAATAAGGGTGCACATGTCAAGTGTGCTCATTCATGTGCATTCAAGAGAGGGAAATTTGCAAAAAGTCAGAAAACGTATGAATTCTAACTGATATTACCATAAGAGCATCAGCAAATCAGAAACATTTCATTATAATGAGTACAGAACAAATTATAACAAATTATATGCAAGTCACCCTCAGCTTTTACTTACTAAGTTTCCATTATTCCATTCATTTGTTGTTGGCTAACAAGAATTAGGGCATTAATTCTCCCTATCCTTGTACCTTATTTATTTTATGTATAATTTACATACAATAAAATATACTTATTTTAAGTATACAGTTCAATGAATTTTCCCAAGTGCTTAATTTAAAGATTTCCATACAGTAAAGCAACTCTCTGGGTGCAGTCATATATCAGCCTGACACTGCATGTGACAGTGTTTTTTTTAAAACTGCATTTTGGATATCTATGCAATGATTTGCTCATTACTTTTATTACTTCCCAGTTAAGTGCAAAGTGATCCAATTTTAGCAGAATTTCAAATACTATGGGGCTTTTCTGTATATTTATGCCCAGTGTCTATCCTGCATGGGACAGGTACTTACTTCCACAAATACTAATTATGTACCTCATACTAATAAGACACATACTATGATTGTAAGGAAGAACATAAATACAATAATCACTTTCAAAATATATGGCAGAATATCATCAATGCCAGACAGAATACTTACACAAAGTTCTGGAGAGGTTGTAAGAAGGGAGAAATTCATCTCCCTACAGTTTCATGAAAAATGTGGAAACTGACATGGGCTAAAGTATAGCTGATAATTATAACTGTGAGAGGAATCATATTCCAGGTAGTCCAGGCATTCCCTCAGCCTAAAATATTATTCTGTTGCCCACCTCTGTCCTCCTTTCTGTGTCCTCCTTTGACCTGACTTACTTCTACAAACTTCAATTATCAATCTAGATGTCACTGTCTTCTGGGATACCTTCCCAGAACCCCTCTAGACTGAGTTAGTTGACTCATCTGTATGATCCTATAATGCCCTTAAATAATCTGACTATCATCATACTTAATACATTGTATTTTAACTGCCAATTGTCTTACACCCTCTGGATTGTAAAGTTTTGTGAGGAGAGAGATTCTATCTTGGACCTCACTGTATTGCCAGAACCAGTAGATAGCAGATACTCAGTAAATATTTGTTGAATACAATGAATGAATGGGCCTGGCACAGTGGCTCACACCTGTTATCCCAGCACTTTGGGAGGCCGAGTTGGGCAGATCACTCGAGGTCAGGAATTCGAGACCAGCCTGGCCGACATGGTGAAACCCGTCTCTACTACAAATACAAAAACTAGCTGGGTGTGGTGGCGGGCACTCCATGTCAGAAAAAAAAAAAAAAGAATAAATGAATGAACAGAGGAAATAGCAAGAACAAAGAAGCAGAGGGAAGAAAATACAGGTTGACAAAATTAGCCAGGCATGGTGGCACGTGCCTGTAATCCCAGTTACTCAGGAAGCTGAGGCAGGAGAATCACTTGAACCCAGGAGGAAGAGGTTGCAGTGAGCTGAGATCGTGCCACTGCACTCCAGCTTGGGCGACAGAGCAAGACTCTGTCTCAAAAAAAAAAAAGGAAAATACAGCTTGAGTTCAGGGAATGGTATGATTGAAGCAGAGGTATAAGGATAGGAATGAGTGGCTAATCCATTCAACCAACGTTTACTGAATGCTTACTATGTTCAGGGGATATAGCAGCAACAAGACACAGTCCTGTTCTCATGGTATTTAGATTATGACCCATGGGAAATTATACTGGAATATACTGGAATATATGAGTTGGGGCATTCTGGCAAACAAGAGTCCAAACCCCAAGCTGAGATATAGACCTAATGAAATGAAGAAATAAGAAACAAAGAAAGCTCTAAGCTGAAGAATGAACTTTTGGCATAGTGTCAAGAAGGAGACTTATTGTAGATAACGTATTTTTAACATGCTAAAAATTAAGCTAGTTAGCTTTGTACTGTAGACAAATGTACAGAGCTGGTCAGAAATAAGGAACAAGGCTTCTGGATTGGGTTATAGGACATTCCCTGAAGAAAATACACAGTGGTCTGCCAAATCAGGACTTAAACCTAAATGCCAACAGAGGCCAGTCTGGGAACATAAATGAGTGAGGCAGACTGAATAGGAGCTGTGTTAACTACAAAGTTTATGTCCCGTCGAAAAGAAGCAGTCACACAAAACTAGCTGTTTTTTGTTTGTTTGTTTGTTTTTTGTTTTTTTGAGACGGAGTTTTGCTCTTGTTGCCCAGGCTGGAGTGCAATGGCGTGATCTTGGCTCACTGCAACCTCAGCCTCCTGGGTTCCAGTGATTCTCCTGCCTCAGCTTCCCGAGTAGCTGGGATTACAGGCAGTTGCCACCACACCTGGCTAATTTTTGTATTTTTAGCAGAGACGGGGTTTTACCATGTTGGCGAAGTTGGTCTCAAACTCCTGACCTTAAGTGATCTGCCAGCCTCGGTCTCCCAAAGTGCTGTGATTACAGGTGTGAGCCACCGTGCCCAGGCAAAATTAGCTAACTTTTAACAACTAGAATGTACAACCAATGTTGTCATTATAGTCCTACTTTTAAGAGCTAGCAGAAATCCATATTTTGATTTCAATCTCCTGATTTTTTAATATTGTCAAATTAAAAAAAATTAACACTTTGTGAGCCCATCAAAACACATCTGTATGTTGAGACTCACCAGAAAGCCAACAATTTGCAAGCTCTAGTGTAAACCTTTTTCACTTTGCAGAGCATAATATGGCAGCGAATATGCTTAAAAGGCAACTTCATACCAATGTTTTTTTCTGGTAGCAGTGTTTTAATTTTGAAAAATTCCACTTATAGTTTTGAAGAATGAGAAGAAATGTAAAGGACAAAATAGAGAAATAATGAGATTTCCCTACTTCTAAAAATAATATTAAAAACTAATTAATCAAGGCTGGGTGCAGCGGCTCATGCCTATAATACCAGCACTTTGTGGGGCCATTAGAGCCCAGGAGTTTAAGACTAGCCTGGGCAACAAAGGGAGACCCCATCTCTACAAAAAATTTAAAATTTGCTGGACATGATGGTGCACACCTGCAGTCCCAGCAATTCAAGAGGCTGAGGCAAAAGGATTGCTTGAGCCCAGGAGGTCGAGGTTTCAGTGAGCTATGATGGCACCACTGCATTCCAGCCTGGGTGACAGAGCAAGACTCTGCCTCTTAAAATTAATTAATTCAGGAAATTGATAAAAATATAAAACTAATCAATAAGTGTTTATTAATACAAACAACCATATATTAGGATTAATTACTAATAAACAAATGCTATTTATTAGTAATTAATACTAATAAACACTTATTAATTACCTACTCCATGTACAGTACAAAGGTAAAGGGAATGGTATTAAATGTTTGATACAAGGCAATAAACCATTAAAAAACAGAAAAGAACTAGTTCAAGTTTCAATTTTAGATAGATATTCCAAAAGATCTAAGCTGTTAAAATTACCTCCTTCAGCCCTATGTTTTAGGCAAGCAAAAGTGCTGTTAATTTAATATTCATTGTTTATGATTAATAGAATATTATCTAACATTTATGATATAGCAGTTATATTTGCATAAGCTGTTATATACAGCATGCTAAGGTCTCTTGTATTAGCAATGTAGACAGTTTCTTTATGTCCTTTTCATAATATGAGCAGTATAATTTTATTATTTTAAATAACTATAAGAGTACATCATGGTGACTATGGCTCATAACAATAGATTGTGTACTTGAAAATTGCTAATAGATTTTAAGTCTTCTCACAAGAAAAAAATAAAATAAAAGTCTATGATTTATTTGATACCTAGTTCTTGGCCAAGAATCTACCTCCCCTCAATAACAATACTGTTCCTGTGGAAAAATAAGATACCTTTAAAGCAATCAATTTTATACATTTATCAAAAATATTTGAAAGGAAAAATACTTCAAAAGGCTCAGAACAACAAACAGAAAAACATCTGCCAAGCACTGCATAATTTAATACAACATGAATGCAAGTGTAATTAAAGATATTCAAAATTTCTTCAAAAAGGTTGTTCATATTATTACTTTGACAGCAGATGATTCCTATTCCCATGCTCACACCTTCACTTAAGATTAGCACAAATTTATTTTGTAAAATGCAATCAAATGCTATTATACTCACGAAATTGCCTCTTCTCTGTTTTCTCCCCAAGAAAAGCAGTGACCAAACTGAGAATCAGCAAATTCATGAAGTCCCCCTGCAGCAGCAACACTGAAATATCCCCAAACATTCTTATTGCTGCGGAAATTTAGCTCCTGAACTGTTCCTGAGCTGGGCTTAAAACCCTGTTAGAGAATAAAGAATGAGAGACCATATTATGTTTCGAAGGAAGAGAAGATTTATATATTCATTGTTTAAGTTCTCTGTTAATCACACACAGAAGCAGAGAAGACACACAAAAATGATAAAGGCCAAGACCCAGTGCCACAGACCCACTGAAGACTCTACAGTGACTTAAGTGGGATTAAGTAACCAATGAAGCAACAACCATTTACTTATCTGCTCTGAGAAACCTCTATGTTTCCCACTCCAGAGGAAGTCCCAAGATATTTCAGAAGTATACTTTCAGATACTATCTTAACATTAAAGTTCATTAAAAGGAGGTATAAACCTTTTAAGTGATGGGTTACCTCATCTGGATTTTCACTAGTGATCCGAGCAGCAATAACATGGCCCCTTGGACAAGGAACGTGTGCAGAATCTTCAAAATCAATGGGAGAATCACCCCAGGGAGATACCCCATACATCATACGGATATCCTTGATTCTATATAGAGGAATCCCCATGGCAATCTGAAAGGTAATAAAACACACATCTTTAATTTTTCAGTTACTTCCCTTAAAGTGTAGAGGCTATCAGATAACCTAAAATATTTTTATTTTTGGAGCCACTCCCTAAAACATTCTATTTTTATAACCTGTATTCTACAATCATCAACTCTAAGTTGCTTGAAATACAATATATCACTACAGATAAGTAGTTAGAATATTCTCCACTTCTAAAGAAGTCCCCACATTCCTAATGCAACAGACACCAGTTCCCCTGTTGTCATTTCTCCATCACGTAATAAGAATGAAAATATCCAACAGAGGAGTAAATGTTAATAGCCATCCAAAAACAGACAGCTAGAAAGTCTTAATTGTGTCATAATTATCTCTTCCATCCCTGCAAACCACTGGAGGAAGTAAGTAAATCTTTAGTCTTTAATAGGAACCCAGAAGGTGTTCTCGATGTGGGCAAATGTTAGATAAAAATAATATCAAGCCTTATCATTAACTATTACTGCTTTCCATAATATTTGTTTCCTGGGCTGAGAGAAGACAATAATATTGACAGCAAGCACTTTACAAATTATAAAAATATATGTGTGCTACCACACTCTTGTAAGGAAAAACTTCAACCACTAATCTCTGATGCAGAATTATTTCAATAAAGAACACTAGTAAAAAAACAAAAATGAGTAGGGAATAATTATAATACAAAGTTGTGAAGTTTACTATAGCTAAATAATTGAATAAAGCATACATTATTAACATTTATTTCTAAAACATGACACATTATATCAGATGTGTCTGGCTAGAAAAAATAACATTCCTATGTCTGTACTACATCAGGAAAACCAAACCACACATGCATAACACATACAGGGTGAAAGAGAAATGACCATTAGGTGTGACTCAGATAGGAGGTGCTTTTCTCTTATCACACACTGGTTAAACCCATTTTTCAGGCCTCTCTGACTTTTCTAGGCTCTGCAACCCAGATCAGGGAGACTCACCTGGAGCTGTGCTGCAGGGAGATTGACATCAGCCACCATCTCTGTACAAGGGTGCTCTACCTGCAGCCGAGGATTCAATTCCAGAAAGTAGAAGCTGCCATCCTGGCTGTACAGGTATTCCACAGTCCCAGCACTCACATAACCCACCATTTTGGCAAGTTTCACCGCACACTCAAAGAAGAGAGATAAGCAAACATAAGTATCTCACCTTATCCAACTGCTAGACCACTACAGCCTCTCACTGACTCAACTGTTCAGTGTGTATAAGAGCCATCAAAAGCTTTTAGCCACATGAGAGCACATTTCTGATTATTATACAATATCCCTGGACAAGGATGAAAAACTCAATGAAAAATCGGGAGAAAAGAGCATTTTTCACTTTGCATCAAAAGCAACCTCACCCCACCAGACATAAATGCATGCAGACAAAAAAACATGGGGACAGACTCTTGTCCAGTTTCCAGTATTTCCAATATGCTCCTCTTCTTTCTAGAAACATAGCTAACTAGTTAGAGACTAGATTTTTTTTTTTTTTTTTGAGACAGAGTCTCACTCTGTCTCCTGGGCTGGAGTCCAGTGGCACAATCTCGTGGCTCACTGCAAACTCTGCCTCCCGGGTTCAAGTGATTCTCCTGCCTCAGCCCCCCAAGTAGCTGAGATTACAGGCATGCGCCACCATGCCTGGCTAATTTTTGTATTTTTGGTAGAGATGGGGTTTCCCCATGTTGGCCAGCCTGGTCTCAAACTCCTGACCTCAAGTGATCTACTCGCCTTGGCCTACCAAAGTGCTGGGATTACAGGCGTGAGCCACCATGCCTGGCCTGGTTAGTGGCTAAGTTTTGACAAACAGGACACCAGCATTGGTAAGTGATATGCATAACTCCCAAGTCATATATATATATATATATATATATATATATATATATTTTTTTTTTTTTGGAGATGGAGTCTCGCTTTGTCACCCACCCAGGATGGAGCACAGTGGCGCAATCTCGGCTCACTGTAACCTCCGCCTCTCGGATTCAAGTGATTCTCCTACCTCAGCCTCCTGAGTAGCTGGGATCACAGGCACATGCCACCATGTCAGGCTAATTTTTATATCTTTAGTAGAGATGGGTTTTCATCATGTTGGCCAGGCTGGTCTCGAACTCTTGATCTCAGGTGATCCGCCCACCTCAGCCTCCTAAAGTGCTGGGATTATAGGCGTGAGCCACAGCACCCAGCCCTAAGTCATATTTTGAAAAGGAAATGTCTCATTCTCTATTCCTGGCTTTTTCCTTCTTATTCATTGGAACATAGTCATGATAGTATAAGCCAACTTCAATCATGCAAATGAGAACACACTAAGAACACCAAGAAAAGAAAGGAAAAGAAAAGAAAGAAAAAGAAAAGAAAGAATGAACCTGAATCCCAAGATGGTCTCGTGGAATAAAACACTTCCACCAGCCCTGAAAAGCTCACCTCAGACTAGGATGGGAGAGAAAAATAAACTTCTATTTTTGGGGGGGTCCGCTGTGTTTTTTGGACCTTTTTGTTATAGCAGTTTAACCTGTATCCTAATCGATACAGGAATTATTAAGTGCAGGTAGAATGTTGCTGTTTAAAAATATTAAAATATGAGATGCTAGCTTAGCAAAAGGGTAGTGGGTAGCAGAGAAACAGATACTGCAGGCTGGAAAGGTGATAATCTCCTTGTTGGGATAACACAACATTTGGTAAACTGTTTCCTACAATAACTTGGGATACTGACCACACACCAACTAAACCTTAAAAAAGATGGTCTGAAAGGGTCAGAGTGTCGAAAAAGCCAACTTCTTTTGTATCCCCCCAAACAGAAAATGAGATTATCACCCTGAAGCAACTCAGTGTCAAAGATCAAACGTGCTGCTTTAGTTTCAGCTGGCCCCAAGATAGCCAATATTAAATCAAGGCAAGAGAGATAGGCTAAGCACAGAAGCCAGTAAATAATAGAAGAAAAGTTTCTATATCTAGAAGAAATCTATGAGTATGATTAATCCAACCCAAAGCTGATTGCAAGCAAATAGCCCAGAAGCTTAGTTAAGTATTTGAAGGAATTGTATTTCTAAACAAACCACAAACCTGGCCTTCAAAAGCCTGCGACTGATGATTGGGATATTTGTGCCCTCAATCCTGCACCAGCAGGAAGTGGGTTGTGAAAGTTCTGCCAAAGAAGGCATAGTCTCCAAAGCCCAACTCACAGAGAAAACTGAATGAGGAAGAACTTCCCAGAAAACAATGTCAGGTGTCTTGAAGGACAATGAACAAGGGATTTACTCCCTTATTGCACTTCTCTGGAGTGTGCAGTAGCAGAACCAGGGACAGCCAGGTCTAACTGAGGTAGTATTCTATTATATAGCAGGGAATCATTGCAATTCCTACCTAAAAAGGAGGATTTGATAACTGCTATGGACCAACGATTGCTATGTATTTTTCATTTTTCCAAATGAGAGTTATCCTGTTCCTATTCCATCATTGTATATGGGTGTATGGTGAAGGCAGGGGATATAATACTGGGTAAATAACTTGTATTTTGAGTCACTGGCCCATGAAAAGCCACAATACATATCTAATGGAGAAGAATATACATCATATAGAGATCCGGAATCACCTCCAGTAATAACCCATCCAGTTACTAGTAACTGGATGGGGCTTCAGGTTGTCTTCCTTGGACAAAGGCTATGTGTGCTCTGAAAGTAGGAAAAAGGATAAAGGGATAATAGGTAGCCAGAGGAACAGACTGAGGCACAGATTATGAAATGCCCTCCAGTGACTTTTCTCTACTTCATCATTTTAGGAATAAAATCGAAATTTTTGCTGAGCACATGGTCACCCAGTTAGTGATCACAATTCCTAACATCCTTTGTGCTAGGTATAATTGTGTAACTGAATTTTGTCCAGTGGAATGTGAGCAGAAGTGATGTATGTGACTTCAAGATCATGCTTCCATATGCTTGCCCTCCACATCCCCTGTCTCTTCCTCCCACAGGCCACAATGTGAACATAATCTTGTGTGAGTTAGCTTAATCATGAAGATGACAATGTCCAAGAGCAAAGTTTGGCAAACTTTTTTGGTAAAGAGCCAGATAGTAATTATTTTCAATTTTGTGGGCCATATAGCCTCTGTCACAACTATTCAATTCTACCATTGTAGTGATAAAGCAGCCATAAATAACACATAAATAAATAAGCATCATTGTGTTCCAACAAAATTTTATTTACAAAAACAGGCAACAGGTGAGCAATAAACCTGTTTCTGGTAACAGCTCATCTCTGAACTATGATGAAAGAGAAATAGAAACTTACACCTTGTTTAAGCCACCGTATTTTGCTTATTTATTTATTTGTTTTGAGATGGGGTCTTGCTCTGTCACCCAGGTTGGAGTGCAGTAGCATGATCAAGGCTCACTGCAGCTTTGACCTCCCAGTGTCAAGTGATCCTCCCACCTCAGCCTCCCAAGCAGCTGAGAGTACAGACGTGTGCCATGACACTCAGCTAATTTTTGTATTTTTAGTAGAGATAGGGTTTCACCATATTGCCCAGGCCGGTCTCGAATTCCAGGGCTCAAGTGATCTGTCCGCCTTAGCCTCCCAAAGTGCTAGGATTACAGGCAAGAGCCACCATGCCCGGCCAAGCCACTGTATTTTGAAGGCATCTTTATTACAGCAGTTCAAGAGTACATCCTAATATATACACAACATAGGAAATAGACCTCTAACACACATGAAATATATTTTGAAGAATCTATTTTGATGTAGAGACTGGGTTAGGACTCCAGAAAAGACTATGTTCAGGCCTCTAAACTATAGTTATTCCGAAGGCATCGCTCATGACTTTGAGAAACTACTTTCTATACAAAAAGATAGAATGTGTGAACTCTGAAGATATTTAGAGGACTTTCCAAAAACGATAATAGAGTTGATTAAATTCAGCTGAAGACTTGATGATACTCAACCCAGCAAATAAAACTACCTGATTATGAGCCTCTTAAAAAAATCAATCATAAGATTAAAAATTCCAAAACATTTCTCTTCTTTATCCCTGTATCCTGAAATGGTACGCTGATTTTTTTTAGAAAGCGTTAACTACTTTTAGAAGCTTGACATGTTCCTTGACAATTCTCTTAGTGGGAGAACAGTAGAATTTTTTTTCTCTAAGAAAAGGATATAATTTTATTAATTATTCAGAATCGTTGCTTAAAATGCCATTGTTCTCAGATTGGTACATGAACTGAATGAAAAATGTTCTATGTAAGAAAACATAAAGTAAGCCTTTTAATATATGTACCTGTTCCATGTGTTCAAATACTGCTGGAGTAGCAATAGTAGCAGGTGCTTCTTCAATAATCTTCTGATGCCTGCGTTGTACAGAGCAATCACGACCAAACAAAGAGATAGCATTGCCATATTGGTCCGCTAAGATCTGCACCTCCAGATGACGAGATTGTTTGGCTAGTCTCATCACAAATATGGGAGATCCAGGAACTTCAGCTTGAACCTGTATTAGAAAAGGGGGAAAAAAAAAACCAATTCTTAAATTTTAAACTTTTTATCTATCTTGATAAGCTACTTTGATTTCAACAAGCAGATGTCCAGAAGTGTCAGGAACCATGTTAATCAGCAGAAATACAAAACTGAATAAAATACAGTCCATGCTGTCATCTTTAATATCTTTAAGATGCTGCATTCTTACATAACCAATATTAATTGATAAATATGAAAACATACGAACATCTGGTGCATCACAAAGGTAAACAACAAAATATTTGAAAACATAGGCACATACACAAATCCAACAACAGGGCAAAATACTGCCATCCTGTACTCTGTACAACCAAATGTACAACTTGTTCCAGACAAGATACTTTCCTGGTTCACATTACATCATATATGGTATTGTTGCAGCCAAAGGACTTTCATCTTTAGTTTTGAAGAATATTACTGTTGGGGACAGAATTCTAAAATGGTAACTATTTTTTTTCTCAGCACTTTAAATAATCCCAATGATTTTCAGCTTTCACTGTTTCTACTGAGATGCCAACTGTCAATCTTATTGTTACTATTTTGAAAGTAATCTTTATTCCTCAGCTGGTTTAAGATTTTCTCTCTTTCTGTCTTTTATAGGGGGGAGGGTGGTAGATTTACTCTGATAAGCATAGATGTGGTTCTTTGTATTTGTCTTGCTTGAGGCTCATAGTGCTTTTTGAATCTGTCCTTGGTATCTTTTATCTGTTCAAAGAAATTCTTAGCTTTTCTCTCTTCAAATATGGCTTCTGCTTCATCATTTCTTCAATTATTGTTTCTGCTCCATTCTCTTTCTCTTCTCCTCTGAGACTTAAAGTACATGATGTTAGACCATTTCACATAACCATATGTCTTTTATGCTCTGTATCTTTTTTGCTCTGTTTTGCCATGTAGCAAGTCATCTCAAAACTCAGTGGCTTGCTTAGAACATCAACCTTTTATGATGTTGTTCTCATCTGGGCAGTTCTTCTTCTGGTCTTGCACTTACATACATATCATCATCTGGTAGCTTGAGTGGGGTAGAATGGTCTCACTCAGATGTCTGGTGATTTGTGCTGACTGCTGGCTGGTAGGTCTAGGGAGCCTCAGCTGGAATCGTTCATCTCCAATGCAGGTGGCTTCTCATCCTGCAGCAGGCTAGACTAGGCTTCTTCAGTGATGTGTTCCAAGAGGGGAAGAAGCTGTAAGGCCTCTTGAGGTCTAGGCTTTCGAATTTATACATCACTTTGGCCACATTCTAATGGTCTAAGCAAGCCACAAAGCCAGCTAAGATTCAAGGGGTAGGGAAAATAGATGCCACCCCTGGAAGGGAGGAACAGCAAAGTCACATTGCAAAGGGTGTACATACAGGAATGGGAGGAGTTATTGTCGCCATCTCTTGCAAACAACTTACTATGCTCTACCCTATGGCCACAATAATTCACATACCTCCCACATGCAAAACAGACTCACCCCCTCCCAAGACCCCCAAAGTCTCATCCAATCATGGCATTGGGCTTGACGTCCATTTTCTCATGAGTCATGTCCAGAAGAAAATGAGGTTCCTTGGGTGCAACTCCTCAGGTACAGTTTCTCTTGATCCAAAGACCTGGGAACTAAGAAGACAAGTTATCTGGCCCAACACTCCCAATATTTATGATGATATTGGGAGGGGATAACTGCAAATGAGACTGCTGTTCAAAGAGGAGGAAATAGGAGGTACATAGTAGTCATTGGTCCATAGCAATTCTGAAATCCAGATAGGTACATGCTGTCAGATTCCCTTACTCCAGGGTCAGGAATGCTTTTCATTTTGTTTTGTTTTGTTTTGTTTTTCAGGATCTAGTTTGGTTCCCTGGGAGTAGGTCCTTAATCCATGGCATCCCCTGCTCCTAGCTCTGCCCTCTGGGCTCCTGACTCCACTCTCTGAGAAATCCCTCTTTTTATTTGAAATGACAGCTATTTACAGCTGAATAGCTTTCTGTCTGCTTCCTGCTCATTAAAAAGTTTAAGGCTCAGAGGTCACTTTTCATTTTGAACTGTTTCTGGCCCTTTCAGTCCCTTGGTGCATTCATCAACACAAGTCTCTTGACAACTTTGTGGGTTTCCTATGAATCATATTGGGGTTCACCGCTCACCCAAAGAGACACATCCACAACTCATGTCTGCATAGACCTCTCTATACTTTGGGCACGTCAGGATGCTGTGAGACAGTACCCTTAAGATACTTAGGGCCAGGCATGGTGGCTTATGTCTGTGATCCCAGCACTTTGGGAGGCCAAGGTGGGAGGATCATCTGATGTCAGGAGTTCGAGACCAGCCTGAGCAACATGGTGAAACCTCATCTCTAGTCAAAACACAAAAACTAGCCAGGCATTGTGGTGGGCACCTGTAATCCCAACTACTCGGGAGGCTGAGACAGGAGAATCACTTGAACCTGGGAGGTGGAGGTTGCAGTGAGCCGAGATCGCGCCACTGCACTCCAGCCTGGGCGACAGAGTGAGACTCCCTCTCAAGAAAACAAAAAAAAAAAGATAGTTAGAAGCATGTTTCCAGCTGAAAGCATTAAAAAAAAAAAAAAGATACTTAGAAGCATCTTTCTAGCTGAAAGGGTAATTTATTAGCTACTACCTTAAAGATTTCTGAGGCCTTAAAGTCACAGGCACTCTTGACTTGGTCTTTACTCTGAGGCATTTTTTACTTTGCAAATCTTTTGCCAGCTGGAGAGACTCGGGATGAGAAACAATTCTATTTTCAACAAGTTCTGGGTCCTTTACATTTCTGTAAATTCTGCTTGTAAGCAAAACATCTTCTTTAGCTTACCTCTCTTTTACAGTTTTTTAGCATAAGCAACTAGAAGCACTCCACAGATACTTTAAACACTTGTAGAGAGCTCCTTAACCAGATCCATGACTTCATTAAATATATTATTTGTCTTCCAAGTTACCTCAGATAACATTTTTTTGCCAATTGTTCCATTATTACAGAACATGGATCTTTTTTCCAGACTCCAGTAACAATTACTACACTGCTTTTCCAGCCTCCCTTAACAATTCATCATTCTTCCAGTCTTCATTAACATCCTCCTCACCAATGTTCAGCCTACACCTATGAGCCAGTTTTAAAGTCAATGTCTTACGTTTTACTTTTCTGTTATGGCAACATCATACCGTTAGGTATCAATTTCTGTGTCAATTATCCATTGATACCTAACAAACTACCAAAATCTTAGTGACTTGGTATAGCAACCATTTTATTTTATTTGCTCATGAGTGTGTGGATCAGCATTTTGAACTGGGCACAACTGGCAGTTCTGATCTTGCCTGGAGTAATTCATGCAGCTATAGTCATCTGGCAGCTCAACTGGGGTTAGATGGTCAAATATGGTCTCATTTACATGTCTCAAATGTGGTGCTGCTGACTGTCCTAGTAGGACTAGGAGGCCTTAGCTGGGACAACTCATCTCTGCTCATGTGACCTCTCCTTCTCTAGTAGGCTAGAATGGGCTCTTCACATGGTAGTCTGAGGGCTTGCTCCAAGACAGCAAGAGCAACAACTACAAAACCATTGCAAATAATTTCTCACATTGCTCTATGTTTTTCATCCTTTTGTCTTTCTTCATGCTTCAGTCTGAATTTCCTTCTGATCTACTCACCAGTCGTTAATTATTTATCTTTTTCTAGATTTTTTTGTTTTGTCACCCAGGCTGGAATGCAGTGGCATGACCATAGCTCAAGGCAGCCTCAAACTCCTGGGCTCAAGGGATTCTCCCATCTCAGTCTCCAGTGCCAGTTACTGATTCTCTTCAACTGCATCTAATATGCTATAATTTTAAACTCCTATATTGACTTCTTCTTCTTCTTCTTTTTTTTTTTTTTTAAGACAATGTCTTGCTCTGTCACCCAGACTGGAGTGCAGTGGCACAATCTCAGCTCACTGCAGCCTCTGTCTCCTGGGTTCAAGTGATTCTCCCACCTCAGCCACCCAAGTAGCTGGGATTACAGGCATGTGCCACCAGGCCCAGCTAATTTTTGTATTTTTAGTAGAGATGGGGTTTCATCATGTTGGCCAGGCTGGTCTTGAACCCCTGATATTGACTTCTTAATTTTAGTTATTGCATTTTCAGTTCTAGAACTTTTGTTTCTTCTTTATGATTTCCAGTTCTCTACCAAAATTCTCAATCTTGCCTTTACTTTCCTTGAATATATTACGCAGAATTACTTTAAAGTCCTTGTCTGATAATCTCATTATATAAACCCTCTGTGGGTCTGTTTCTACTGTTTTGTTCTTCTTGGTTTTCAATCATCTAATTTTGTATGCCTATTTTCAATTGAGTGGTTGATAAGCTGTAAGAAAAATTAATAGAAATAATTTTAAGTTCTGGATGTTATCTTTCTCTGGAAAGGATTTACATTTGCTTCCTGCAGGTGTCTAGAAGCACTAGCAATCCTAAAACATCTTGCTTAAATCAGAGGTTGAATGTTTTGAAGCCAAGATTTAGTCCCTGTGAGGGCTAGTCTATTTCCAGTTCACCCTTTCTCCCATGATGTAGTCAGTCCTTAAAGATCCTAACCTAAAATGTGGGAGGTTTTCCAGGGCACCCCTCCCCAGGAAGCCCTCTTAGTCTTTTAAGACTGTTGAAAACTTATCAGCCTTTCTACTATCTTGAACTAGAAGATATATCTAGGGGAAAAGTAGCCTCATATGTCAGGCTCACATCTCTGGGTTTCCTTTTTCTCTTGTATGTTAGCCCCATAATTCTTCACTGTCTTGAATGGTCTCTAATGCCGTAAAATGTAATATATCTATATCTATATCTATCTATCTATATATATATATATATATATATATCTGGTTCAGCTTTTCTAGTTTGTTCCCAATGGGAGGATTAGTTTATTCAGCCAACTAGTATTGAAACTTAAGGACTTTCACAGAAAACCTTCCCTTAGTGTTTTAAGACTTTTCCACTATTTGATTCCATAAGTAATGAGTAGTTTTGAAATGTCTGTAAGAGTTAACATTAATTAACATGCCTTTTTTTTCTTTTTGCTTCTAAGAGCAGTCTTTTTTCTCTAGACTCTCTGAGTCACTGATCTACCTATGAAATTAGAATTCAATGAAAAAAATGTAAAAAAAAAAAAAAAAAACCCAAGGTAATATTCAATTTCTGACACTTAAAATAGGATAATGTAGCAAAACAATACCTTATTTATTGATTTATTTATTTTACAATTTTTTGTAGAGATAGAGTCTCACTTTATCTTCCAGACTGATCTCAAATTTCTGGCTTCAGGCAATGCTCCCGCTTTAGACTCCCAAAGTGCTAGGATTATAGGCATAAGCCACCAATCCTGGCCAAGACAACACCTTTATCACTTCCTTTATCTAGTACAGATGCTCTTTGACTTACAATAAGGTTATGTCCCAATAAACCCAACATAAGTTGAAAATGTTCTAAGTCAAAATTGCATTTAATATACCTAACCTAATGAACACCATAGATTAGTCTAGCCTACCTCAAATGTGCTTAAAACACATTAGCCTACAGTTGGGCAAAATCTTCTAACACAAAGCCTATATTATAATAAAGTGTTGACTATCTCATGTAGTTTACTGAATGTTGTACTGAAAGTGAAAAACAATAGCTGTATGGGCACTCAAAGTAAGATTTATACTGAATGCATTATCACTTGCACAGTATTGTAAAGTTGTTTGTTTGTTGATTGTAAGTTGAAATTTTAAGTTGGGGACCACCTGTATATGAAATCATGGAAGACCCAGCTCATAAGACTTTCCTTTTAACTCTTAACAGTGAAGCAAGGAGTTTGCTGCTAAGTGTTTTAAGGGAAAAAAAAAAAAAAAAAAAGCGAAATAAAAGGTAGCATGGCACACTAGTAAAAGAAGTGCAAAGTAGAAGATGATGAGGAAACTATGAAAAAGAGGGAAGCTAGGAGAGTGAAAAGAGCAGACTTCTGTCCCAATTTTCCATTTTTTGACAAATCTTTTACTATGTATTGGTAGGAGGAAAAAAAGTGAGTTAAATATGTGAGGGTAACTCTGAGGACAGAACAAAAAGAGACCCCTGTCTCCCTTTTCTCTTTCTGTTTAAGATTCTAAAAAGACATCACTTCTTTGGTCGTCTCCGCAACCAATGTATAGTATGGCCACATCAACTTGGCTGCAAAGCAGAGGGTAAGGCAAAGAGAGATCCTACATCGAGCTTTCCTGAGTCACTCTCAGTTCCTATATACTGTAGGCCTGCCATAGGGTTCCTGTGCCAGGGTGTGGTGGCCATGCAACACGGGCTAGGGTATAGAGTGCTGGGACAGCAGGGTAGATGAGACATATGATAGAAACTCAGAGGTCTCTAGGCAATGTGAACTAAAGTGAGAAAAAGTCAATCAGAGAGCCTGGGCCTGGCCAAGCCAAGAGCAACCATATCAGTATCATACCACCATATCACATATGACCTACAAAGTCAGCAGAACAGGGGCACAAAAATACAGAAAGGTATTGATTTTTCTTTGTCATTATGAGGTCCTATAAGCCATACGCACCATGTAGGAAAGAGCTATCTGACAAACTGAGCACGTTTATATAAGACAGAATAACTCTACTGTTTGAATTACCTAATTAAATAAAACTTAAAATTGAGTTGGACATTTCATTAACCTTTTTTCTCTGCTAATATGCAGGTAGAAACTAGAGAGAAAGACAGTTAGCTATAGACAAAATTAAAAATTAAATATTTTCTGGGCATCCAAATTATAGTATGAGTTAAATCATATATCTCTGATATACATGTTAGTTCAAACAAACAAAAACAGCTTATACTCTACCTGTCTGAAGAGATTAGGGAAGTCATCTGCATTGTTGACTTTTCTAATTCCCTTCCCTCCTCCTCCCTCTGAGGCCTTGATCATTACTGGATATCCAACTTCCTCAGCTGCCTTCAAAAAGAAAGAAAAAAAAAATAGAAGAAACAGTGTTATTACCAGGGAAGGAGAAAACTGGCATTTTTCTCCCTTTAAGAATGCAGTCATTTAGTAATTCTAAATACAATAAAATAGAAAGATCTTCAAGATACACTATGAAAAAATAAATAGTAGAACAATATTTGTAGTATTAGGTTGAACCAAAAGAAATTGCCTTTTTCATAGATTTAAAAAAATGACTGAATATAGGCAATTTCTTATGGTTCAATCTAAAGTAATGTCACATGGGTCAAAAACAAAATTATATATGCATTCATACACCCACACATGTAAGTGCAAAGAAGTGAAGTCCAGAGTACATACCAGCAATGATTTAGAAAAGAATGGGTCCGGGCACAGTGGCTAACGCCTGTAATCACAGCACTTTGGGAGGCCAAGGCGGGCGGATCACCTGAGGTCGGGAGTTCAAGACCAGCCTGACCAACATGGAGAAACCCCGTCTCTACTAAAAATACAAAATTAGCTGGGTGTGATGGCGCATGCCTGTAATCCCAGCTACTTGGGAGGCTGAGGCAGGAGAATCGCTTGAACCTGGGAGGTGGAGGTTGCAGTGAGCCAAGATCACGCCATTGCACTCCAGCCTGGGCAACAAGAGCGAAACTCCATCTCAAAAAAAACAAAAACAAAAAACAAAGAAAGATGCGTGGATATAAAACTTTCCTTTTTCACTGTATGTATTTCTGCATTATTGGAATTTCTTGCTTATAGTATGCAGGCATACATGTATTACAATTAAAAAAAAAAAAGACATAAGGAGTTCACTTAAAATAAGCTGAAGTGGGGTTGGGCGTAGTGGCTCGTGCCTGTAATCCCAACACTTTGAGAGGCTGAGGCAGGTGGATCACCTGAGGTCAGGAGTTCGAGACCAGCCTGGCCAACATGGTGAAACCCCTGGCCCTATTAAAAATACAAAAAATTAGCTGGGCGTGGTACTGCATGCCTATAATCCCAGCTACTCGGGAGGCTGCGGCACGAGAATTGCTTGAACCTGAGAGGCAAAGGTTGCAATGAGCCAAGATCGTGCCAATGCATTCCAGCTTGGGCAACAAAGTGAGACCCTGTTTCAATAAAATAACCAAGTCATTCCTTTGTCAAAATATTCCAGTCTTTTAAGGTTTTGCTACATTATAAGAATATCTTTAAAATGTATCACCAGGCCTGGCCCAGTGCTTCACACCTGTAATCCCAGCACTTTGGGAGGCCAAAGTGGGTGGATCACTTGAGGTCAGGAGTTGGAGACCAGCCAGCCCAACTTGGTGAAACCCTGTCTGCACTAAAAATACAAAAATTAGCTGGGCATGGTGGCGGTAACCTGTAATCACAGCCACTTGGAGGCTGAGGCAGGAGAATCACTTGAATCTGGGAAGTGGAGGTTGCGGTGAGCCAAGATGGCATCACTGTACTCCAGCCTGGGCAACAGAGTGAGACTCCAACCCAAAAAAATAAAATAAAATAAGTATCACCCAGAAAAAGAACATTTCAATTTTTAATCTATGTCAATCGATTACTTAATGAATGAAAATCTTTTATGCACAGTCTCACCTTTTCTAATGTTTCTTTATTCTTTTCTATGCTCATATAAACAGAATTAGTATGATGAACTCAATTGCTGAGTGATAGATGATCAAAGAGATAGCTTAAAAAAAAGAGAAAGACTTAAAAAAAAAAGGGGGTATCCCATAGGAGGTCAGTAAGTAAGAAGGTAGGCCTTTTAAAAATATATGAAAGCTTTAGTCACAGGTCACCCATTAAAAATATTTTGGAAGAATTTTAACACTTTAATATAATGTTAAGTAAGGAGCGGGGAGGTAGAAGGACAAAAAAATATTAAGTAGAAAAAAGTATTATGATTACCAACACAATACAAATAGTAAGACCCAAAACTTATAATTATCATAATTATAAGTATAGGAATCTATTAATAAAGATTTGTATATGATATAAATCTATGAGTTGAAAAGGGATAAAAAAATGAATAGGTTAATGGGCATTATCTTTGGATGGTGTGTTTGCATGTGGCTTTATCATCATCTTTGGCTTTTCAAATTTTCTACCAGAAAATGCTGTTTATAATTATAACCAGAAAAAATAAAAAAGAATGTTAGTCGATAAGCAAAATAGCTAGAATAGCTAGTTCCTTACAAAGAGCTTCTACTCTTTTGCAAATTATAACAAACAAAATAAAGCATTTGAAATTCAATTAGAAATATTAATTCTTCTTATTAAGGAGATTACAGGATGTTTAACTTAAAATGCAAACAATACAACAAAATTATTTGAACATTCAGCATCCCTCTTGAATTTACATGACACAAGTCAAACTCAAGCAGTGTATTTTTCTACAATAGCCTCTTTCATTATCTTTCATTATACCTGGAAGCATAACCAACACTTTAAACTATTTATAAAAGTGAAAGGGGAACAAATTGGAGGGAACTGTAAGGAAAGAAAAGGTAATGTTGGGGAAAGGATCTCCTTTTGCCTAGGTTCACATTTCTACATGGATAGACAATAATTAAGAGTAACACTTTCAGTCTTTCTTGGTTCACTCCCTTGCTCCTCCCCAAGGGAAAAATAATAAATTATGTGATTGGTCAACTTGGAAGGAGGGACTGAATATGCATAGCTCAGCCTTTTCCCCTTTGGGATCAGCCCACTGCACAGGACATATGCTCTTTGTCAGCTCTCAGCCATACACTAAGCTGAATTAAGCTCTCTCTCTCTGTCGAGGGAAATCTGTGGTCATTCAGCACTGCCAGTAACCAGTGGGTGAGTGAGCCTGCTTAACTCTGGTGTTTAGTTTACAAATCTGAATGTTGCTACACACTTAAGCCATTTTCATCAACATCTCTGTTCATAATAAAGCTGACTGTTTGATCTCTGCTTCCTGGCTTCTTGGTTCTGAATTCAACCAGTAGAAAAAGTATGTTGTTTGTTGTCCCCGCCCTCACACACTAACAGGTGGTAGAGAGAGAGAGAATCAGCACCTCCTTAAAACTCTGACTTAATCACCTAAGAAATGTTCTGTCCAGATGAGCAGCCTGCTTCAAAATGAATTTAGATTGTTTACATTTAAAGTCACTTCCTCAATCTGTACTTTTTAAAGGCAAAAGACTTATGCAATCTAAAGAGAAACCAGCGTATTCTATACTTTCAAACTACACCTCCTGGTCTTACATCCCTAACACCACCTTGGGTATATATCACGAGCCAGGCTCCCAATCTCCACATTTGTGACTATAACTGGTCAGCTGAAAGGTATCACTCCCTGGAGTTAGTAACCTACCTGTAGCCCATCATCCACATCTTTCACATAACCTTTTTCATATAGCTCCTGGGGAACATTTAAGATACGTTTTGAAAAATCATTTTCCTGCCAGTCCACACGAAGACCTGCAACAGACAATAGCAACTTAGGGCAATTACAAGATCTTCTGCTCTTGTCAATTTTCTGCTCTGCATTCTTTGAAATGCTATCATATTTACCCAAAACTGAGAGTGGATGGGAGAAAGAAGGATGCCATAAAACCCTGATCAGTCCTTGGGGTTAACAGGATTTAGCCACAGCATGACCCGGCAACTTGGGTTCTTAACGCTGGCAAAAGCCAGCCGAACTAACAGGGAGCAACTTATAAAAATGCAAAGACGTACAAGATCAAAACAAACAAAAAAAGAACATAGCATACTTCTCACAGCAACTCAGCAGGCAAAATACCTTCAAACTGTGTGTTCAGGCCTGCTCCAGGGCCAAGAGGTCTGGGAAATAATTCAATCTTTATGAGCCCTTGGAAATAGAAATGGCGGTTTTATTGGCCTCAGCAGAGTCATGATTCCATGCTCTCTGAACGTCCCTGTACTCAGCCATAAGGGGAACACTATAGCCTCTCCATTCAAACAAGAACAAATTCAACCTTTTATTTTAAACTATTTGACCCAGCAGATCTGGAGAGGATATTGCAATCTCCCTGGAGAGCCAGAGTAACAAGGGTTCAAATCTGTTCAGCCTCAAGACAGTGGTCATTCCCATTTAAAAGAGGTTTTAGTGTATGTCTGTTCCCAGTGCTTGAGTACTTAAGAAAAAAAAAAAAAAGGTTCATATTGTTATCAGCTATAATAATTCACATGGAACTGTTTAAGGGATGTGTTGAGAATAAATCACTTTTTGAAAATTCTTGCCCCTCTGGCATGCCTGGAAGAAAGGTTAATTACTGACCTCATTTTCTGCATCAAGGGCAACTGAGGTTGAATGGTTTTTAAACAGTCAAATCAAATCATCAATAGATTGTGGGTTGATATCAAGAAAACATTGGCGCCAGGCGCGGTGGCTCATGCCTGTAATCCCAGCACTTTGGGAGGCCAAGGCAGGTAGATCACAAGGTCAGGAGTTCAACACCAGCCTGGCCAAGATGGTGAAAGCCTGTCTCTACAAAAAAATACAAAAATTAGCCGGGTGTGGTGGCGGGTGCCTGTAATCCCAGCTACTCGGGAGGCTGAGGCAGAGAATTGCTTGAACCCGGAAGGTGGAGGATGCAGTAAGCCAAGATCATGCCACTGCACTCCAGCCTGGGCAACAGAGTGAGACTCCAACTCAAAAAAAAAAAAAAAAAAAGAAAAAAAAAGAAAAAAAACATTGGCAAGGAAACATTTGAGTAAGTGGGTTTTAGGTTTTTCCTAGTGATCCAGGCTACTCCCAGGCAGGTCTGAAGACCCAATTCCCCCTGGGAAGCCCACCTCTGAGGAAGATTCTAGCCTACCCAGAGTACATCTAAACCCACAAAACCATATATATGTTTTCCCAGAGTTTTTCTAAGTTAACTCACAAGATCACTCCAGATCACAATTTAGCATCTGTGTACCTGGAACTAAATTTATATTACTAAAAGAATCACAGGTGTATTAATTAAGCTAGGAGCTACAAGGTACCATTAATCAACCAGTATTCCATTTCTTGTCAAGTATACCAATACTTTTTCAAAAGAGGTAAGTCCCAAATATCCTACTGAGCTATTCTGTACTTCAAGATACAAACAAGAATTCAGTTCTTACCACTGCCGCTCCAGGGAAGAGTTGGGATACCTGCAGTTTGAGCCACTATGGAAGATGCAATCTTATCCCCTAAAGCCCACATGGCCTGGCTTGGAGGACCTAAAAACGAAACAGGAAAAGAATCCTGACTGTAACCCCTTGGCCTCATTTCTGGCACATGTAGTTGCCTTGTATTATAGCTATTTATGTATTTGTCTTGTCCTCCCCCCACCCCTCACATATCAAGGAGATCATAAATTATGGGGACTATTATGCTTTGACTTATCTTTGTACCATCTGTAAAACCTAATGTAGTAAGCTTTTTGTGCAGAGTGAGAGCTCAATATATATAAATGTATGCTGAATTAAATTTTTGACAAATCTAGCTATAATGTTATCATTCTTCATGATCCAACTTCACCAGATCAATAAAGTCTTCTTTTTTAAGTCAATATCCTGAAATAAGGACTTTAAAGTTTTAGGATTCAAGTCTGAAATAGTATACGCTCTTTGGTCTTAGGGGAACCCAAAAAGGAGACATCTTTAAAAAGGTTTACAAAACATAATCTTCATTGTTTAAGGTCTCTGAGACAGAGAGAAAAATACTTTGAGCTATATAACCTCTGTTTTTCTCTCTGGTATAATGACAGCAGAAAAGTCAGAAGAAGTATCTCTCACTTGTAGGAGTATCACCTATATGCTTAAATGCACAGGTGCTGATTCATATTTAAGGGCACACTGCCAAGGCATCCTGAGTATTCAATTATCTTCACTATCTAAAAACAGGTCATTTTCCCACATGCTTTCTTAAGGTTAGCTGCAAAGTTTTAAAAGGTCAGAGTTTTAGAAACCAAAGCCTTCTCCATATCTCCATATCTGACCCAGGGACAGAAAACAAAATCAAGATGAAGTGAGATAAGCAAAAAATGAAAAAAAAGAAAGAAATGAAGAGGGTTACTCTGAGAGTTAGTAATAGATTGAGGGAAAAAAAAAGAGAGAGAGAGCCCAGCACATGTTAAACAGAAAATCAGACTATAGAGTAAAATGTGGGCAAAATTGACAGAAAGAAACAGAAAGACGGACAATATGTCAGAACAGCTTACCCATGAAGGCAATGCCATTTTTCAAGAGAAGTTCCGGTAGTTTGGGATTCTCAGAAGCATGACCCCAGCCAGCCCACACTGCCTGCAAGGGAATACAATATAATTCATTCTTAAAATTCATACAAAACCCCCACAAACTGCAAGAGTCTCTATCCAGGCTGGCCCTGTTTCTTGAGGTACAGTAGTTCCACAGCAGCCTAATGCTTAATTCAGCTTCTATGCTTGATTGTTGGCAAACTCTTTACAGAGTAACAATAAGTAGTCCATTGTGGCAAGATTTCTGAAGGGGTCAAAACCAAGTTGAAATTGATATTAAGATCCAGTTATACTTGTTGCTCTTTAGGAAACTCAATTCATAGCCTAGGCTGTAAAGGGCGTTTTCTAGAAAAACTGGCTATGTTTCACATATTCAATTACTATGGCCACGCCATTACATCATTATTGATTACACTGCCATCTAAGTTTAGAGTTTTTTCCTCTTTGGGCTTTAAGGTACCTACCCTAAACTTACTAACACAATGTGACAGGGAAGAAACAGCCTACTTCTTTAATATACCACCATCCTTTAGGCTAATATTCCACAACAAACAGGTAATTTTTACTGGCTCAAAGGTGAGATACCTAGAATAAATAATCTCTGAAAGATGCTTCCAAACCTTCTGTTTGTATTACGTTTACTTTATTTTTAGCCATTCCATTATTTCCATCTTTCTTTTCCTTATTTGGTTTAGTTATCCCATACACAGGCATTTAATAATTTTCGAAAATGATGCTTTACAAAAATGTTCTTCTCTAGATATCCCCTTGTGCCTAACTATAAAATGGCTGAATTTGGTTTTAAAGGACACATTGGCATCTCTTACTTGTACTGGGATCCTTTTAGCAATATCAAGAATTAATTCCACATTTGCATAGTTGTTGTTGTTTGGTCCTCCAGGCACTGGCACATAGTGATCTGCCATCTTAATGTATTCTGAAAATGCAAGCGAATTAATAGAGAACACATGATTTTTTTTTCCAGAAATATAATTGCACAGCAAAACTACGTAAAGGTCAGGGACTATCATAAGTAACCACAGGACAAACAGCATTAGTAGGATAATTTCCAGGACCATTTAGTTCGAGGCTCTTAGTTTGTTAAGTCACAAGCACTAATACGAGTTAATCCCATATTTAGAAGCTCTTATAGTAAAATAGCAATTCTCCAACATTTCACTATGTAATCTTTCTGAGGAATCTTTATGACTTCTATATCAAGGCTGATGTGTCTGTCAGTTAGGGGCCCAAGTGCAATTACTCTATTCCGAGAAAAAGTTCTAGTCCTGACATCCTTTGTCTTTAACTGGTACTGGACCTAGAGAAAGCCCTTTTCCTGGTACAGAGCTTGACAGAATGGAGAAAGATAGGAGAGCCTGAATGGCTTGCAAACTGGCTAAACAAGAAAGGTTAGTTACAGGAGTGTCTGGAAAGAGTTTATCTGGAATACTGAGGGTAACAGGTATTTGTAAGAAACTTTAGAAAGATAACCACTTTCTCATATATATTTGTTGTACAGTATTCCCTTTCAAATTTGTCACCTAACATCTCTATTTTCCTATTCTGGCAATGACACCTGTAACAGAAGAGCTACCACGTGTAGGGACTGTAACTAGCACTTTGTATATATATTATCTCATTTAATTCTCTCATCAACCCAATATGTGACAGAAAATGATGGCTTGGAGGAGTTAAGTAACTTCCTCAAAGTTCATTTCCACCATTTATAAATTTATTTTAGCTTTCAAATTTCAACTCAAGCATCCACCATTATTTACTAATAATAAATTTATTTTATCTTGTTCTTTTTTAAAAATGTAAGTTCCAGGATACATGTGCAGGACATCCAGGTTTGTTACATAGGTAAACGTGTGCCATGGTGGTTTGCTGTACCTATCAACCCATCACCTAGGTATTAAGCCCCACATGCACTGGTAAAGGACAGGAACAGACAGACACTTCTCAAAAGAAGACATTTATGCGGCCAACAAACATATTTTAAAAAAAACCTCAACATCAGTGATCATTAGAGAAATGCAAATCAAAACCATAATGAGATATCATCTCATGCCAGTCAGAATGGTGATTATCTTGTTCTTATTTCTAAAAGATTTTAAGTCCCTTCTAAAAAAAATTCTACTAAAAAAAATTCCGCTAGAATTTCTTCAAAATTAAAATAGGCTTATTGTTCTCTTTGATTATAGGAAGGAAAGCATGCAAATTATTAAACAATGTTAGATAATACAACAGAATATAACAATACTATATTTTAAAAGTGAAAATTGGCCAGGCGCAGTGGCTCACGCCTGTAATCCTAGCATTTTGGGAGGCTGAGGTGGGCGGATCACGAGGTCAGGAGATGGAGACCATCCTGGCTAACATGGTGAAACCCCATCTCTACTAAAAATACAAAAAATTAGCCGGGGATGGTGGCACAAGCCTGTAGTCCCACCACAGACAGAGTGAGGCTGAGGGAGGCTGAGGCAGGAGAATCGCTTGAACCTGGGAGGCAGAGGTTGCAGTAAGCTGAGATCACGCCACTGCACCAACCTGGGTGACAGAGCAAGACTCCGTCTAAAAAAAAAAAAAAAAAATTAGCTGGGCCTGGTGGTGGGCACCTGTAATCCCAGCCACTCGGGAGGCTGAGGCATGAGAGTCGCTTGAACCCAGGAGGCAGAGGTTGCAGTGAGCCGAGATTGCGCCACTGCACTCCAGCCTGGGGGACAGAGTGAGACTCTCACCTATTGTCCCACCTCAAAGACAACCAGTTTATGCTTTACTGTACATAAATATATATATTTTTGGTATATATATGTTTAATATTTTTTATGGATACCTAATATTTCAATAGCCTATATAATTCATTTGACTACTAACTTATCAATGGAAGTACAGATTATGTATAATTTGAAAAATAATAAAATAATGTGTGTCTCTGTACGGCTGTCCAATTATATCCACAGATATGTTACTAGCAATAAAACTATTGGGTCAAAAGGTATTCACATTTTCAGACTCTCACTAGCAACATGGGTACCAAATACTCTCACCTATGTTAGGTATTATCAATGTCTTCAATTTTGTGAGTTTTGTAAGTTAAAAAAAAATCTTTAGTATTGTTTTGGTTTAGATTTCTTTTTTGTTTGTTTGTTTGTTTTTGAGACCAGATCTCACTCTGACACCCAGACTGGAATGCAGTGGCATGGTCATGGCTCACTGCGACCTCGACCTCCCGGGCTAAAGTGATTCTCCCACCTCAGCCTCCGGAGTAGCTGAGACTACCGGCATGCGCCTCTATGCCCAGCTAATTTTTGCATTTTTTGTAGAGACAATTTCACCACATGGTCCAGGCTGACCTTGAACTCCTGGGTTCAAGTGATCCGCCTGCCTTGGCCTCCCAAAGTGCTGAGATTACAGGCGTAAACCACCATGCCTGGCCCTCCATGCTTTTTATCAATAAGGTATAATCTCTTAATCTTAAGGTAGAGTATCTTCACAGATAACATGAAGAATAATATGGTATCAAGGATTTGCATCAAAATAATTGTGCACGGGGTTAAGAATATAGATGAAACTAGATTCGCCATAAGTTGATAATTATTGATATTGCATGACAGGTAGATGGGAAGGGATTCATTATACTCTTCAACTTTTACATAGTTAACACACACACACACACACACACACACACACACACACACCCCAAAAAACACATTCATTTAAAATGCAAATCCTTAGATGTCCAACACACACACATACTCTCCTTAAAAGACAAAGTCTGTGCTTTTGAGGATGGAAAACAAGGTCCCCCTTGGCAAATACTACATCACATCTTGTAGCCATCCGTAATTTCTAGAAAACCACTTGTGTCATACCTTTATGCATTTGCAATGCTGTTCTTTCTGTCTGGTACACCTTTCTCTCCCCCCAATTGCTTCACTAACTCTTACTCATTCTTGGTTAGACATAATCTCTTTCAGAAAGCTGTCTTTCTCTCTTTTTTTTTTTTTTTTTCATTGAGACTGAGTCTCGCTTTGTGGCCCAGGCTGGAATGCAGTGGCACGATCTCAGCTCACCACAACCTCCTCCTCCTGGGTTCATGCGATTCTCCTGCCTCAGCTTCCGAGTAGCTGGATTTACGGGCACCAGCACCATGCCCAGCTCATTTTTGTATTTTTAGTAGAGATGGGGTTTCATCATGTTGACCAGGCTGGTCCCAAACTCCTGACCTCAAGTGATCCACCCGCTTGAGCATCCCAAAGTGCTGGGATTACAGGCATGAGCCACCACACTCAGCCTAAGAAAGCTTTCTCTTAAGCCTGCCCCCAAGAATTAGATGTCTCATCTCTGTGTTCTCACCGGACCCTGTGCATGTTTCTTTTATAGCACTTACCTCATTGTATTGAAATCATTTGTTTCCTAGAACAAGATCACATCTTATTCAACTGTCAGTCTCCATGTTAAGTGAATGAATAAATGAATTAATTGGAGTACCAGGTAGAAATGAATGAGGAAAAAGAAACCGGACCGGGCGCAGTGGCTTACACCTGTAATCCTAGTACTTTGGGAGGCCGAGGCAGGTGGATCACAAGGTCAAGATACCGAGACCATCCTGGCCAACATGGTGAAACCCTGTCTGTACTAAAAATACAAAAATTAGCTGGGCATGGTGGCACACACCTGTAGTCCCAGCTACTTGGGAGGCTGAGACAGAAGAATTGCATGAACCCAGGAGGCGGAGGTTGCAGTGAGCTGAGTTTGCACCACTGCACTGCAGCCTGGTGACACAGCAAGACTCCCTCTCAAAAGAAAAAAGAAAAAAACCACGCAAGTTAATCTGTATTTATTATAGATGATCTCATCTTTACAATTATCCAGTGAATTAGACATTAGGATCTTCCTTTTATAAGTATGAAACTTGTGGCTCAGAGATGTGAAAGTGTGCATCTAAATGATTTCATATAATAACATGATATAGTTTGAATGTATGTCCCTCACCAAATATCATATTGAATTGTAATCCCCAGTCTCGGAAATGGGGCCTGGTAGGAGGTGTTTGGATCATGAGGGCAGCTCCCTCATGAATGGCTTGGGCCATCTCCTTGATGATACGTGAGTTCTCACTCTAAGTTCACATGAGATCTGGTTGTTTAAAAGTGTGTGGCACCCTCCCCACAATTCTCTGTGTTGTTCCTGCTCTGGCTATGTGATGTGCCTACTCCCCCTTCATCTTCCCCCAGTAAGTGTCCTGAGGCCTCCCCAGAAGCAGAGCAGATGCCAGCACCATGCTTCCTGTAAAGCCTGTAGAATTGTGAGCCAATTAAACCTCTTTTCTTTACAAATTACGCAGCCTCAGGTATTTCTTTATAGCAATGCAAGAATGATCTAATATATAACATTTGCTTTCTAATAAATTGGTGTCTTCTCAATTTCTAAATAAGATGATATAATAACCTTTCTTTCTTAGGAATAATCATAATACCATTGTCTCAACAAAGAAAAAACATATGCAGACTAAAATAAGTATAAAAGGATAGCTCTTTTTCGCAGCTTCCTAGGAGTAAAAGATAAAAAAAAGTAAAAAAACATAGCTCTTCACATTATCTGTGGGTACTCTACCTTAAGAGATTATACCTTAGTGATAGAAGGTATGGAGAAGAAAGACTAGTCATATCTTTCAGCTATACCAACAGTCTTTATCTACAACTATCAGACAGAGAACCATCTGAGTAAAAAGAATATGTAGCCGAATTTACAGAGTGAAACACACTTCGGTCCCAAAAGGTCTCTCCCTCAGGAAGAGAAAAAAAAAATCTTAACCCAAAGTTTTTCTATAATTCAATATAACGCATAAGGAAAAAACAGCATTTCCTTCTAAATCTTTCCACTTACGCATTCCAAAGAATGTGGCATAGCAAATATTTAACACTGAAAAAGGCATACACTTGAAAGCCCAAATCAACACTTTTGTTAAATTTCTTCCTACTTATCCCTAGGACACAGGAATCTGTATCGAGGTTGACTATAGTGCAATCATTTTTATATGTCTATTACTGACACATTTTAAACAGAAATTATTTTAAAAGGATTTTACTTGGAAGTCCTATGTTTGGGAATCCCCCTAAGTTAACATTCTCCTACTTAAAGGCTGTGCTGTTCCATGTTTTAGTTTTGAGAGTGATGCTTTCATAATGCTAATAACTCACCTGCATTGGCTTTAAGGTCTTCAGGTGTGACCATGACAACGAATCTAATTGCACGTTCATTTCGAAACATTTCATAAGACCACCTACGGATAGACCGCATGCATTTCACTGCTGCAATGCCATTGTTAGCAATAAGAACCTGGGAGGGGGAAGGAGATGGGAATGGGAAGAAAAGGCAGAAAAAAGCAACAATGGAGGAAAAGAGATGAGAGAATTTTTACATATCTATCTTTCTGTGTAAAAGTCATACTTTCAACCAAGAATTCTTGTTACTGGTCCAGACTGTTAGAAACTGGCTTCCCCAAGGCCAAGCAGTATCTTTAAATGTTAACTAAGCAAATACTTGAGTATGTGCCAGCTAAAACATACTCCTTTCTAACTTCATTTATTTGAAGGGAAAAGTCACAATTACTTAAATCTGTGACTTTGTGAATTATTCTACCATACTACCATATTGTGGGTATGGTATATTATGAAATCAGGAATGGGGGAAGGCCAACCAGTGCAGTGCCATGCACTCTTCTCTGTTGCAATAAAATGAGGTACAGAGCACTGAACATGTTTAAAAACCCTGGTATTAGTTACTTTTCTCCAAAATACTGAACTCCAATACCTTAGAATTGTAGAGAATGCCTCAGAAAGAATGGTCACTGTTGTAGAAAAATAGAATAATCCTGAGACTTTCTGTAAACAAACCTTTCGTCTCCTTACCTATCTTGCAGTCATGCCTCTAAGGATAACACAGACTAATAGACACATAATCTGTCTTTATTGGAAGACTAATAAAAGGATGCTGATGAAGTAATACTTTTAGGAGTGGAAATACAGGTCCCCATCCTTTAATCTTTTAATCACTGGAAGCTATTTCAGCCAAGTCATCCTCTCAGCTCTGACATGGTTTAGACAAAAGTGACACGGAATTACATTTCAAAATACCTGGAATCTCTAAGTATATCATGTGGTATATTCCCTTGAAACATCTCAAATACTTGGTGGAAGCCAGTAAGTCACAGTGTATCAAACTCTTTAAGCCTTCTCTTCTGAAACTCTCTCTACTCCCTTAGCTTTCAAACCAGTGCTGTGGCATATTATCTCCCCACCAGCACCCACAAGCTAATCAATTCTTCATACCCTGTCAGATCAGTGCAGCCCCACCCTGTAAAACCACAAGATCTTTCAAAAACATGTTTTGTTTGAGACAGGGTCCCTCTGTCGCCCACGTTGGAGTGCAGTGGCACAATCCATAGCTCACTGCAACCTTGAACTCCTGGGCTCAAGTGATCCTTCCATTTTAGCCCCCCAAGTTGCTGGGACTCAAAAATAACTTTATGAGCACTATTTTAACTCCTTAATTAGCTATGATTAAATTATCTGTGGTAAATACATATTATAGGAAAACAGTGAAATTATATTAATAGGATGCTAGGGAGGCAGAAAGGCTAAAATTCACATAAAGAGGCAAAGCCTCTGAGAAACTAAATATCAATTGGGAGCAAATCTAGACAACAAATCTAGGCAAGCATTAAATCCTAAGTGCTTTTGACAAAATAATTCAGCAAGTTACAACTTACCTTCTCAATCACTTTATTTCCCCCAAAGCGAGTAACAAATTCTGCTGGAGAAGCCACAGTGAAATCTCGTTGAGAATCTATTTTCTTTCTGTCTCGGCCCTGCTTTACTAGGTGCAAGCCAGACATGCTGGACCTATAAAAATACAGAAGCCATAAAAACACCACCTATATTTTCTGGAGACCTGCTTTTCACTACCATACCCATAACAGTACTTTCACAACTGCATCCTGTGAAGACTGCATGCTGGCAGGTCACGTACTTTTCAAATAAAAGAGAGAAAAGAAAATGATCTTGCTTGTGGAAATTTAAGGAAAAAAAAGCGTTTCTGAATAATAAAAGATAATATCAAGGTTTACCAGCAGATGCCATCACAAAGAGATAGGCAAAGGATAAATGGTAGAAATAATAGACTCAGAGACCGTTAAAGCCAAAAAACAAGTTACCAGGGTTGTTTCTGGATCACGACTCTGGTGTGCAGATGACCTTCACCTCTGTATCTCTGACTTCTATCTTTCTTCTGAGCTATAACTCCACATTTTAAAACTGCCTACTAAATGTTTTACCTGGGTATCTCCTAGGTATTTCAAAATCAACAACTCCAAAACAAAATTCTTTACAAGGCAGCATAATATGCCATATTTAATCAGTTTTAAGGTTCTACTTCTTTTCTTTTTACTTTAAAAAAATCTCCTAGGCCGGGTGCAGTGGCTCATGCCTGTAATCCCAGCACTTTGGGAGGCTGAGATGAGAGGATGGCTTGAGACCAGGAATTCGAGACCAGCCTAGGCAACATGGCAAAACCCTGTCTATAAAAAAAATACAAAAATTAGCTGGCACAGTCGTGTGTTCCTGTAGCCCCAGTTACTTGGGGTGGGGGGTGGGGGGCGCAGCTGAGGCAGATAAATTGCTTGGGCACGTGTGGTTGAGGCTGCAGTAAGTCATAGTCATGCTACTGCACTCTAGCCTGGGTAACAGAATGAGATGGGTGTCTCAAAAAAAAAATCTGAAATTGGTATGTATTTTACAATTGATGCCTTATTAAATTGGCAGTACTGTTTTTGTTGTTGTTTTGAGCCAGAGTCTCACTCTGTCGCCCAGGTTGGAATGCACTGGCCAGATCTCAACTCACTACAACCTTCGACTCCCAGGTTCAAGCGATGCTCCTGCCTCAGCCTGCAGAGTAGCTGAGACTGTAGGCGCGCCACCACACCTGGCTAATTTTTGTATTTTTAGTAGAGACAAGGTTTCGCCATGTTGACCAGGCTGGTCTCGAACTCCTGACCTCAGGTGATCCGCCCACCTCGGCCTTCCAAAGTGTTGTGATTACAGGCATGAGCCACCGCGCCTGGCTGGCAGTACTGTATTTTTTCTTAGTGGTACATAAAATAACAGTGTTTCTAACAATCAATGGCACCTTGGATTAGACAAAATATGATAGTGGAAACAGCACAGGCCTGGGTTTACATTCCAGATCTGTCCACTTAAATGATCTTTTGCAAATAATTTAACCTTTTCAGCTTCAGTGTTCTCTTTGTAAAATATGCATGATATTTACTGTCCTGGTTATTTACCTATTGTCTCTCAGCTCCAAACCTACCCTTTTATGCTGTGCTCTGTGACAATGGGGCCAAGATTCTGCAAACTTCATTTCCAAGACTCCTTTGCTAGCTCCTTCCTGTTCTGTTCACCAAACCGGAAGGCAGAAAGGTAAGAAAAGGGCCTTCCTTCCTATTTCCCAGCTGTTATCAGTATTGCTCCAGCTGTAACAGAAACTTAATTCCAGTCTCTAGCTTCTTTCAACAGTCTGGTGAAAAGCCATAGAGGTACCAGCAGCAGTGGGTTGTGGCTCTTTGGCAGTCAGAATATCAACCTTGCCATGCTCACTCATCCTCTGGACCTCACTGCCTGGGCCTATCAATCACCTGTCAGGCCAAGGATCTGAGTACCAGCTACCCAAAGCTTATGCCCAGAGGTCCAGGCACCAGCCCTCCAGGAGATCTCCACCAAGCTCCTAGTTCTGGTAACACTACCTCCCCTTTTGTTCTCCCAGACTTAGAGGTGATAGCTACTTCCTCTAGTTATTAACTCTGGGGTACCTCAGCATGCCTTTTTTGTTGTTGTTCTTTTATTCTTCTAACACCCAATTATGCAATTCTCGCTATTGAATGTTCTCTGTTTATAACACCTACTACAATTTATTTTCCTTGTGACTGCACCTTGACTGATAGACCCTCCAAAAGAGTGTTCAGAGGATTAAATAAGATAGTGGACATAAGCTCCTTTGTACACCGTTTGATAGACAGCTGTTTTCTTTTCCTATTCCCACCTTTTCTTCCCTTCCCCTACAATTTAAACTTGATGGGGCAGTAAGGTGTCTTTTCAAAATAAGAAGGTATGATTAAAATCTTCCCACATGCAGCACAATATCTAGCTTTCTGTGCACATATAGTTTTACATATACATACATAAATAAGACCAGTCTTTCTTTCTTCTCTGAGTGTCTCTATGCATAAAACTCAATGAGTGGGCATTTTCCCTATACTTCACATGACTTAGTGTGGCTCTTAACTTGCAAAACCACCACCTACGGGAGTATAACAAGAAGGGACAAGGCCAGGCATGGTGGCTCACACCTGTAATCCCAGCACTTTGGGAGGCCAAGGCAGGCGGATCACTTGAGGCCAGGAGTTCTAGACCAGCTTGGCCAACATGGCGAAACCACGTCTCTACTAAAAAAAAAAAAAAAAAAAAACCAAATATCCAGGCATGGTGGTGCACGTCTGTAATCCCAGCTACTCAGGAGGCTGAGGTGGGAGAATCACTTGAACCCAGGGGGCGGAGGTTGCAGTGAGCAGAGATCAAGCCACTGCCCTCCAGCCTGGGCGACAGAGCGAGACTCTGTCTCAAAAACAAAAAGACAAAAAAAAAAAAACAAGAAGGGACAGTTCAGAGTCTAGCAGCTACTTTGCCTACTAGACTTAAGGACAGACATAACAAAGGCTATGCACTCTGCTGTTGGCACTCAATATAAAATGCTCTGTACCCTTCTTAGAGACTGACATTTCAAGCTGGTCAATCTATTAAAATTTTCTTCATCCTTTTCTATCCAGGTATTTAGTTATACTGCATCTGGACTGGAACTTTAAAGTTAAGAGGCACCTTATAGAAAAAGAGGCCCACAAGGAGAATGATTTGTCTAAGGTCACAAAGGAAGTCTGTAGCATATATAGACCAGAAAACCAGGTTTCATGGTCATTTCAATGTTCTTCCAATTACACTATGCAACATATCTAATGATAATAAACACCAGAGGTCTAAAAACAGTGCCAGTGTACATGTTTTGTTTCATTTTTTTAATCACTTCATTTTTCTTTCATACATTCTTTTTAATTTTTTTATTATTGCATGTATTTTTAAATAAATAAAAATTACCTTCCTGTCCTTAACTTTGTCATGAACCTATTTCTTTTGGGCCCCAAGTCCATGGATCATTATCAGTGTATCAGACTGAGCAATAACATGAATGAATCTCAAAAACCTCATGTTCAGAGAAGGAAACCAGACACAAAAAAGTATATACCATATGACTCCATTTATATGACAAGGATAACTAATCTACAGTGCAGAACACGAATCAGTGGGCTGGGGCTGTGGGAACCGACTGCAAGGGAGTATGGGAATGATGGAAACGTTCTATATCTTGATCTCATAGTAATGGTTACATGGGTAGATATATGTGTTAAAACCATCAAACTACATAATTTTAAAAGGTGAACTTGGCCTGGTACATTGGTTCACACGTGTAAACCCAGCACTCTGGGAGGGCAAGGCAGAAGGATTGCTTGAGCCCAGGAGTTCAAGACCAGCCTGGGCAACATAGAAAGAGCTCATCTATACAAAAAAATCAAAAAATTAGCCGGCCTTGGTGGCACACGCCTATAGTCCCAGCTACTTAGGAGGCTGAGGTGGGAGAATCACTTGAGCCAGGAAGACTAGGCTGCAGTAAGCTATGATCACACCACTGCACTCCAGCCTAGGTGACAGAGTGAGATCCTGCCCCCGCTCCACCAAAAAAAAAGGGTAAACTTTACTGTACTTAAATTATACCTCAACAAACCTGACTTTTGAAAATACTCATTTACCTGCCAGGCATGGTGGCTCCCGCCTGTAATCCCAGCACTTTGGGAGGCTGAGGCGGATGGATCACTTGAGGTCAGGAGTTCGAGACCAGCCTAACCAATATGGTGAAACCCCGTCTCTACTAAAATTACAAAAATTAGCCAGACGTGGTGGCAGGCGCCTGTAGTCCCAGCTACTTGGGAGGCTGAGCAGGAGAATCGCTTGAACCCAGGAGACAGAGGTTGCAGTGAGCCAAGATCACGCCACTGCACTCTAGCCTGGGTGACAGAGTTAGACTCCATCTCAAAAAAAAAACAAAAAACAAAAAAATCATTTAACTGTCCACATAAAACAGGTATATCTGGCTGTAAATTATTCCTCAGTAAAGTTGGCTTTTAAAGAACTGTTACTAATGGTATTGAAAGGTAACACAGAGAATAAGGCTAAGGAAGTACCCACACCTTGAAAATCAGCAACTGTAAGTATGGCACAATCAAACATTTCTTCATCTGTCCTCATTATCTTCAACCCTCTAGGCACCTCCACTTCATATCCCACGAGTATTTCAAAGTCTGAGGATACAAAAATGTCAATCAAAATGCAAACTAGGACTGATCTTCTTAGGAACTTCCATTTTTCCATTACCCCATATACATTTAGATACCTAACCAATACCATGTGCTCTCCGGCAGTAATATAATCTACTCTATTACAGCTTGGCTTTCTCAACAACAGGAATCCACCACTGCATTATAGTATTTTTGTCAGTACTACTCCAATTCATTCTTCAAAATGCAACTAAACTGTCAGTGCTCCCAGTGAGCCTTTGCTGATGGGGATCCTTCCAACTTCACCCCTTAAGGAGGTAGGTAACTGAGCTTCCTCTGTGCCACACCAGAACATGCACTTACATCTTTCCTCCCAATCACACTGGACTGTTACATGAGCTTAACACATCTGTTTTCCCTGATAAATAGTGTGTGTTCCTTGAGGTCAGATACTCTTATTCATCCCTTGAGGTCAGAGATTCTTATTTATTGCTGTATCTCCAGCACCAAAGGGTACCTGGCACAGATAGAAGCTGTTCAAACATCTTTGGGTTTTTTTTTTAGACAGAGTCTCACTCTGTCACCCAGGCTGGAGTGCAGTGGTCCAATCTCGGCTTATTGCAACCTCCGCCTCCCAGGTTCAAGCGATTCTTGTGCCTCAGCCTCCCAAGTAGCTGGAATTACAGGCATGTGCCACCACGCTCGACTAATTTTTTCTATTTTTAGCACAGACGGGGTTTCACCATGTTGGCCAGGCTGGTCTCAACTTCCTGGTCTCAAGTGATCTGCCTGCCTCAGCCTTCCAAAATGCTGGGATTACAAGTGTGAGCCACCATACCTAGCCTGCTCAAACATTTTTGAATGGTGATTATTATTTATTAATTATTGACAACTACACAAAATAACACTATTTCTGAGTACTCGCTATGGGACAGACACTATGCTAAGCTCTTCACATGCACTGGCATATTAATCCTCGCAATAATGCTATGATGTTTGAGCACCATTTTACAAGTGAGGCTCAGAGGGATTAGGTAACTTGCCCATGATCATTCACACAGCCAGAAGTAACAAAACAGATCTGAATTCAACCTTTCTGACTCTAAGTCCTTGAACTTGATACCCTACAATACTGCCTCAAGTTAACCTGCACTGAATATAGTCACAGTTAATTATTCACTGTATATCCATGTAAATAATTATGTTTTTAGAGCAGGGGTATCCAATCTTTTTGCTTCCCTGGGCCACACTGGAAGAAGAATTGTCTTGGGCCACGTATAAAATACGCTAACACTGGCGGGCACAGTGGCTCTTGCCTGAATTCCAGCACTTTGGGAGGCTGAGGTAGGTGGACCACGAGGTCAAGATATCAAGGCCATCCTGGCCAACAAGGTGAAACCCCATCTCTAATAAAAATACAAAAAATTAGTCGGGCGTGGTGGCGTGTGCCTGTAGTCCCAGCTACTTGGGAAGCTGAGGCAGGAGAATCACTTGAACCTGGGAGGTAGAGGTTGCAGTGAGCCGAGATCACGCCACTACACTCCAGCCTGGCAACAGAGCAAGACTCTGTCTCAAAAAAAAAAAAAAAAAAGAAAAAGAAACACACTAACACTAATGATAGCTGATGAAAAACACATACACACACACACACACACACACACACACACACACACACACATCTCATAATATTTGTTTTTGTTTTTGTTTTGAGATGGAGTTTCGCTCTTGTTGCCCAGGCTGGAGTACAATGGTGCAATCTCAGCTCACCGCAACCTCCACCTCCTGGGTTCAAGCGATTCTCCTGCCTCAGCCTTCCCGAGTAGCTGGGATTACAGGCATGCGCCACCATGCCCGGCTAATTTTGTGTTTTTAGTAGAGATGGGGTTTCTCTATGTTGGTCAGGCTGGTCTCGAGCTCCCAACCTCAGGTGATCCACCCGCCTCAGCCTCCCAAAGTGCTGGAATTACAGGTGTGAGCCACCGCACCTGGTCAAAAATCTCATAATATTTTAAGCAAGTTTATGAATTTGTGTTGGGCCTCATCCAAAGCTGTGTTGGGCCTCATCCAAAGCTGTCCTGGGCTACATGCAGTCCATGGGCAGTGATTTGGACGAGCTTACTTTAGAGCAAATACCAGGTGATGTTTCTTTAAAACAGTTTTTGGAGAACAAATTTCTTAGATCTTTGCTGCCCATGTCTTCCAATGTTTACATATAAGCCCCAAATACATGCCAGTCATACTAACCATTACAAATCTCAATTCTCTCAAGAACTGAAAGAACACCTGATGATGTTATTAAATAAATGACTGATACGATTATACTAATCTGAGATGACATATACTAAATAAATGTAGTCTTATAGTTATCAAAAAATTAAGATAAAATTAAACATGAAGGAAAGGGCAAGAGTAAAAGGCAGTGCCTTTTAGGAGAATTTTTTTTTTCATTGAAACTGTAAAAATGTGAAGATACTAGAATGTTAATTTGACTGCTCTAAGAAGTAATTTTTTAACTTTGCACAAAACATAGTATGAATGTCATATATTCAATTAAAAATGTGCTTATGCATCTAGTAAGCAAAGCTGAACTACCCTTGCGGAAATGTGTTACCTGTTCAATGGCCTAAGGGATAATAGGTAATTTTAAAGAGGGTGATACGAGCATTTGTAGAGCTCTATATAACTGTATAACATCATGTAAATTTGTATGATTTTGTTTTGTGAATATAGTTTCAACTTGCTAAGTAAAGCAGTAAGGGGCAAACACTAAACTTACCAGTTAAAAAGCATTAAACAGTTAGACTTTGTAATGATAGTCTTTCAAGGTTTACCCTTGCTGCCATTATGCTGCTATGAAATTCTCAAAGCATCTTGAGAAAAACAAGCTTTGATTCCCCTTGGAACTTTCTAAACAGGGCAAAGTATATAAAGTCCTCTCAAGGGAAAGCCAGAAGTTAACAAAAAAAAGGCATTCTATAAGCAAGTTAAAAGAAAGATCAGACTTTAAACATAAGCATTTTTCTGTGCATCATCCTGAAAGATTTCAAAATGAAAAGAAGAGAATAAAAAAGGATAAAGAGTTTAAGAAAGGCCAGGTGCGGTGGCTCACATCTGTAATCCCAGCACTTCGGGAGGCCAAGGTGAGAGGATGGCTTGAGGCCAGGAATTCAAGGCCAGCCTTGCCAACATGGCAAAACCACATCTCTACTTAAAAAAAACAAAAACAAAAATTAGCTGGGCGTGGTGGTGTGTGCCTGTAGTCCCAGCTACCTGGGAAGCTGAGACAGGAGAATCGCTTGAATCTGGGAGGCAGAGGTTGCAGTGAGCTGAGAGCGCACCACTGCACTCCAGCCTAGGCAACAGAGCAAGACTTAGTCTCAAAAAAAAAGAAATTGACTCTAGGCAAATGACCAATAAGTACTTCAGTGCCGGCACTACCCGTGCAAAACAGGAAACAAAGTGTGAAGCAATGCAAGCACATATGTGAAATTTGGCTCCACACTAAATCCGGCTTCATGCTTAACTATATATTAAAAAAACTGGCAAACTGCCGACACATTTTTTTTTACAATACTTATTTTTACTTTAATCAAGACTAAGAACTTTAACTATGAAAATGTTAATTAGCCAAATTTCTCCAGTTCTCTATCAGGTTTTAAGCAATATTTTATTATCTAAACTTTTCCACGTCTTTCTCCCCTCCTTACCGGTTCCTTACTACATTGTTTCATAAATAACCTTTTCAAATCTGTAATTTGAACTAACTTTTAGAAAACTTCCGAATTAGACAAAATTATTATTTTTTCTCACTAATCACACAACACTTTCTGGCACATTTTGTATATAGAATTATGTGTTAACTAGAATTCTTATCCTTAGTAACCTAAAACTTCAATGAAACCCGAAAAAGCAAGAAATCCTGAACCATCAGAGATAAAAGCATTATAGATAAGAACAATTCCACAATTTGTAGAAACATATTTCCCCATGTCACAACCTTTTCTTAATTGGAACTGACCCAGATATTCAATGAGCATCAAAAATAATTTTAGGACTTTTTTTTTTTTTTTTTTTTTTGTGACAGAGTCTTGCTCTGTCCCCCAGGCTGGAGTGTAGTGGTGTAATCTCAACTCACTGTAACCTCCTCTTCCCAGGTTCAAGCAATTCTCCAGCCTCAGCCCCCCAGTAGCTGGGATTACAGGCACACACCACCATGCCCAGCTAGTTTTTATATTTTCAGTAGAGATGGGGTTTCGCCACTGGCCAGGCTGGTCTCGAACTCCTGACCTCGGGTGATCCACCCTCCTTGGCCTTCCAAAGTGCTGGGATTATAGGCATGAGCCACCACGCCTGGCCAAGATTTTAATTTACACAAAAAGATTACCTAAAACATTTATCCCATTCACTGTACTCAATTCTTTCATGTTTAACGGTTTATTTAGATAACTTCTATAAACAGAGATATCAGACACTATCATTTAAAGTTAGTTATTTCCTTGCTAACCATGTTTTTAATAGCCAGCGAACATAAGGTGCTCACCTAAACCTAAGTAACAGCCTTAAAGGTAAATACACTGGTATTTTTTTTTGCCAATAACTCAGAAGACTTAGTTAACAACATTAAGTTACTCTCATTCGTTGAAAAAAAAAAGGGCACACAAACCAAGATCATTTTGTATGGGCTAAGTTAGTAGTTTTATAACCTTCTATGCCAAACATTGACATCTCAAAATATTTAGCAGAGACAAATATAAAATCCAGACAAAGAATGTATTCTGACAATTCTGAAGGCATTTCTAGTTTTATTTTACTAATAATTTTAAAGCCAGCTTGTTTAGTAAAGTTATACTTAAGTCACGTGAACTTGAAAATTGCTTAGACTTATTTACTTAATTTTTAAGTGCTCTTTTATTTATAAGCCAATTTGGTAGACACAACATGTAACAATAAGTGTGCATACAAATAAACACATCTAGACATGTATAGACGCACACAAACGAAGATTCAATCGCTTTTAACTGGGAATCTTAAGGCATGAGATAGCAATACAAGCTTGGGGGGTTTTCCTTTGTTTGCCCCAACAGATAATCCAATGAAGGCTGTGAACCAAAATTTCAGATATAGCAGTTTCCACAGCAGTTTGACACATGCAACTCCATCCCACTTTCCCATTCAACAGCAAGCTCCAGATTCCAAACAATATTGGGCCAAACAGTATTGCAACTGCGAGAGAAAATTCTAAGGAGGGCTTAATACTAGACCTCAGAACTCTGCCTAGGGTGTCCCCTTTGGAGAAGTTGAGGTCTGGAGGATCCCTGGGCCGTCCCCCTTTGGGGTCCAGTCTCAGAGTGTCAGACGTCTCTGACCTTAGGTGGGCACTGGTGCTGCTTAGCATGTTTTCCCTTCAGAGGCAATGGCCTACTATGAGGTTTCCTTTTGTCCCTGGATGAAGGCCTGGACTTCTGGCATCCTTATAATTTGATAAGGCCACACTTTCCCATGCTTCCTGTTCCACTAGAGTGATAGCCATGAACTGTAATGATAGGAACTGGAGGCTGGGTGGGTTTCTTTTGTCCTTAGCCAGTAGAGTAGGGGAAGGGAAGAATTTAGCATGAGAAAACAAGGTTTAAGTCACTGAAACAAATGCCAGCTCGCCCCAAGCTGTGCCACACGTAGGGATCAGGGACCACAACTGGAAAAGATAGAAAGGAGTCCTTCAGAGTGGCCCCGGCCAGAAACCTGCAGTTGCCTCTGTGTTTAGGTGCTGCCCACCAACCGTCCCAAGTTGGAAAGGAAAAGAGAGAGAGAGACTGAGATTCCCCTGTATGGAGCAGGAAAAACAAACAAGAAAAATAAACCCCAAACTTTGGGATTACCTCCTGGCTGGCTTGCCAAAATATGTTACCAGTGGAGGCTGTACAAGTTCTTGGTGTTTTGAACAAAGAATTGAACAAAACACACAAACAAAGCAGGGAAAGAATAAAGCAACAAAAGCAGAGACTTAACTGAAAATGAAAGCACACGGCCAGGCACAGTGGCTCATGTCTGTAATTCCAGCACTTTGGGAGGTAAATGTGGGGGGATAACATGAGGTCAGGAGTTCGAGACCAGCCTAGCCAACATGTTGAAACGTTGTCTCTACTAAAAATACAAAAATTAGGCCAGGCACGGTGGCTCACACCTGTAATCCCAACACATTGGGAGGCTGAGGCGGGTGGATCACGAGGTCAGGAGATCAAGACCATCCTGGCTAACACAGTGAAACCCCATCTCTACTAAAAAATACAAAAAATTAGCTGGGCGTGGTGGTGGGCACCTATAGTCCCAGCTACTCGGGAGGCTGAGGCATGAGAATTGCTTGAACCCGGGAGGCAAAGGTTTCAATGAGCCAAGATCGCACCACTGCACTCCAGCCTGGGCTAAAGGGCGAGACTCCATTTCAAAAAATCAAAAAATTAAAATAAAAAATAAAAAAAAGAAAATGAAAGCACACTCTACAGGTTGGGAGCTGGCCCAAGCAAGCCAGCCACTCAAGGGTCTGGTTACAGAATTTTCTGGGGTTTAAATACCCTCTAGAGATTTCCATTGTTACTTGGTATACACCCTGTGTAAATAAAGATGATGAAGTTACAAAGTCATTTATTCAGTGTATATCCTATGTAAAGGAAGAGGATGCTTCCTGTCATAACTGAAGTGCTTGTTTCCATTTGATTTAGTTCTAGAAAGTTCTTGGGTTCCCTGCCTCCAGGTCCTACTCGCTTGCATGATTCTCATTGTGTCCTCACAGAGTGGAAGGGGAAAGGCAGATCTTTGGAGCCTTTTTTTTTTTTTTTTTTTTTGAGACAGAGTCTCGCTCTCTCTCCCAGTCTGGAGTGCAGTGGTGAGATCTCGGCTCACTGCAAGCTCTGCCTCCTGGGTTCACACCATTCTCCTCCCTCAGCCTCCAGAGTAGCTGGGACTAGAGGCGCCCGCCACCACGCCCGGCTAATTTTTTGTATTTTTAGTAGAGATGGGGTTTCACCATGTTAGCCAGGATGGTCTCGATCTCCTGACCTCATGATCCGCCTGCCTCGGCCTCCCAAAGTGCTGGGATTACAGGCATGAGCCACCATGCCTCGCCTGGAGCCTATTTTATAAGGGCACTAATCCCATTCATGAGGGCTCTGCCCCATGATCTACTCAACTCCCAAAGGCCCCACTTCTTGACATAGTGGTAATTAGATTTCAACATATACATTTTGTGTGTGTGTGAGGCAGAGTCTCGCTCTGTAGCCCAGGCTGGAGTACAGTAGCACAATGTCAGGTCACTGCAACCTCCATCTCCCAGGTTCAAGCAATTCTCGTGCCTCAACCACCTGAGTAGCTGGGATTACAGGATCCTACCACCACACCCGGCTAATTTTTGTATTTTTAGTAGAGATGGAGTTTCGCCATGTTGCCCAGGCTGGTCTCGAACTCCTGGCCTCAGGTGATCTGCCCGCCTCGGCCTCCCAAAGTGCTGAGGTTACAGACATGAGCCACCGTGCCCAGCCTCAACATATAAATTTTGGCAAAGACACATTCAGACACTATATATCAATATATACTTATAGAGATATATATGCACGTTTTATTTCTATATGTATAGCCATGAGGTTTTTATATAAAAACTATGTTATATATAAAACACATTTAAGGCCGGGCGCGGTGGCTCACGCCTGTAATCCCAGCACTTTGAGAGGCCAAGGCGGGCATATCACCTGAGGTCGAGAGTTCGAGACCAGTCTGACCAACATGGAGAAACCCCATCTCTACTAAAAAAACAAAATTAGCGGGGCATAGTGGTGCATGCCTGTAATCCCAGCTACTCGGGAGGCTGAGGCAGGGGAATCGCTTGAACCCGGGAGGCAGAGGTTGTGGTGAGCCAAGATCGCGCCATCACACTCTAGCATGGGCGACAAAAGTGAAACTCTGTCTCGAAAGAAAAAAAAAAAAAAACCACACACACATGCGTGTGTGTACATATATATGTATATATGTGCGTGTGTTTGTGTATGTATATGTGTGTGTATATATATATATATACACACTTTTTTTTTGAGATGGAGTTTCGCTCTTGTCACCCAGACTGGAGTGTGATGGCGTGATCTCTGCTCACTGCAAATTCTGCCTCCTGGGTTTGCTCGATCAAGCAATTCTCCTGCCTTGGCCTCCCAAGTAGATGAGACTACAGGTGCCTGCCACCACGCCCAGCTAATTTTTGTATTTTTAGTAGAGACGGGGTTTCACCATGTTGGCCAGGCTGGTCTCGTACTCGTGACCTCAGGTGATCCACCCGCCTTGGCCTCGCAAAGTACTGGGATTACAGGCATAAGCCACCACCGTGCCCAGCCTATATATACATTTTTGAAATATATATTTATACATGTATATACATAAAAAATTTTGATACTATATTATATATATACACAAACATAGATTATATATATCTCAGTTACTTTGGAAAAAAAATTTTTAGAGATGGGTTCTCACTGTTGACCAGGCTGCAGTGCAGTGGCAGGAATATATCTCCCTGCAACCTCAAACTGCTGGGCTCAAGCAATCCTCTGGCCTCAGCCTACAGAGTAGCTGGTACTACAGGCTCATGCCACTGCACTCAGCTATATTGTAGTTACTTTTATACCTCTTTGCCTCTCAGTGGAAGTTTTGCTTGGTTATCCCCTCAAAGGGTGGAAGAAGTGGTAAAAAAGAAAAAGGGGCAATTACAGAGGCAGTTGGGGGAAAAAAAGGAATGGAAAAGGATGATCTAAAGACAGATTTTGCCAACTCAGTGTTTTTTGTTTATTTTCTGTCTTTGCCTAAGTTTAGTTTAACTTTCAGTAATTTTCTTCAAAATAAAAACTCTACATTATAAAAACAAGCAAACAAAAAAGATAATGGAGGGATGCCAGGCACAGTGGCCTGTAATACCAACACTTCTGGAGGCCAAAGTGGCAGAATTGCTTGAGTATAGGAGTTTGAGACTAGCCTGGGCAACACAGTGAGACCCCATCTCTACAAAAAACTTGAAAAAAAAATTAGCCAGGCATGATGGTGCATGCCTGTAGTCCCAGCTACCCAGGAGGCTGAGGTGGGAGGATCACTTGAGCCCAAGAGTTCAAGGCTACTGTGAGCTATGACCGCGCCACTGCACAAGCAAATCATTCAAGTCTTTTATGTCAATTCTCTGCAGGGAGGTGCAGACCTGCAAGAGGCCTGAAGAAGGCCCAAGAAGGCCTGACTCATTTCCTCCTCAGCCTGAGTTCTAATGGCAATAAGAAAGGTCCCAAAGTGAAGGAGTTCGGCATCCTGAACAACTCTGTCTGACTACATACCACAATTACAGCAGGCACCTTTCCTAGCCCCAGACACACATTCTAAAAAAGTTTTCTGCAAAACTATACAATATCTTTCCTTTACAGCAGTTGAAGAGACTTCACTGGAAATACTAGCCAAATCCAGGGAGTAAATCTGATACATCTGAGGTTCCCTTCAGGAAATAATAGCACAGCAGGGTCTGCATGGGGTGCTTGTTTTCAACGTAGCTAAAATATCACACATGGGCTCAGGGATCTTTTATTCAAATTCCCAATATAAAATAAAGGTTTAGACATTCAGGAGCCAATATGCCCATTTTTATTCATTTTCTTAAAAAAAATAGCCTTCATTTTTTAAAGATAGAAAAAAAATGATCAAATAAATCTCAGGGCTTAGCTGTCAGTACCTTACTGTTTTTTTAAAGATATATATATTACCCAAATGTGGTAGCCTAACACTTACCTTTGAAGCATGTAATATCTCATTTCCTTATTTTCCTCTGGAGAACCCTCCATATCAAGATGGGAAAAGAATGGAAGCTTTTTCTTCAGATTTCGGCCTTGTAAACACAAGCCGCAGTTCCTCCTCCTGTTGCAGCTGCTTAAAACCCAGGAGGACAAGAGATACTGTGCCTTCTGCCTGGCTTCAGTCAGACTAGAATACTCCTGATGGCCTCAAACTATAGTCTTTTTGTCTAATTGTTCCCAATTTCCTTCTTTCCCCACCTTTCTCTTCCTTTTTGCATCTTCTCTCCTCCACACACTTAGCTTACACACACAATTAGTTGATTTCCCAAGGGAACTGAGAGGAGCCGGGGAGAAATATAAAAGCTTGTTTAACTAGAAAGTAGATCTTAGCAGCTCTCCTTTAGTTGCAGCAAACATTTTCAACAACAGTCACTTTCTTCTGACAGTCAACGGAGAAAAGCTCCACTGCCTCTCCTGGCTGCCAGGAGCACATGACAGGGAAAGCCCAGGACAAAAAGACCAAATTTACAAGGACAATTAAGCCAAGAAAATAATGGGCTCATGAAATCCAGAGGGAGGAGCACAGCTCGGTCTAAAGAGGTAATTTCTGAGATCCAATCAAAACAAATAATACCAATTATCAGACTGCACGGTGGGGAAAAGCAGGTCAGGTGGGAAAGTAAGCACGTAGAAAGGAAACACGCCACTACTAGGGAACTTAGAATCAAGTGTGAGCCACGATTCTAATTTTCAGGCCAAAGTAGTGGTATATATAGACACCTAAACTAAGGTTTTATGCACCAAAGCTTGAGAATAGGAATGGAGCTGGTACAAAACGGATACAGAAAAGATTGTGGGTTAAACCCTTAAAAGGAAAAGAGACCCTGACAAATATTTTGGAGGTCTAACCCCCTTAAGCAGGGAAGAAAAATCCTGCCTAGAAAGACTACTTACTGAGACACATATATTACTATGAAAGCAAATTTGCCACAGACAGATCTCTTAAAGAAATAAACACTAGCTGAATGTTATCTTGTAATATCTTCCTGTTTTTAGCTTTTACTTAAGTAGATGCTCATGATATTCTGTGTATTAGGAGAAAAATCAATGGCAAAAGACCCTAAAGGCTTAGAATCTATAGAAAGACAACTTCCTGAGGCAAGTCCTCAGGCCTGTACACCAAATCTAACCTGAATCATGAACCATAAAAAATTTATTCCCATCAAAATGCTGGATAGAAATAGTTAACAATCTGATGCCAACCACGCTGAGAATATATTAAGCTTCCAGAAAAACCTTCAAAAACAGAAGTACACAAATGACCTGGAGCATAGATAGAAGTTAAATAATCAGATAAAAGATAAATGATTACAACAAACAAACATTGATCTGAAGGACATTCGGGCAACTTAAGTTGTAAAGACTCAAGTTGCCCAAATTTGAAAGCAACTCAATCAGGCCACCCAACATGACAACCAGCTATAATAAAAAATGGAAGTCCTGGTTGTTCTCTGGTCTGTACTTCACATCATCCCTTCCACAATGTGCCAATGCCCATTAAGTTAGTCAAGTTTACTTTCCCTTTAAAGAACCAAGCTGACACAGAGGAGCCCTTCTATCTTTACGTCTCTTCAGAATAACCTGTCTCAAAAATAGAGCACTGCAGCCTTTGTTCAGGAAAGTTCAGTAGCCACAGATGAGAAGCTGCTCAATTTTACACACACTTAAGTGTCTACAAAACAAACTTGTTATACAAGTTCACCATTCAAAAATGCAAATAAAGCACTAAGTGTAAAAATAAGGCAGACTATTTTGCACTCAACTATATCAGAAAAATATACTAAAGAGGCACACTCAATAATCGAGTTTATGCTTCCTTTCACCAAACGGATCTTTCTACGACAACCAAACACTAACACAGCATACCCAGGTCCAAAAGCAAAGCTAGAGATCTATATAGATCTTTTATAGACACTGCTGCTCACAATCTTTCTCTAATATTAGAATACAAGAAATAAAAAGCCACATTCATTTCTCCAAATTTAAAGCATCCCCCTTTTAATCTACCATGAACAGTGTCCAACGTAGACACATACCTGGCACAAAATCCAACTAGAAGCCCACACTGATCCCAGCATTGTAACATGCCAAACACCAAGGATGACGTAGCAGTTTACCCGGCAGACAGTGATGCATTCGCTAGCTTGACTGCAACACAGTCTGAGTTATACTGCAGCACACACACTGTGAGAGACTGTTTTACATTGGGTTTTTACAAGCAGAGAAATCTTGGATCAAGGATGTGTCTCTGTCAAAAAATCAAGTGACCATATATTTAAAGGTTTCTTTGTGGACTCTAAATTCTGATCCATTGACCTATATGCCTAGCCTTGAAGCAATGCCACATGGTCTTGATAACTGTGACTTTATAGTAGGTTTTGAAATCAGGTAGTATGAAGACCTCCAACTTCACATTCCCTTTTCAAAAGTGTTTTGGCTATTCTAGGTCCTTTGTTTCCATGTAAATTTTAGGATCGGCTTGTCAAATTCTAGAAAGAAAAAGAAAGGCTGCTGGAAATTTGATATGGACTGTGAATTTATGATCAATTTAAGGAGAACTGCTGTCTTGACAATATTGAGTCCTCTAATCCATGAACATGGACTGCCTCTCCATTTATTTAGATTTTATTTAATTTCTTTTTTTTTTCTTTTTTGAGATGGAGTCTCGCTCTGTCTCCCAGGCTGGAGTGCAGTGGCACGATCTCCACTTACAACCTCTGCCATCTGGGTTCAAGCGATTCTCCTGCCTCAGCCTCCCAAGTAGCTGGAACTAAAAGAACACCACCACGCCCAGCTAATTTTTTGTATTTTTATTAGAGACAGGGTTTCACCATGTTGGACAGGCTGGTCTGGAACTCTTTTTTTTTTTTTTTTTGAGACAGGGTTTCGCTCTTGTGACCCAGGCTGGAGTGCAATGGCGCGATCTCGGCTCACTGCAATCTGCAACCTCCACCTCCCGGGTTCAAGCGATTCTCCCGCCTCAGCCTCCCGAGTAGCTGGGATTACAGGTGACTGCCACCATGCCAGGCTAATATTTGTATTTTTAGTAGAGATGGGGTTTAACCATGTTGGCCAGACTGGTCTCGAACTCCTGACCTCAGGTGATCCACCCACCTCAGCCTCCCAAAGTGCTGGGATTACAGGCGTGAGCCACCACACCCGGCCGGTCTGGAACTCTTGACCTCAGGTGATCCATCCGCCTCAGCCTCTGGGTTTGGGATTACAGGCGTGAGCCACCACACCTGGCTGATTTTATTTAATTTCTGTCAGCAATGTTCCACAAGTTTTAGTGTATAAGTCTTATACCTTTTTTGCTCAATTTATTCCTATTTTATTCTTTTTAATGCTATCATGAACAGAATATTTTCTTAATTTCATTTTTGGATTGTTCATTTCTAGCTAGCATATAGAAATATACTTAACTTTTCTATATAGATCTTACACCCTGTGATCTTGATAAACTCATTTAAAAATTTTTTGTTAACAATTTTACTGAGATACAATTCACACACCATACATTTCACCCACTTAAAGGGTACAATTCAATAGTTTTTAGTATATTCACATAGTTATGAACTATCATCACAATAAATTTAAGGACATTTTCATTTCATTATATGTGTCATTTTTTTAAAGAGACGAGGTCTTGCTATGTTGCACAGGCTGGACTTAAACTCCTAGGCTCAAGCAATCCTCCTGCCTCAGCCTCCCAAGTAGCTGGGACTACAGGAACGTGCACCACGCATGGCAATTTTAGAACATTTTTATTACCTCCAAAAGAAACCCCATGCCCAGTAGCAGCCACTCCTCATTTCTCCAATATGCTCCCCAATCCTAGCCAACCACTAATCTACTTTCTGTCTTTATAGATTTGCCTATTACAGACATTTCATATAAATGGAATAATATAATATGTGGCCTTTTGTGACTGGCTTCTTTCATTTAGCATAATGTTTTCAATGCTGTAGCATATATCAGTACTTCATTTCTTTTTATGGTTGAACAATATTTCAATGTGTGGACACACCATATTTTGTTTATACATCATCAGTTAATGGATATTGGGTTGTTTCCATTTTGTGGCTCTTATTAATAATGTTATGAACATTCATGTATAAACTTTTATGTGGACATATGCTTTCCTTTCTCTTGGGTATACAATAAGGAGTGAAGCTGCCAGATCATATGGTTCATATGGTGAGAGTTTAGTTTTATAAGAAAGTGTCAAATTAGCCGGGCACAGTGGCTCACGCCTATAATCCTAGCACTTTGGGAGGCCGAGGCAAGTGGATCACTTGAGATCAGGAGTTCAAGACCGGCCTGGCCCACATGGTGAAACCCCATCTCTACTAAAAATACAAAAATTACCTGGGCATGGTGGCAGGCACCTGTAATACCAGCTACTCAGGAGGCTGAGGCAGGAGAATCGCATGAACCCAGGAGGCGGAGGTTGCAGTGAGCCAAGATCGCGCCATTGCATTCCAGCCTGGGCAACAGAGCGAGACTCCGTCTCAAAAAAAAGAAAGTGTCAAATTATTTTCCAGAGTGGCTGTATCATTTTACATTCCCACCAGCAATGTACAAGAAATCCAATTTTTCTGCATTCTCACAAACCTTTGGTATTGTGTCTATTTCTTATTTTAGGCATTCTGATAAGTGTGTAATGATATCTCATTGCTATTTTAATTTGCATTTTCCTAATACTAATTAATATTTGCATTTTCCTAATACCTAATAACTATTAGATAATTATAAAACATCTTTTCATGTGTTTATTTGCCATAGGTATATCCTCTTTGGTTTCATTTGCTTCTTTTTAAAAATCATTTCTCTTTTCTTATTGAGAATTTCTATTTATTTTATTTTTAATTTTTTGAGACAGAGTCTTGCTCTTTTGCCCAGGCTGGAATGCAGTGGTGCAAACACTCAATATGCTCAAGCGATCCTCCTGCCTCAGCCTCCCAAGTAGCTGGGACCACAGACATATGCTGCCATGCTCAAATAATTTTAAAATTTTTGTAGATGGAGTCTCAAATTCCTGGGCTCAGGAAATCCACCCCGCTTGCCTCCCAAAAGCACTGGGATTACAAGCATGAGCCACTGCACTCAGCTGAGAAGTTCTATTTATTGATTCATTGTTGTCATGCTTAAAAAAACAGTATTTAAGGGGCCAGGCGCGGTGGCTCATGCCTATAATCCCAGCACTTTGGAAGGCAGAGGCGGGCAATAACCTGAGGTCAGGAGTTCGAGACCAGCCTGACCAACGTGGAGAAACCCCATCTCTACTAAAAATACAAAATTAGCTGGGCGTGGTGGTGCACGCCTGTACCAGCTACTCGGGAGGCTGAGGCAGGAGAATTGCTTGAACCCGGGAGGCAGAGGTTGCGGTGACCAAGATCGTGCCATTGCACTCCAGCCTGGGCAACAAGAGCGAAACTCTGTCTCAAAAAAAAAAAAAAATAGTATTTAAGATGGGGCACAGTGGCTCACACCTGTAATTCCAGAGATTTGGGAGGCCAAGGCAAGAAGGTCACTTGAGGCCAGGAGTTCGAAACCAGCCTGGGCAACATGGTAAGACTCTGTCCCTATAAAATATAAAAATAAAAATAAATAAATATGTTTTTAAAAATTATTTAAACATGTTTTCCTTTAGGTCTTTGAACACATTTACAGTCGCTACTTTGAAATCTTTGTTAAATCCAGTATCTAGGGACACTTGTAGATAATTTCTGTTGACTTTTTTCCTAAACATGGGTCACATTTTCCTGTATCTTTACATGTCTCACGGCTTTTTAATTAAAAATTGAATATAACCTGTCATGGGATTAGAAAACAAATTATGCATATGAACAATTTACAAATTGAACATATGAACAATTTGGATTCTGATTTCTTTCACCCATGAAAATTGTTGTTACTAGTTTGTTTTTTTCTTTCTTGGCTTAATCATTTGCCTGAGCTAAATCTGTGAATTCTGTTTCCCTAACAGTGTGCAGCCACTGATGTCTCAGCTCATTTTCTTTTTATTTCTTGGTTTTATGTTTAAATGTGGCTTTTGAGGAGTCACCCCTATGTCTGTGTAGCCAATGATTAGATAGAGTTTATGCTCATATACTTAAAGCTAGAAAGGCTTTTATCCTCTGTTTATGGGTCTGGAGTATGGGGGATATAGAGTAGTGCATTCAAAGTTCAGGTTTTTCAAGTCTGCCCTAGCTGTTACTTTCCGTTGGGCCTTATCATGTCTCTTCTGTGCATGTACATGCCTCAGCCTGCAATATGCTTGCCCCAACCACAAACAGGCAAAGTCACTGGCCTGTGCCACTCACCCACTGCCAAGTGGTCACTTCTCCCAACAATGCCATTGAGCATGGACATCATCCACCACCCAAACTGAGTAAACTCCCTTCAACCACAGCATCAAAGCAGCTGGTCTTCATGGTCTACCCACACTGGTAAAACTTTCATGACAAATCAGCTGGGGAAAGGGGAATAGGAACAATCCCAGACAAGAATACCACAAACTCCTACTGTTTTACGGAATTTTAGCAGTTTTTTTTTTTGTTTTTTTTGTTTTTTTTTTTTGAGACGGAGTCTTGTTCTGTCGCCCGGGCTGGAGTGCAGTGGCACTATCTCGGCTCACTGCAAGCTCCGCCTCCTGGGTTCACACCATTCTCCTGCCTCAGCCTCCCGAGCAGCCGGGACTACAGGTGCCCGCCACCATGCCCGGCTAATTTTTTGTATTTTTAGTAGAGAAGGGGTTTCACCGTGTTAGCCAGGATGGTCTCAATCTCCTGACCTTGTGATCCGCCCACCTCGGCCTCCCAAAGTGCTGGGATTACAGGCGTGAGCCACTGCACCCGGCCAGCAGTTTTTTAATCATAAAATTCTCTCAAATTATTGTATGCCTTTTGGTTGATTTCAAGAGTGTTAAAATGGTTAATTTTGTCAAGTTTGTCAATCTTCATAATTGGTTTTTGTGTTGAAGATCTGCCAGTCTCCTCATTCAGCTATACCTGGAAGTCCTCCCTGTTTTATTTACTTTTTAATGACCGATATAACTTCATACAATGAAGTGGAAAAATCTTAAGTATAAAACATATATATGTAAAATTAATATATATATAGCCATATAACCAATCACCTCATTAAGATACAGAATATTTCCAGAGTCCCAGAAGGCTTACTTGTGTCCCTTCCTAGTCAATATTCTCCCTTAAAGGTAAAGACTACTCTGACCTTTTATAACCATTGATCAGTCTTGTTTACTCTTGAACTTCATAAATATAGTGTTATATAATGTATGTACTTTAATGTCTGACTTCTTTTGATCAATATTATGTGTATAAATTTATTATTATTTTTTTTTTTGCAATGGAGTCTTGCTCTGTCACCCAGGCTGGAGTGCAGTGGTGCACCCTCGGCTCACTGCAACCTCTGCCTCCTGGGATCAAGGGATTCTCCTGCCTCAGCCTTCCAAGTAGCTGGGATTAGAGGTAAGCACCACCACACCCAGGTAATTTTTTTTGTATTTTTACTAGAGATGAGGTTTCACCATTTTGGCCAGGCTGGTCTTGAACTCCTGGCCTCAACTGATCCTCCCACCTCAGCCTCTCAAAGTGCTGGGATTACAGGCGTGAGCCACCACGCCTGGCCTTATGTGTATAAAATTTATCTATGCTTACCACTTGGTCGAATTTATGGAAAAAAAAATTCACCCATGTTGTGATACAGCAGTAGTTTGTTCATTTTCATTTCTGTATGGTATTCCATCATATGATATACCATGATTTACTTACCTATTCTACTATTCACGGACATTTGGGTTGTTTATGAATTTTGACAATATTTGCTTATTTCTGATGGATAAATGAACTAATTTCCTCTGGGAATATACACTAAAATGAAATTGCTCACTAGTGAGGTATGTGCATGTTTAGCTTTAAATGATACTGCTAAATAGTTTTCTAAAGTGGCTGTACCAATTCATATTAATACCAGTGATGTGTAAGAGTCAGTGTGTTCCACTTCCTTGCTAACACTTGATATTGCTCGTTTTTTAATTTTACCTTTTTTGGTTGGGCTATGTGTTTAACTCATTGTAATTTTAATTTGCAAATCCCTGATGACTAGTAATATTGAGCACCTTTTCATATACTTACTTGACATTTGGTATCTTCTTTTGAAGTGCCTGTTGAAGTCTTTTCCCCATATTTCTATTGTGTTGAATGTCTTTTTTCTTATTGTTTTGTTTTGTTTTGCTTTGTTTTTGAGACAGAGTCTCGCTCTATCCCTCAGGCTGGAGTGCAATCTCAGCTCACTGCAACCTCCACCTCCTAGGTTCAAGTGGTTCTCGTGCCTCAGCCTCCCAAGCAGCTGATACTAAAGGCGTGTGGCACCATGCCTGGCTAATTTTTTATATTTTTAGTAGAGATGGGGTTTCATAATGTTGTCCAAGCTGGCCTCAAACTCCTGAGCTCAGGCAATCCATCCACCTTGGCCTCCCAAGGTGGTAAGATTATAGGTGTGAGCCACTGTGCCCAGTCATAAGATCCTTATAGTAGGATATTTTAATATTCTTCTTCAGCAACTGATATAACAAGTAGAAAAAAAAAATCAAAGACACAGAAGAACAACAAACTGAAAAACTGAACATACATAGAACCTATAATCACCAACTGCAACATATACATTCATTGCAAGTGTTTATGAAACTTTATCAAAATAGACCATATACTAAGCCATAAAGTATCAATAAATTTCAAAGGTCTGAAATCACATAGCGTATATGCTCTGAACACAATGGATTACACTAAAAATCAATAACAAAGGTAATAAAATCCACAAGTGTCTTGATATATTTCTAAACAATTTATGAGTCAAAAAATCACAAGGAAATTAAGAAAATATTTTAATTGAATAATAATGAAAATGTATATCCAAGCTTGAGGAATATAATAAGACGAATTTATGAGTGAATACAGAGATGAAGAGATGGATATCAACAAAGCCAGAAGTTAATTCTTTGAAAAGGAACTGAATTGATAAATTTCTACTAAGACTGATAAAAATAAAAGAAAAAAATGCTAATTGCCAATATCAGGAATGAGGACAAGGGAATCACTATAAATCCTATAGACATGAAAAACAAGCATATTATTACAAACTTTATGCCAATAAATTTGAAATGTTAGAAAAAAATTGATAAATTTCTTAACGACTTTCCATTCCACCCAGAAAGACATGAAAATCTGAATAATCCTAAATCTACTACAGAAATCAAATACATAATATGTATAATTTAAAAACTACTAGCCAGGTGTGGTGACTCACGCCTGTAATCCCAGCACGTTGGAAGGCCAAGGCAGGTGGATCATTTGAGGTCAGGAGTTTGAGATCAGCCTGGGTAATATGGTGAAACACTGCCTCTACTAAAAATACAAAAATTAGCTGGCTTAGTGGTGCACGCCTGTAATCCTAGCTACTCGGGAGACTGAGGCACAAGAACTGCTTGAACCTGAGAGGCGGAGGTTGCAGTGAGCCAAGATTGCGCTACTGCCCTCAAATAAAATAAAATAAAAATGAAAATGGAAAAACAAAAACTACTACTATTATCTTTTGTGACTGTTCCCAATCAGTCTTTATACCTCTACCATTTATTCACAAGTATTTATTTTATGTTTTTATTTACTTTGTAGAGACAGTCTTGCTCTGTTGCCTAGGCTGGAGTACAGTAGCATGATCATAGTTCACTGCGGCCTTAAACTCTTGGGGGCTCAAACAGTCCTCTCGCCTCAGCCTTCCGAGTAGCTAGGAATACAGGCATGCAACACCATGCCCAGCTATTAAAAAAAATTTTTTTTTGTAGAGTATAGGTCTCTCTATGTTGCCTAGGCTTGTCCCAAATTCCTGGGCTCAAGCAAACCTCCTGCTTTAGTCTCCCAAAGCGCTGGGATTACAGGCATGAGCCACGATGCCTGGCTTCAACAAGTATTTATTGAGTGACTATTATATGCTATAGAAAATGATGAGTATACAGCTATAAACAAAATATATGGCTTCTGTGCTCATGTTACAGTATAATGGAGACAAGAAATCAAATAAATATATTACTAAAAACATTACAAATTGTGATAAATGCTATTGCAATGGGAAAAAAAGGAACACTGTAACAATAGAGCCTCTTTGGGGAAATGATATTTGATCTGAAACCTAAAGGATAAAGACCTCAAGTGATCAAAGAGAGTGAAAGTGAATTCTAGGCATAAGGACCAGTGCATGTGGCCTTGAGATAGGAAAAATATTGGACTACTATCTTTTCAGGGGAACTGAAAGGCCAGTATGATTGAAGCCCTGTCAGCAAATGGAAGTTGACAGAAGTCAGATCATTCAGGGTCTCATGAGCTGAGTTAAAAATTTTGTATCTAGGCCAGGTGTGGTGGCTTACACCTGTAATCCCAGCACTTTGAGAGGTGAAGGCGAGAGGATCACTTGAGTCCGAGACTTTGAGACCAGCCTGGGCCACATAGTGAGAACACATCTCTACAAAAAAATTTAAAAATTATCCAAGCAGGGTGGCATGCACCTATTGACCCAGGTACTTGGGAGTCTGAGGCTTGAGCCCAGAAGCTTGAGGCTGCAGTGAGTCCTGTTTGCACTACTCCAGCCTGGGTGACAGAGCAAGACCCTGTTTCAAAACAAAAAAACAGAAAAACTAGAATTTTGTATCTTATGCTATGTGCAGCAAGAAATAAGGAGGCAAAAGTATAATACAGACAGGAAATCTAGTTAGGTGATCATTCTAATAGTCCAAGCAAGAGCTGACGTGCTAAGGCTTGGACTAAGGTGATTGCAAGTGAAGGTACTGGGGTCAATACCGGAGATAGAATCAACCAAACTGAAGTACAATTCCCAGGTTTTTTGGTTTGAGCAGAGTGGCTGGAGGTGCTATTTAGTGAGATGTGGAAGATTGGGGGAGGATCAAATTTATGAAGAAGATAGGGGAAATCAAGAATTTAATGTCTATAAGACATTCAAATGAAAATGTCATATGAATAGGTGAACATAACAAGTGATCTCAGAGGATAGGTCTGGGATGGATATTATAAATTTGGGAATCATCAGCATATAAGCAGTAGCAAAGGGATGAATTTTATATATAGAAAATGTGGCTGGGTACAGTGGCTCACACCTGTAATCCCAGCACTTTGGGAGGCAGAGGCAGGTGGATCACCTGAGGTCAGGAGTCCAAGACCAGCCTGGCCAACATGGTGAAACCCTGTCTCTACTAAAAATACAAAAAATTAGCCAGGCATGATGGTGGGCGCCTGTAATCCCAGCTACCTGGGAGACTGAAGCAGGAGAATCACTTGAACCCAGAGGCAGAGGTTGCAGAGAGCCAAGATTGCAACATTGCACTCTACCCTGGGCAACAGAGCGAGACACCATCTCAAAAAAAAAAAAAAAAAAAAAGAAAGAAAATGTATATCAAGTAAAAAGATAAGAAGGACCAGAACCAAGCAATGAAAGTATTCAACACTCAAAGGTTGCATGAAAGCAGAAGGACTTGCAAGGGAGACTGGAGATTGGTAAGAGTAGAATGGAGGTAACACAGGAGTCATGAAAGTGTAGTCTTTAGCAGAAAAGAAGGCATGTGTTTCAAGAAAAAAGTAGTCACTTGTATGGAACTGTTGAGAGACTTAGAAGGATGAGAACTGAAAAGCATCCACTGATTTAGCAATACAGTAGTCATTAGTGGTTTTTACGAGAGCAGTTTCAATAGCATAGTTGGGCAGAGGACAGAACAGAATAGCTTTAAGAATGAATGGGAGATGAGGAAGTAGGGATAGCACTTCTGAAAATCTTGACCATAAAATGGGGCAGAGAGATAAGGCAATAATCCAAAGGGAATGTGGCTATCAAAAAAAGGCCTTCTATAAAGATGGAAGAAATCAGAGTGCTTGGAACACTTCTCAGGACCCTCCCTCCTTTGGTCATCCTCTGTTCCAAGCACTTGGAACACTTCTCAGGAAAGAAGGAAAAATGTTGTCAGCATTGTTCTGGGTTACAAAACACACACACACACAAATACACACACACACATACATACATATGCATGAAGAAAAAATGAGAAGGAGAATACAGATAAAAGTAAGTTTGAAATGAGGTGTTAGAAGAATTACTAGATAGTCTCTATTTTCTTAATAAAATAATGTGGCAAAGCTATAAATTAAAAGTGTCTAGAAGAGGCAGGAAATGGCACAAATGGAACTGCTGGTTTAAGGACAATGGAGAAGAAATGAAATTACTGTTGCAGAAAATGGAAGGCCAAATTACCAGAAGAGAAAAACAATATAGGAGAAAGAACAAGAAAAGCTTCATATTAGTTGGGCATGGTGGCGCGCACCTGTAATCCCAGCTACTCGGGAGGCTGAGGCAGGAGAATTGCTTGAATCCAGGAGGTGGAGTTTGCAGTGAGCCAAGATCATGCCACTGCACTCCAGCATGGGTGACAGAGCAAGACCCTGTCTCAAAAAAAAAAAAAAAGAAGAAGAAGAAGGAGAAGAGAAAAAAGAAAAGCTTCATAGCAGAGGCAGCATTTCAGAAGGTCTTTAAAGATTGATGACCTCAGATGGGCATGGTGACTCACACTTGTAATCCTAGCATTTGGGAAACTGAGGTGAGGAGATCACTTGAGGCCAGGAGTTTGAGACCAGCCTGGACAACACAGCAAGACTTCATCTCATTAAAAAGAAAAAAAGGAGTGATGACCTCCAAGGGTAAATGGAATTTCAACAGTCAGGGAAATGGCATTTCAGTAAGGATACATGACAAAGAGAGACACAGGAAAAGAGACTGAGACACAAATAGAATGATCAAAGGACATAAAGATGGAAAGTATATGGAATTTTAGGAAACAGGCAATTGTCTACTGCAACTGGAATAAGCAAAGAGGGAAAAAACACTGGGTAGAAACAAGACTGGAAAAATCAGCTATGGCCTAATTGTGGAAGAATCTGAATACCATGACTGAATGCCTCCACCACTTATTAGGTAGGAAAATTACATAATCTCTCTGAGCCTGTATCCTCCTCTTCTGGAAAATGGAGATAATTAACGCCTATTTTACAGGACTGACTGTTGTTTGGTTACATAAGATAAATATTGAAAGCACTTAGTGCTTAACTCACAGTAAATGCTCAATAAATGGCAGTAAAAGTTGGGGTTGTTATCTTGGGCTTTACTCTGAAAGCAGAGGGAAAACATTACATGTTTTTGAACAGATGTGAAACAGGGAGAGACTAAAGTAAGAGAAAATAGTTAAAGGCCATTGTAATAGACTAGGCTAGAGATAATGAACACCTACATAAAGTCAGTGATGGTGGGAACTGAAATAATAAAGGCAGCTGGGCCCGGTGGCTCACACCTGTAATGTCAGCATTTCGAAAGGCCAAGGCAGAAGAATCACTTGAGTCCAGGAGTTTGAAACCAGCCTGGACAACGTAGCAAGACCCCATCTCTACAAAAAAAATTTTTAAAGAAACAAAAAAAATATATAAAGGGAAAAAATATAGAGATGACATGACACAATTAGTGGGTCATGATACATTTGGCAGATCAGGATATCCTGGAACCCAAATTCAATATTCTGAACACTCTGAAGAATCTTTCCTTGATGAACTCCTAGACATTTTCCTGACTAATGGAGTCCCAGTTTCATGACTATCATTAGATTTTACTAGGGAGGAGGTTAGAATTTTTACTTATGAAGAATTATTAAATTTAGCATTTTGAGATAAGAATTTTGGGGGGTTGCAGGAGGGAGAGCATCAGGAAGAATAGCTAATGGATACTGGGCTTAATACCAAGGTGATGGGTTCATCTGTGCAGCAAACCACCATTGCATACATTTACCTCCTGCACATCCTGCAGGTGTACCCCATAACTTAAAATAGAAGTTGAAGGGAAAAAAAAAAAGAACTAAAGAACTATGAATCTTGGGAGAAAGAATACTCAGAAAAATATGAGATATCAAACTATGGTTATTACAACTTCATTTTCATTTCAACAAACAGTATCTCCATCTGACAGAGGATTGATAGCCAGAATATATAAGGAGCTCAAACAACTCAATAGGAAAATATCTAATAATCCAATTTTAAAATAGGCAAAAGTTCTGAATACACATTTCTCAAAAGCAGACATACAATTAGCAAACAGCTATATGAAAAGGCGCTTAACATCACTGATCATCAGAGAAAAGCAAATCAAAACTACAATGAGATATAATCTCACTCCAGTTAAAATGGCTTTTACCCAAAAGAGGCAGTAACAAATGCTAAGAGGATGTGGAGAAAAGGGAACCCTTGTATTGGTGGTTCCCTTGATGGCTGTATAAATTAAAACACAATGGGAATGTAAATCTCCATACAACCACTATGGAGAACAGTATGGAGGTTCCTCAAAAAACTAAAAATGGAACTGCCATACAACCCAGCAATCCCACAGCTAGGTAAATGCAAAAAATAAAGGAAATCAGTATATTGAAGAGATATCTACACTCCCATGTTTATTACAGCACTATTCACAATGGCCAAGATTTGGAATCAACGTAAGGGTCCATCAACAGATGAATGGATAAAAAGAAATATGTAATAAAATAGAGAGTATATCTACTCCATACACACAATGGAGTACTATTGAGCCATAAAAAAGAATGAGGTAGATATTTCCCTAAGACATATTTCCTTTCTACTATATATTCTTTTTTTTTTTTTTTTTTGAGATGGAGTCTCACTCTGTCACCCAGGCTGGAGTGCAGTGGCGAAATCTTGGCTCACTGCAAGCTCTGCCTCACGGGTTCACACTATTCTGCCTCAGCCTCCCGAGTAGCTGGGACTACAGGTGCCCGCCACCATGCACGGCTAATTTTTTGTATTTTTAGTAGAGATGAGGTTTCACCGTGTTAGCCAGGATGGTCTCGATCTCCTGACCTCGTGATCCGCCCGCCTCAGCCTCCCAAAGTGCTGGGATTACAGGCATGAGCCACTGCGCCCGACCACTCTACTATATATTCTTGTGCAAGTAGATTTCCATTTGTACAACTTTAATTTCAATGTAACAAACATTTATTAAGCACTGAAATGTGCCAAGCATTGTTCTAAGCTCTGAAAAAGTGCTTCTTGGCTCAGGATTCATACCAGACTCTCCTGGAAAGTATTAGAATAACGATTCCTGGGCTCCACGACCAGAGGCTGTAATCTAATAAATCCGGGATAGGACTCAGGAATCCACACTTTTTTTTTTTTTTTTTTTTTTTGAGATGGTATCTCACTCTGTCAACCAGGCTGGAAGTACAGTGGCACAATCTTGGCTCACAGCAACCTCCGCCTTCTGGGTTCAAGTGATTCTCCTGCCTCAGCCTCCCAAGTAGCTGGGACTACAGGTACATGTCCCCATGCCCGGGTAAGTTTTGTATCTTTAGTAGAGACGTGGTTTCACTGTGTTGGCCAGGCTGTTCTCAAACTCCTGACCTCAAGTGATTTGTCTGCCTCAGCCTCCCAAAGTGCTAGGAATTTACAGGCATGAGCTACCGCACCCGGCCAGGAATGCTTTTTTTTTTTTTTTTTTTTTTTTGAGATGGAGTTTCGCTCTTGTTGCCCAGGCTGGAGTGCAATGGCACAATCTTGGCTCACCACAACCTCCACCTCCCGGGTTCAAGCCATTCTCCTGCCTCAGCCTCCCGAGTAGCTGGGATTACAAGAATGTGCCACCACGCCCAACTAATTTTGTATTTTTAGTAGAGATGGGGTTTCTCCATGTTGGTCAGGCTGGTCTCGAACTCCCCACCTTAGGTGATCCACCCGCCTCTGCCTCCCAAAGTGCTGGGATTACAGGCGTGAGCCACCGTACCCAGCTGGAATCCATATTTTTAATAAAGTCTGTTGCACAGTTAAGGAGAACCTAAACATTGTTTTCCATTTTACAGATGTCTTATGTCTGAGCTGTATTTACTTACAACACTTTGACACCGAATGTACAGGTTTTTTTCCATATCAACAACCAGTTCTGTCCAGCTACCAACTGGGAGTCTCACAATTGAATTCTTATATTAATTACCCAGAGTTAGCACAGATCCTACAGGTTAATGGCTCAGTCCCACAAGACTGTCCCCTACTTCAGATACCAGTTGCAAATCCCAGCCACCTATACTCCTGACCAACCAGCTATAAATCGGAGATTCCCATGACCCCTTCCTCGTGTTTGATAATTTGCTAGAATGACATACAGAACACAGGAAAAGAGTTTACTTACTATTACTGCTTTATAAAGGATACAACTCAGGAACTCAGGAAGAGACATATAGGGCAAGGTATGGGGGAAGGGGCACAGAACTTCCAAACCTTCCTCCAGGCATACAGCTCTACCAGAACCTCTATGTGTTGACCATCCCAGAAGCTCTATGAACTCTGTTGTTTACAAGGTTTTATGGAGGTTTCATTAAGTAGGCATGGCTGATTAAATCTCTGGCCACTTGTGATTAGCTCAATTTTCAGCCCCTTGCCCCTCCCTGGAGGTTAGAGAGCAGACTTGAAAGTTCCAATTCTCTAATTATTCCTTGGTCTTTCTGGTTAACAGACCCCAGCCTGAAGCTATCCAGGGGCCCTCAGACCCCAGTCATCTCATTATCATAAAAGATACTTACCGGTCAAGAAATCCCAAGGGCTTTAGGAACTGTGTGCCAGGAACCAAGGATAGAGACCAAATGCTTATTTATTATCACAGTATGACATGAAAGACCCTTAATGACCTGACCTCTGTCTTACCGGCCTCTTCTTTTGCACCAACCATGCTGCCCACCTTCCATTGCAGTAATAGTCAATGACTTGTAATTGCCTGAAAATGCTAGACGTTTCACTGATACTTCTGCACATTGTCTACCCTACCAGCTCTACCCTTACATACACACACACACACACACACACACACACACACACACACACACCCCTAACTTTGCTAGCCTTTTTTCTGTTCATCCTTCAAATTCTAGTTCAAACATCTCCAAGACCTTATTGGACCCTTAACAGAACTCATTGAGCCCACCATAATAATAATTAGTACTGTTGTGAGTATTAGAAATAATGTTAAGCACCTGTGACACAATGTTTGGCTAGACACTAACATATCCTATGGGTAACAAGAACCCTCTGAAGTAGTGTCATGAGATGAAGATGTGGAGAAAGGGGAAACCTCGTACACTGTTGGTAGGAATATAAATTAGTACTGCCACTACGGAAAGCAGTATGAAACCTCTTCAAAAAACTAAAAATAGAGCTTCCATATAACCCAGCAATTCCACTACTGGGTATATATCCAAAAGAAAGGAAATCAACATATCAAAGAGATATCTGCACTCCATATTTACTGCAGCACTATTCACAACAGCCAAAATTTAGAATCAGGCCAGGCGAGGTAGCTCATGTCTGTAATCCCAGCACTTTGGGAGGCCGAGGAGGGTAGATCACCTAAGGTCCAGAGTTCGAGACCAGCCTGGCCAACATGGCGAAACCGTGTCTCTACAAAAAATACAAAAATTAGCTGGGTGTGGTGGTGTACGTCTGTAGTCCCATCTACTTGGGAGGCTGACGTGGGAGGATCACTTGAGCCCAGGGAGGTTGAAGCTGCAGTGAGCCGTGATCATGCCACTGTACTCCAGCCTGGGTGACAGAGACCCTGTCACAGAAAAAAAAAAAAAAGAAAAAAAGATTTGCAATGACATGAGAAAGTGTTGTTATATGGGGAAAAAAAGCAGAAAGCAGAGCTGTATATTCATTATAATATCATCTATATGTATATTTTTAATGACATTTATCCTTAAGTGGTAAAAAATACAGAAAGGAAATATATAAAATATGAATAGTGATTACTATGGAATGATTGTATTCCTCAGTGTTTCTATTTTTTTAAATACTTTTTGAGGCTGGGCGCGGTGGCTGACGCCTGTAATCCCAGCACTTTGGGAGGCCAAGGCAGGCGGCCCTGCCTAGGCAACAGGGCGAAACCCCGTCTCTACTAAAAATACAAAAATTAGCTGGGAATAGTGGCGGGCACCTGTAATCTCAGCTACTTAGTAGGCTGAGGCACGAGAATCGCTTGAACCCGGGAGGCGGAGGCAGTGAGCCAAGATCATGCCACTGTACTCCAGCCTGGGCGACACAGCAAGACTCTATCTGGAAAAAAAAACTTCTTGGATTTCCTACTTTTCTAATAATAAACCTACATTACTTCTAATAATTTAACAATATAAAGTAGTAAATGCAAACTTCATTTGTAAATTTATGCTAACAGAAAGAAAAGAGGGGGAAATGCATGCATTACACTTGAAATAATAAAAGTAATAAACACTGTCAAGCAGCTGTACCGAGCCTTACTTACAACATTCATAATTTCATTTCCACAATTAGCTAAGTTTATAGAATGCACTCCAGAGACTAAAATACATATATGGCCACAGACAGCTCCTGTTTTCTGAATGGAAAGAAGGGGAGGATGGGAGATGGAAAGAGGAAACTAGTTCCCTCAGCAAAGGAGTACCAAGTTGCAGATCTCATAATGACCTTCTCTGTCTACTCACTACAAAGGCACCATGGCAACTGGGAACCTCAGAATATCAAGGAAGGAGCACTGAAAGTAGAAAGTTTGGAGAGCTATTAGGGGAAGGGAAGAAGCTCAGGAAAGCTAAATGAAAAATGCTAAGAAAGTCAATACATAAGAACACTCTCAAACTATCCATAAGCAAAGCCTTAATATAAACAAAACCAGAGCCAATTTCCTTATTTCCCATGTCAAAGCTTGATAGTGATGAACCAATAGATAGGAAGCAGGAATAAAATTTCCTGCACTTTCTTTTCTTTTTTTCTGTTTTTGAGATGGAGTCTTGCTCTGTTGCTCAGGCTGGAGTGCAGTGCAGTGGCGTGCTGTCAGCTCACTGCAACCTCCACCTCCCGGGTTCAAGCAATTCTTATGCTTCAGCCTCCCAAGTAGTTGGGATTACAGGTGCTCGCCACCACCTGGCTAATGTTTGTATTTTTAGTAGAGACAAGGTTTCGCCATGTTGGCCAGGCTGGTTTTGAACTCCTCACCTCAGGAGATCCACCTGCCTTGGCCTCCCAAAGTGCTGGGATTACAGGCGTGAGCCACCGCGCCTGGCCTCCTGCATTTTCAATAGTGGTTATTCTCAACGTTTGAATTATAATATTGATAGTATATATTTGCCATCATCAAAAGGCTTTCAGACCTAAATTTCCAAGTTTTAAGCACTAACATGCAAAAGACTTAAAGAGGTTTTTCCAGTAAAAAATTTTTATCTTATAAAAGGACTCCTTGATAATAAATAATGTATTATACCAATATGGCACATTTTACTATTCCAAAAGTTTCATAGCTATTACTTAACTCTATCTCTACCACTAGATTTAAATAAAGTCATTTCAAACTCAAGGAGTTTAAAGTGAGACTAAAAAGAAATGAGAATCTGTATGTCTTTCCTAGTCAAACACAAACATATATAGCTAAAACTAAAAAGCTCTGTCATAAATGGTACATAAAATGATTATAAAATTCATTAAAATATCATCATTAATGCAATTAATACCAATTGTTGCTCTGTAACTATAAAAAGTGTAGAATGGTAAATCTTCCTTTATTTTTCCTTCTGTTTCTCTATATGCTACCAAATTTTCACTAGCAATCATATACTTTCATGATTTGCTAACTTCCTCTTAAACGAGTCACTAGTCACTGTCATAAAAAAAGGTGGGGGGTGGTAATGTGATAGAATGTGACAGATTAAGAAATTTAAAGAACATAATACACAATTTGTGGATTGGATACTTGCATGAAGGAACCAGAATTTTCAGGTTCCTTGGAGAAATGAATAGAGTGTGTATATTAAATTAGATTAAAATTTATTGAAATAGAAAGTGAATTTTTTTGACTAAAAAAAGCAGATTATAAAACAGTGTGTACAGTATGACCTCATTTTAGTAAAAAAATATGAATATATACATATATGCATAGAAAAGGATACAGATGGTAGGGAGTAACCTTTGGGTGGCAAATATACAAGCGTTTATGTTTGCTTGCTTGTGTTGTTTTTTATTTTCTATTCTGCTTCTTTAATAAAGCATGATTTAAAAAATATTTTTTCTAGGCTGGGCACGGTAGCTCACACCTGTAATCCCAGCACTTTGACAGGTCAAAGTGGGAGGACCACTTGAGCCCAGGAGTTCAAGACCACCCTGGGCAACGTGGTGAGACCCCATCTCTACAAAAAAATTTAGGCCAGGCGCTGTGGCTCACGCCTGTAATCCCAGCATTTTGGGAGGCCAAGGTGGGTGGATCACGATGTCAGGAGTTCAAAACCAGCCTGGCCAAGATGGTGAAACCCTGTCTCTACTAAAAATACAAAAAATTAGCTGGGGGTGGTGGCAGGCCCCTGTAATCCCAGCTACTCAGGAGGCTGAGGCAGAGAATTGCTTGAACTTGGGAGGCAGAGATTGCAGTGAGCCAAGATCATGCCACTGCACTCCAGCCTTGGCAACAGAGTGAGACTCCATCTCAAAAAATAAATAAATAAATAAATAAACTTAGCTGGGAATGGTGGCACATACCTGTAGTCCCAACTACTCAGGGACTGAGCAAGAGGATTGCTTGAGCCCAGGAGTCTGAAGGTACAGTGAGCCATGATCACACCACTGCACTCCAGCCTGGACAACAGAGAGAAACCCTGTCTGTAAAAAAAATTTTTCAAGTATATATAAATATATATTTTCTAACTTCTATCCCTTTCTAACAAGGCTAACATTTAATTAGAGAAGAACTGCTCAACAGACCATAAGGCCTGGGCGCAGTGGCTCACGCCTGTAATCCTAGCACTTTGGGAGGCTGAGGTGGGTAGATCACCTGAGGTCAGGAGTTCGAGACCAGCTGGCCAACATGGCGAAACCCTGTCTCTACTAAAAAAACAAAAATTAGCCAGGCATGGTGGCGCACACCTGTTGTCCCAGCTACATGGGAGCCTGAGGCAGGAAAATAGCTTGAACCTGGGAGGCAGAGGTTGCAGTGAGCCGAGATCACACCACTGTATTCCAGCCTGGGCGACAGAGCGAGACTTCATCTCAAAAAAAAAAAAGCATATCTGTTACACCAAAGGTTTTAGTTTAGTGTAGTAGTTTATAGTACGAGCTCTGACTAGATTCAATACCCAAGCTGGCCACCTTGGGCATGTTATTTAATTTATGTCTCAATTCCCCATCCATAAATTGTGGGCAATAGGCCAGGCACGGTGGCTCCTGCCTGTAATCCCAGCACTTTGGGAAGCCGAGGCAGGTGGATCACCTGAGGTCAGGGGTTCGAGACCAGCCTGAGCAATATGGTGAAACCCTGTCTCTACTAAAAATATGAAAATTAGCCAGGCATGATGGCGGGCACCTGTAATCCCAGCTACTTGGGAGGCTGAGGCTAGAGGATTGCTTGAACCTGGGAGGCAGAGGTTGCAGTGAGCCGAGATCACGCCATCACACTCCAGCCTGGGCAACAGAGTGAGACTCCATCTCAAAAAAAAAAGAAAAAAAAAAATTGTGGGAAATAATAGCACAATACTTACCTCATGGGATTGTTTTGATAATTCAGTGTGGTACTCCACATAAAGCACAGCAGAGTATCCGGCATACAGTAAAGCACTTATTAAATGTAACCTATTATTACCATTATTTTTCTAATTAGCCACTGAGAAAACTTGACTAATATTTCCTAAAGTTAATGTGAAAAATAGAATGTAGGAACAATAGATAGGCCTTCTCTCACTATTGTCCTCTAAACTTCTCTTTTGACCCAATGGAAGAAGTTGAAAGTCAATCCCAGATCCTCCCAGAATCTGACCTTGACACTATTACTGCCCAAGGATAAAGGTCTGCACAGCTTTATATGAATTGTGAATGAAAATGAAATCTGGCTGGGCGTGGTGGCTCACACCTGTAATCCCAGCACTTTGGGAGGCCAAGGCAGGTGGATCACGAGGTCAGGAGTTCAAGACCAGCCTGACCAACATGGTGTCTCTACTAAAACTACAAAACGTGGCCGGGTGCGGTGGCTCACGTCTGTAATCTCAGCACTTTGGGAGGCTGAGGCGGGCGGATCATGAGGTCAGGAGATCGATACCATCCTGGCTAACACAGAGAAACCCCGTCTCTACTAAAAATACAAAAATTAGCCAGGCGTGGCGGCATGTGCCTGTAGTCCCAGCTGCTGGGGAGGGTGAGGCAGGAGAATGGCGTGAACCCAGGAGGCGGAGCTTGCAGTGAGCCGAGATTGCGCCACTGCCCTCCAGCCTGGGCGACAGAGCGAGACTCCATCTCAAAAAAATAAATAAATAAATAATTAAAAAAAAATACAAATACAAAAATTAGCCGGGCATGGTGGTGCACACCTGTTATCCCAGCTACTCAGGAGGCTGAGGCAGGAGAATCACTTGAACCCAGGAGGCGGAGGTTGCAGTAAGCCGAGATCGTGCCACTGCACCCAGCCTGGGCGACAGAGCAAGACTCCATCTCAAAAAAAAAAAAAAAAATGAAATGTGGTATCTAGGAGCTTATTCCAAACTCATTAACATACTATGACTAGTATCATGGGAGAAACTTTACAAATTATTTATAATTACAAAAGAGCTCAAAATTTTCTAGTTAAATTATTCTGAAGAGTCCAACATCTTTACAGGCAATCTCATCTGAATTCTCAATTTTCAAAAATATTGGTAAAGTACTTTTCTTTCTAGATCAGAAAAGAAATAGAAATATAACTCAACTTCAGAGCCCTTCCTGAGTGAATATACTTTCTCCTTCCAAAGCAACAACTATTGTCTTGAACCCCAGTGATAGACATCTTACGCTGGTTTTAGGTATACACATATAACAGCAAATACAGATTGTTCTCAGATAAAGTTGTTAACCAAACATGCTTCATTTTATGTTAACCATAAAATGAAGATCATTCAGTGACTTGAACATATGTTTTAAGACACATGAGAGAAAATTGAGATCAAGTTTCAAATACTATTGATATGGGAAGGGGACAGGGAAGTGCTGGGTAGAGAAGGGCAGAGTCCCTGTCAAGGGCTCCACCTTTGACCTGTACCTATGGACCTAAGTGAGAACAGGCATGCCTGTTTTTGCATCCAAATGCTTCATTTTCCAAGACCACTCTGGCCTGCAACACCCCCAATCCTGTGCCCAAATAAACCCGAGACCACAGCAGGCACAGACACAAGTGATTGAACATCAAGAGGAGCAGAGGAACAGACCAGCAGACACCAGCAGGCCAGCAGACTTGCAATGGTGGAACGACAAGGCAGAGAAAGAGAGGAGGGACGTCTGGACACCGAGGGGAATTCAACTCGGGGCCGTCAGAGAAGAGTCCGGCCTCCAGGAGCCCTGATTCCTGGGGAAGACCACCTCCCTACTCCAGCCCCTCCTTCCAGCTCCCCATCCATGTCGCTGAGAGCCACTTCCACCACTCAATAAAACCTTGCACTCATCCTTCGAGCCCACATGTGATCCAATTTTTCTGGTACACTGGGCAAGAGCTCAGGATACAGAAAGCTGTCACACTGGCCCTCTGCCCTTGCAATAAGGCAGATGGTCTATTGAGCTGGTTAACACAAGCTGTCTGCAGACAGCAAAGCTGAAAGAGCACACTGTAACACATGCTCACTTGGGCTTTCAGAGTCGCAGACACCACCCCAAGATGGTGCCGTGGGGCTGGAGCCCAAAAGTGCTTCCCATGGCTGTTGCACCTGCCCATCTGCATCCTCCCCTTAGGGGTTTGAGCAGTGGGGCAACCGAAGGAGCAAGCAAGACACATCCCTGTGGTACATCCTGCAAGGGAGATGAGGGAACTCTCCTGTTTCACTATAACATGAAGTATACACTGGGCAAGGTAGCTCACACCTGTCATCCCAGCACTTGGGAAGGCCAAGGCCAGACAATCACTTGAGGCCAGGAATTCAAGACCAACCAGGGCAACATAGCAAGACCCCATCTCTAAAAAAATTTTAAAAATTAGCTCAGCACGGTGGTGCACACCTATAATCTCCACTACTCAGGAGGCTGAAGCAGGAGGATTGTTTGAGCCCAGGAGTTGGAAGTTAGTGAGCTATGATTGCGCCACTGAACACTTCAGCCTGGGTGACAGAGTGAGACCAAACAAACAAACAAAAAACCCATACATTTAGCATAGGATAAAAAAGATTTAAAGAAATCACACTATGCTAGAGAGGAAGGAGGTGGATTTTTAAAAAAGAGGAAAGAAATCACACTATGCTAAGAGGTAAAAGACCCAAATGTGGAGATAACCTGTTCCAACTGTACTTCAACCAGAAATTCAGCTTATTAGTTGACAAACTGTTTACAGTTCTATTTGGTTGATAGCATGCGGTGAATTTTAAGTATGCAAAACGATCTGACCTCAAGTGACATCCCATAGGAGCAGAGAAACTGCCAATATCCATACAACTAGATGGCTCTGTTATATGCCACCAAATCATACACTGGTTATCAAAATTAAGATGTCCACTGGCCGGGCGCCTGTAATCCCAGCACTTTGGGAGGCCAAGGCGGGTGGATCACCTGAGGTCAGGGGTTCAAGACCAGCCTGGCCAACATGGTGAAACCCCATCTCTACTAAAAATGCAAAAAATTAGCTGGGCACAGTGGCTCACACCTGTAATCTCAGCACTTTGGGAGGCCGAGGTGGGCAGATCACCTGAGGTCGGGAATTCAAGACCAGCCTGACCTACATGGAGAAACCCCATCTCTACTACAAATACAAAATTAGCCAGACGTGGTGGCGCATGCCTGTAGTCCCAGCTACTGGGGAGGCTGAGGCAGGAGAATCACATGAACCTGGGAGGCGGAAGTTGCAGTGAGCCGAGATTGCGCCACTGCACTCTGGCCTGGGCAACAAGAGCGAAACTCTGTCTCAAAAAAATTAATAAATAAGCCAGGTGTGGTGGCTCACGCCCACCCATACTCCCAGCACTTTGGGAGGCTGAGGCGGGCGGATCACGTGAGGTCGGGAGTTTGAGACCAGCCTGACCAACATGGAGAAACCCCATCTCTACTAAAAAATACAAAATTAGCCAGGCATGGTGGCACACGCCTGTAATCCCAGCTACTTGGGAGGCTGAGGCAGGAGAATCACTTGAACCCGGGAGGCAGAGGTTGCAGTGAGCTGAGATCATGCCACTGCACTCCAGCCTGGGCAACAAGAGTGAAACTCCATCTCAAAAAAAAAAAAAAATTTGCCAGGCATGGTGGCGCATACCTGTAGTCCCAGCTACTCGAGAGGCTGAGGCAGGAGAATTGCTTGAACCCGGGAGGCGGAGGTTGTGGTGAGCCGAGATGGCACCATTGCACTCCAGCCTGGGGAACAACAGTGAAACTCCAACTCAAAAAAAAAAAAAAAATTAAATTAAAAAAATAAATGAATAAATAAGTAAAATAAAATAAAATACAAAAAATTAGCCAGGCATGGTGGGCTGGGCACAGTGGCTCACACCTGTAACCCAGCACTTTGGGAGGCTGAGGCAGGCAGATCACAAGGTCAGGAGTTCGAGACCTGCCTGACGAACACGGTGAAACCCTGTCTCTGCTAAAAATACAAAAATTAGCCGGGCATGGTGGCGCGCACCTCTAATCCCAGCTACTCAGGGGGCTGAGGCAGGAGAATCGCTTGAACCCAGGAGGCGGAGGTTGCAGTGAGCCAAGATGGCGCCACTGCACTCTAGCCTGGGGACAGAGCGAGACTCCCTCTCAAAAAAAAAAAAAAAAATTAGTGCGGCATGGTGGAGAGCACCTGTAATCGCAGCTACTTGGGAGGCTAAGGGAGGAGAATTGCTTGAAACCAGGAAGCAGAGGTTGCAGTGAGCCAAGATCGCGCCATTGCACTCCAGCCTGTACAACAAGAGTGAAACTCAGTCTCAAAAAAAAAAAAAAAGTCCACATTCAGCCTTTCTTCTTAAATGTTCAATTGAATACTAGTGAGTTCCAGAAATATATCAACCTGGCTGATATATCAACCTCTAGCTGATCATATCTAAAAATAAAAAGCCAAATCAGTTGTCTACAATGAGGTCTGTATATTCCCACCAAGCTATAACTACTTTTTACTTAGGGTCTTATTTTCTTTTCTTTCTTTTTTTTTTTTTTTTTTTTTTTTTTTGCTCTGTTGCCCAGGCGGGAGTGCAATGGCATGATCTCGGCTCACCGCAACCTCTGCACCCCCGGATTCAAGCACTTCTCCTGCCTCAGCCTCTCGACTGGCTGGAACTACAGGCATGTGCCATCGTGCTCGGCTAATTTTGTATTTTTAGTAGAGATGGGGTTTCTCCATGTTGGTCAGGCTGGTCTTGAACTGCTGACTTCAGGTGATCCACCCACCTTGGCTTCCTAAAGTGCTGGGATTGCAGGCGTGAGCCACCACGCCCAGCCAGGGTCTTATTTTCAAATGTTTGGGTCATAAAGCTTAGAAAGTGATTCATCCAGCTGGGCATGGTGGCTCACACCTGTAATCCTAGCACTTTGGAAGGCTGAGGCAGGCGGATTGCCTGAGATCAGGAGTTCAAGACCAGCCTGGCCAATATGGTGAAACCCCATCTCTACTAAAATACAAAAAAATTAGCCGGGCATGGTGGCACACACCTCCAGTACTAGCTGCTCAGGAGGCTGAGGCACAAGAATATCTTGAACCTGGGAGGCGGAGGTTGCAGTGGGCTGAGATTGCACCACTGTAATTCAGCCTGGGTGAAAGAGCAAGACTGTCTCAAAAAAAAAAAAAAAAAAAAATGGCCAGGGTCAGGCATAGGCTGACAGGCACAGATTACAGGCTCATGCCTGTAATCTCAGCACTTTGGGAGGCCAAGGCAGGTGGATCACCTGAGGTTGGGAGTTCGAGTCTAGCCTAACATGGAGAAACCCTGTCTCTACTAAAAACACAAAATCAGCCTGGCGTGGTGGCGTATGCCTGTAATCCCAGCTACTCAGGAGGCTGAGGCAGGAGAATCTCTTGAACCCGGGAGGCAGAGGTTGCGGTAAGTGGAGATTGCACCATTACACTCCAGCCTGGGTAACAAGAGCGAAACTCCGTCTCAAAAGAAAAAAAAAAAAGGCTGGGCATGCTGGCTCACGCCTGTAATCCCAGCAATTTGGGAGGCTGAGGCGGGCAGATCACCTGAGGTCAGGAGTTCGAGACCAGTCTGGCCAACACGGTGAAACCCTGTCTCTACTAAAAATACAAAACAGCCGGGCATGGTAGCGGGTGCCTGTAATCTCAGCTACTTGGGAGGCTGAGGCAGGAGAATTGCTTGAACCTGGGAAGTGAAGGTTGCAGTGAGCCGAGATGGTACCACTGCACTCCAGCCTGGGCGACAGAGCGAGTCTCCCTCTAAAAAAAAAAAAGAAAGAAAGAAAAAAGAAAGTGATTCACCCAGTCTTTCATTGGACTCTAGAAAATACATGGGGCAAATCATCTCCATCGCAGGAAAAGTCTATTTTCTATTTGGGCTCATCCATCATACCACTAGACTTCTCAGCACCTAAACTTGAGAGAGAGACTCAGTCCCATCTTACATTATGGCAATTACTTCATTTGGTTTCAGATGACCTCCAGTTAACATCTCCTAGGAATGTACCTGCCCCCTTAATCTATGTCACCCATGAAGGATTAGGCTATTCGTTCTAAGAGCTGATCCTAAACTCAACTTAGTCTCTATTTAACTTTGAGTTCCAGGAGTGAAAAGGAGCATCTGAATCAATATCTTCATTTTTATAGATGACTCCAAGGAGATAATATGTACTGTCCATGGTCACACACCTAATTAGTGGCAGATGTCATAACAGAGGTCTTTCACCTATCAAATGAATTTGACTCAATTAAAATTACCCCAAAGGTCACCATATCCAGAAGTGACTTAAGGAATGGATAAACAGAAAACGTTTTTTCTATTTTAGAACATTAGCTAGCTGAGGAGTGAGTTGGAACTGGCATTGTCTCCTTTCCATGCTGCTGATCACACTTCAATCCATGGCTCCTCCACGAGCTACGGACATGATTTTTGCAACAGTAAGGCATGCAAAGAAATTCCAGACACTCATGCCACTGACCACATAGACTTTGCATAAGAACCATCAACTTTGGGAATGACTTGGCAACTACAAACTGCCTTGTGATATCACTAGCTGAGTTTCTTATAACACATTTATCTCACCATAGCCAAACTCAGTTTCCTAATCCAGCAAATGGATATTATGTTTCACATAGACTCAAACTGGACAGATTTCTCAAGGTGCTGTGTGGTTTTATGGATTTAGAGTTAAACCAGTCTTTCTCAACAGGGGCACTACGACATTTTGAGTAGCAGATTTCTTGGTTGTGTAGGATTATCTACTATACCACAGAAGGTTTAGTATCATTGGTCCTTTGTCCTTTGTCCGATAAATGCAAGTAGTCCTGCCAGTCACAACCCCCCAACACACTTCCAAATGACCTCAAGAGAGAAGAATGCCACCACTAGTATTAACCTTAGAGCCAATCATTAAGTGAACTATAAAATAAAAAATGTTTACATAAAGACCTAATCCCTTTTCCCTGCCACTAAAATACTGCTCTCTATTCCTCTTTTTAACCCAGAGATAATGCTTTGTTCACTAACTCCATAAAACCAACTTTGTCTGAACTAGTTATATAATTAAGACACCTGTATGGACGGGAAAGTAGAGTAGAAAAGTTAGTGAAATAAAATCAGGATATGAGTTTGAATCCAAGTTCTCTGGCTATTCAAACTTAGGCAAGTTATTTCTCCTCATTGGGCCTTAGTTTTCCCAACTATCAAAAAGTATTTTGTGGCCAGGTGTGGTGGCTCATGCCTGTAATCCCAGCACTTTGGCAGGCCATGATAGGAGGATCGCTTGAGGCCAGGAGTTCAAGACCAGCCTGGGCAACATAGCAAGACCTCTGTCTCTATTTAAATAATGTTTTAAATTAATTTTTTAAAATAAAATAAAATAAAAAGTGTTAGGCTAAATTATCTCTCTGGTTTATTACAATTCTAGGAACCTGTGAAGTAAAACATAATTAACTTGCTTTACACTTTTCTTTTGACCTCTACATAGCTAAATGAGGGTGACCACTAACGAACACTGCCTAGTCTCTCAGAAGCCCCGATCCCAAGCCCCAGGGATAACAGTAAGACAGAACAATCACATCCAGCCAGATCTCATACAGGATTTTATTATAGAGTTGATATATTTAGTGTATAAAATAGAGCTGAATTATTTTATGACCCATTAATAATAAAGGTGCCAAGATAGTAACAGCAACAACAGCCACCCTAACTTATGTTATCTAGGGTACACCTATAATCTGAATGCTGGCTGTACACAACAATCACCTGGATACCTTAAAAAAAAGCCCCAGTTCCACACCAAGCCAGTATCAAATGAATCGAAATCTCTGGGGATGGGGCTTATCTCCCAAGGCTCCCCGAGGTGATTCTGATGAACAGTGAGAACCAAGAACCACTGATCCAGACCTTTTAATCCAAGAACTGAAAAGTAAATGACCAAAGGTTAGTATCTCACACGCTAGTTATATAATCAAACATCGATAAATAAAAACAATCTAGTGTTACTATGTACTGACATTCTCAGTTAGGGAGAACTGTGTTTCTAGAGAAAAAGGAGAGCTCTATTAACAGCCCTTTATTGGGGACTGGCCCTGCTAGAAACAGAATATAACTTCCTGACAATCTGATGAATTAGTTCAAAAAAACTTACTACGAAGTTGACAACACCTGGAGAAGTCCTATCAATCATCAAGATAGTTAGAACAATGTTAGTCAAAGTAGTACAAAAACTGATGTTCCTCAACCTAACTCTTACTCACTAGGTCTCACTGAAAGACCTAGCAGGTAGAAGTGGCCAGGTGTAGTGGTTCATATCTTTAATCCCAGCACTTTGAGAGACTGAGGCAGGCGGATCACTTGAGGTCAGGAATTCGAGACCAGCCTGGCCAACATGGCGAAACCCGGTGTCTATCAAAAACAACAGAAATCAGCTAGGCGCAAGGGCATGCACTTGTAGTCCCAGCTATTCAGGAGGCTGAGGCAGGAGAATCTCTTGAACCTGGGAGGCAGAGGTTGCAGTGAGCTGAGATTGTACCACTGCACTCCCATTTGGGCGACAGAGTGAGACTCTATCTCAAAAAAAAAAAAAAAAAATAGGCTGGGCGGGGTAGCTCACACCTCTAATCCCAGCATTTTGGAAAGCTGAGGTGGGCGGATCACAAGGTCAGGAGTTCAAGACCAGCCTGGCCAACATGGTGAAACTCCATCTCTACTAAAAACACAAAAAATTAGCTGGGCATGGTGGCAGGCGCCTGTAATCCCAGCTACTTGGGAGGCTGAGGCAGAAGAATTGCTTGAACCCAGGAGGCGGAGGTTGCAGTGAGCTGAGACCGCACCACTGCACTCCAGCTTGGGCAACAAAGCAAGACTCCGTCTCAAAAAACAAAAACAAAAACAAAAAAAACCTAGTAGGACATGAAAAATTTGATGGGAACATACATGATTTCTGAAAAATACATCATTTCTGACTTCCTCAACAAAGCTTTGAGTTCAGTGACATAGGAAAAGGCAAAGCAGTCTTAGCTGAAATCATCCTTGCTCTTTTCAGAACATAATCAGCAAAACTAACAAGACAGATTAAATAAGTAGACCATTGAACTCTCTCTTACCTTATGTGCAAGGCCAAGCCATCCTGTAGGCTAGAGATCCCCAAATCAGAGAGTGTATCTGAGCCAACAGAAGCAGGTGACAAGGAGCCCTCCTTCTCCTCCAGTAGGTCCAACTTCACCAGGTTGCTGATCTCATCCTCTGAGTTATCTTCAGACACAGAACCTATTATGAATCGAGAGTGCTGGTTCAGCTCCAGAGGTTGGGCCAAGGGAGATGGTTCATCCATTATTCCTCCAAAATGAGCTCTTACAGCTATGGAGAAAATGAAAAGTGAGAAAGGCAGGTTATGAATAATAATCTATATCTGAGGTCAGCCAGAGGTTATATCTAATAAACCATAGCTGAGACGTGGAAGCAAGGCAATTTGAGAACTAACTTCCTTGGCTATTCTATTTCAGGGCCTTTAATTTCTACAAGGGAGGAAAATTGAGATCATGATAACTATGCCCATAAATTAAAACCAGTTCCCTTTTCCTCAAAGAAATTTTTCTCAAAAGCCTATAAGGCATTCCTAATCTCATTTTCATTTGGTGGTGTCCAGGAAATAATTATGATCAATGGGGAAACCTTTGCAGTAGGAAAAAGCTGCTTGTTGTGATATTGATATTTTGGTTGTTAGTAATGGGGGAATAAATGGTAAGGGTCTGGATAGAGTAATGGTTGTTTGAAATAATATTTAAACTACATAATGCTCATCTGGCTTCAAACACTATATATTGAGAGGCTATAACTTTTATTTTATTATTTATTTATTTGAGACAGGGTCTCACTCTGTCACCCATACAGCATGCAGTACTACAATCATGGTTCACTGCAGCCTCAAACTCTTTGGGCTCAAGTGATCCTCCTACCTCAGCCTCCCCAGTAGCTGGGACTATAGGCACGTGCCACCATGCCCGGCTAATTCTATTTTTATTTTTCATTTATTTATTTATTTATTTATTTATTTATTTATTTATTTAGAGACGGAGTCTCGCTCTGTTGCCCAGGCTGGAGTGCAGTGGTGCGACTGCCACTCACTGCAAGCTCCGCCTCCCGGGTTCATGTCATTCTCCTGCCTCAGCCTCCTGAGTACCTGGGACTACAGGCACCCGCCACAACACCCAGCTAATTTTTTGTATTTTTAGTAGAGATGGGGTTTCACCGTGTTAGCCAGGATGGTCTCGATCTCCTGACCTTCCGCCTCAGCCTCCCAAAGTGCTGGGATTCCAGGTGTGAGCCACCGCACCCGGCCTATTTTTTTTTTCTTTTTTGAGACGTAGTCTCACTCTGTCGCCCAGGCTGGAGTGCAATGGCACGATCTCAGCTCACTGCAACCTCCGCCTCCCGGGTTCAAGCAATTCTCTGCCTCGGCCTCCCAAGTAGCTGGGATTACAGGTACCCACCACCATGCCCGGCTGACTTTTGTATTTTTAGTAGAGATGGAGTTTCACTATCTTGGCTAGGCTGGTCTTGAACTCCTGATCTCATGATCCACCCACCTCAGCCTCTCAAAGTGCTAGGACTATGGGTGTGAGCCACTGTGCCCGGTCTAATTTTTAAATATTTTGTAGAAATGGGGACTCCCTATGTTGCCTAGGCTGGTCTTGAACTCCTGGGCTCAAGCAATCCTCTCACCTTAGGCTCCCAAACTGCTGGGATTACAGGTGTAAGCCACTGTGCCTGGCCTATGAATTTTACGTATGTGTATACTTTTAAAACAAACTCCAGATAGGTAATTTTTAATTAAAAAAAAAAAAACTTTACTTGTCCTCATGAGTTTTTTCTTAAATTATGCATTTTAAAATGTCACCCCAAAATGACTACTTTTGGCTCTAATGTGCTGACACTGATATGAGAAGAAAATGAATCTATCACCAAATTTAAAATCTATAATCACCTCAAGTAAGTATAATTTTTCTAAATGTAGGGCCTTACCAGTTAGGATTAGATACTGCCAATAGCTAACTAAGAAACTAATTAACAGCAAACCATCATGACACGTGTTTACCTACATAACAAACCTGCATGTTCTGCACATGTATCCCAGAACTTAAAAGTATAATTTAAAAAAAAAAAAGAAAGAAAAAGAAACTAATTAATAAAGACCAAAACAGCAACATTCATTCTCTTTTATGGAATGAAGTGCTGCCCATAAAAATTTAAAAATATTTTTTAAAAACCAAAATAAGAGCCCACAACAATAAAAACCCAAACTAAATGAAACAATATTTCTTCTGTCATCTCAAAAATCCTATTTTAAAATTTCAAAACTACAGATCAACTCAGTATTAAATAGCTTGTACCCAGATCAATTATTTTAATTCAGAAAATAAGCCTGGGCGCGGTGGCTCACGCCTATAATCCTAACAACTTGGGAGGCAGAGGCAGGAGGATTGTTTGAGTCCAGGAGTTCAAGACTAGCATGAGCATCAAAACAAGATCCCATCTGTACAAAAAAAAAAAAAAAAAGATTGGCCGGACGCGGTGGCTCACGCCTGTAAATACCAGCACTTTGGTAGGCCGAGGTGGGTAGATCACCTGAGGTCAGCAGTTCAACACCAACCTGGCCAACATGGTGAAACCCCGTCTCTACTAAAAATACAAAAATTAGCTGGGTGTGGTAACAAGTGTATAATCCCAGCTACTCGGGAGGCTGAGGCAGAAGAATCACTTGAACCCGGGAGGCGGAGGTTGCAGTGAGCTGAGATCATGCCTCTGCACTCCAGCCTGGGTGACAGAGTGAGACTCTGTCTAGAAAAAAAAAAAAAAAAAAAGATTAATAATTCCCAATTGTGGACCTTTTAGAGGTTCCCTTGACTGATCCCGACCTCAACTTGTATACTGATGGAAGTTCCTTTGTAGAAAAAGGACTTTGAAAAGTGGGGTATGCAGTGGTCAGTGATAATGGAATACTTGAAAGTAATGCCCTCACTCCAGCAACTACTGCTCAGCTGGCAGAACTCATAGCCCTCACTCAGGCACTAGAATTAGGAGAAGGAAAAAGGATAAATATATATACAGACTCTAAGTATGCTTACCTAGTCCTCCATGCCCATGCAGCAATATGGAGAGAAAGGGAATTCCTAACTTCCAAGGAACACCTATCAAACATCGGGAAGCCATCAGGAGATTATTCTAGGCTGTACAGAAACCTAAAGAGGTGGCAGTCTTACACTGCCGGTGTCATCAGAAAGGAAAGGAAAGGAAAGGGAAATAGAAGGGAACCGCCAACCAGATATTGGAGCCAAAAGAGCCGCAAGGCAGGACCCTCCATTAGAAATGCTTATAGAAGGACACCTAGTATGGGGTAATCCCCTCCAGGAAACCAAGCCCCAGTACTCAGAAGAAGAAATAGAATGGGGAACCTCACGGGGACATAGTTTCCTCCCCTCAGGATGGCTAGCCACCAAAGAAGGAAAAATACTTTTGCCTGCAGCTAACCAATGGAAATTACTTAAAACCCTTCACCAAACCCTTCACTTAGGTATTGATAGCACCCATCAGATGGCCAAATCATTATTTACTGGACCAGGCCTTTTCAAAACTATCAAGCAGATAGTCAGGGCCTGTGAAGTGTGCCAAAGAAATAATCCCCTGCCTTATCGCCAAGCTCCTTCAGGAGAACAAAGAACAGGCCACTACCCAAGAGAAGACTGGCAACTAGATTTTACCCATAGGCCCAAATCTCAGGGATTTCAGTATCTACTAGTTTGGGTAGATACTTTCACTGGTTGGGCAGAGGCCTTCCCCTGTAGGACAGAAAAGGCCCAAGAGGTAATAAACGTTCATGAAATAATTCCCAGATTCGGACTTCCCCAAGGCTTACAGAGTGACAATGGCCCTGCTTTCAAGGCTACAGTAACCCAAGGAGTATCCCAGGTGTTAGGTATACAATATCACTCACACTGCGCCTGGAGGCCACAGTCCTCAGGAAAGGTGGAGAAAATGAACAAAACACTCAAATGACATCTAAAAAAGCTAATCCAGGAAACCCACCTCGCATGGCCTGCTCTGTTGCCTATAGCCTTACTAAGAATCCGAAACTCTCCCCAAAAAGCAGGACTTAGTCCATACAAAATGCTGTATGGACGGCCCTTCCTAACCAATGAACTTGGGCTTGACCGAGAGACAGCCAACTTAGTTGCAGACATCATCTCCTTAGCCAAATATCAACAGGTTCTTAAAACATTACAGGGAGCCTGTCCCCAAGAAGAGGGAAAGGAACTATTCCACCCTGGTGACATGGTATTAGTCAAGTCCCTTCCCTCTAATTCCCCATCCCTAGATACATCCTGGGAAGGAAACTACCCAGCCATTTTATCTACCCTAACGGCAGTTAAAGTGGCTGGAGCGGAGTCTTGGATACATCACACTCAAGTCAAACCCTGGATACTGCCAAAGGAACTCAAAAATCCATGAGACAATGCTAGCTATTCCTGTGAACCTCTAGAGGATCTGCGCCTGCTCTTCAAATGACAACCAGGGGGAAAGTAACTAAAATCGTAAATCCCCTGGCCCTCCCTTATCATATTTTTCTCTTTACTGTTCTCTTACCCCCTTTCACTCTCACTGCACCCCGTCCATGCCACTGCACCCCGTCCATGCCCCGTCCATGCCAGTAGCTCCCCTTAGCAAGAGTTTCTATGGAGAATGCAGCGTCCCGGAAATATTGATGCCCCATTGTATAGGAGTTTATCTAAGGGAACCCCCACCTTCACTGCCCACACCCATATGCCCCACAACTGCTATAACTCTGCCACTCTTTGCATGCATGCAAATACTCATTATTGGACAGGAAAAACGATTAATCCCAGTTGTCCTGGAGGACTTGGAGGACTCACTTCACTCATACCAGTATGTCTGATGGGGGTGGAGTTCAAGATCAGGCAACAGAAAAACACATAAAGGAAGTAATCTCCCAACTGACCTGGGTACATAGCACCCCTGGCCCCTACAAAGGACTAGATCTCTCAAAACTACATGAAACCCTCCATACCCATACTGGCCTGGTAAGCCTATTTAATACCACCCTGACTGGGCTCCATGAGGTCTCGGCCCAAAACCCTACTAACTGTTGGATGTGCCTCCCCCTGCACTTTAGGCCACACATTTCAATCCCTATACCTGAACAATGGAACAACTTCAGCACAGAAATAAACACCACTTCTGTTTTAGTAGGTCCTCTTTCCAATCTGGAAATAACCCATACCTCAAACCTCACCTGTGTAAAATTTAGCAATACTATAGACACAACCAACTCCCAATGCATCAGGTGGGTAACTCCTCCCACACGAATAGTCTGCCTACCCTCAGGAATATTTTTTGTCTGTGGTACCTCAGCCTATCATTGTTTGAATGGCTCTTCAGAATCTGTGTGCTTCCTCTCATTCTTAGTGGCCCCTATGCCCATCTACACTGAACAAGATTTATACAATCATGTCATACCTAAGCCCCGCAACAAAAGAGTACCCATTCTTCCTTTTGTTATTGGAGCAGGAGTGCTAGGCGGAGTAGCTACTGGCATTGGCGGTATCACAACCTCTACTCAGTTCTACTACAAACTGTCTCAAGAACTAAATGGTGACATGGAATGGGTCGCTGATACCCTGGTCACCTTGCAAGATCAACTTAACTCCCTAGCAGCAGTAGTCCTTCAAAATCGAAGAGCTTTAGACTTGCTAACCGCGGAAAGCGGGGGAACCTTTTTATTTTTAGAGGAAAAATGCTGTTGTTATGTTAATCAATCCGGAATCATCACCGAGAAAGTTAAAGAAATTCAAGGTCGAATATAACGTAGAGCAAAGGAGCTGCAAAACACTGGACCCTGGGGCCTCCTCAGCCAATGGATGCCCTGGATTCTCCCCTTCTTAGGACCTCTAGCAGCTATAATATTGTTACTCCTCTTTGGACCCTGTATCTTTAACCTCCTTGTTAAGTTTGTCTTTTCCAGAATCGAAGCAGTAAAACTACAAATCGTTCTTCAAATGGATCCCCAGATGCAGTCCATGAGTAAAATCTACCACGGACCCCTGGACCGGCCTGCTAGCCCATGCTCTGATGTTAATGACATCAAAGGCACCCCTCCCGAGGAAATCTCAACTGCACAACCTCTACTACGCCCCAATTCAGCAGGAAGCAGTTAGAGTGGTTGTTGGCCAACCTCCCCAACAGCAGTTGGGTTTTCCTGTTGAGAGGGGGGACTGAGAGACAGGAATAACTAGATTTCCTAGACCAACTAAGAATCCCTAAGACTAGCTGGGAAGGTGACCGCTTCCACCTTTAAACACCGGGCTTGCAACTTAGCTCACGCCCAACCAATCAGATACTAAAGAGAGCTCACTAAAATGCTAATTAGGCAAAAACAGGAGATAAAGAAATAGCCAATCATCTGTTGCCTGACAGCACAGCAGGAGGGACAATGATCGGGATATAAACCCAGGCATTCGAGCCAGCTACAGCTACCCTCTTTGGGTCCCCTCCCTTTGTATGGGAGCTCTGTCTTCACTCTATTAAATCTTGCAACTGCAAAAATAAAAATAGAAAAATAATAATTCCCAATTGTGATTTTGAAGTGCTCTAAGATATGGTACATTAATAGATAATAAATGTATTATTAATAACTCTGTATGCTATAACTCACTGTAAAGTATGAAAGTAAGTGGACAACAGTGTTCCTTGACATCAGATGAGAAACCGTCAATACTTTAAAATGTTTGGGAATCACCACTCAACATGTGAAAATTACATATGCACGATTGTTCTGGTGTAATTTGTGAGTCAGTTTACTCACTTACAGAGACAAACAGCATTTATAAATGCTAGAGTAGTGTGGTTCTCAAAGTGTGGTCCCTGGACCATTGGCATCACCTGGGAACTTGTTAGAAGTGCAAATTTCTTGGGCCCTTCCCCAGACCAACTAACCATATCAGAACCTACAGGCCAGCATCCATTCATCTATGCTTTCACAAGCCCTAAAGGTTGAGAATCACTGTGGTACAAGAATAAAACAGTAATTAACAAATTGGCAAGACTGCTAAAACAAAACTAAAGAAAACCTATACCAGCCTGGGCACTATAGTGAGATCCCATCCCTAAAAAAAAATTTTTTTTAATTAGCTGCATGTGGTGGCATGCACCTGTAGTCCCAGCTACTGGGGAGGCTGAGGTGGGAGAATCGTTTGAGCCCAGGAGTTCAAGACTGCAGTATGCTGTGATAGCACCACTGTACTCCAGCCTTGGTGACAGAGCAGGACCCTGTCTCAAAAAAAAAAAAAAAAAAGAAAAGTAAAGAAAACTATAGACATTTCCCTTTTTTTTAGAGGCAGGGTCTTGCTCTGTCACTCAGGCTAGAGTGCAGTGGCACGATCCTCGTTCACTGCAGCCTCAAACTCCTGGGCTCAAGCATCCTCCAACCTCAACCTCCAAAATAGCTGGGACTACAGGCATGCATCACTATGCCTGGCTACTTTTTGTTTTTTTGTACAGACAGCATCTCCACATGTTGCCCAGCCTAGTCTCAAACTCCTGAGCTCAAGTGATCCTCCCACCTTGGCCTCCCAAACGGTTGGGATTATCAGTGTGAGCCACTGAGCCCAGCCTAACATTTTCTGAAAGTGAACTGGAGATTACTTTAGCTAACTTCTATCTTTAAAACTAGAATCAGCTGGGCGCAGTGGCTCACGCCTGTAATCCCAGCACTTTGGGAGGCCAAGGTAGGTGGATCACAAGGTCAGGAGATCAAGACCATCCTGGCTAACATGGTGAAACCCCATCTCTAATAAATATACAAAAAATTAGCCGGGCGTAGTGGCGGGCACCTGTAGTCCCAGCTACTCGAGAGGCTGAGGCAGGAGTATGGCGTGAACCCAGGGGGCGGAGCTTGCAGTGAGCAGAGATCACGCCACTGCACTCCAGCCTGGGCAACAGAGTGAGACTCCGTCTCAAAAATAAAATAAAATAAAATAAAATAAAATAAAATAAAACAAAACTAGAATCAAATATAAAAGTATGATGCAACATGAGCCAAGATCACCACTGCACTCCAGCCTGGTGACAGAGCGAGACTCCGTCTCAAAAAAAAAAAAAAAAAAAGTATCATGCAACAAAAAAAATTTGCTGTCTAAATTTACTATACATTTCTCCCTTGAAATATTAGGTCTTAAAAAAAGTTCAAGATCAGCCTGCCCAACATGGGGAAACCCCATCTCTACTAAAAATACAGGCCAGGCACAGTGGCTCATGCCTGTAATCCCAGCACTTTGGGAGGCCGAGGCAGGTAGATCACCTGAGGTCAGGAGTTTGAGACCAGCCTGGCCAACACAGTGAAACCCCATCTCTACTAAAAATACAAAAATTAGCCGAGCGTGGCGCATGCCTGTAATCCCAGCTACTCAGGAGGCTGAGGTAAGGAGAATCGCTTGAACCTGGGAGGTGACAGAGCGAGACTCTGTCTCAAAAAACAAAAAAAAACAAAAAACCTTTAAAGGGCTCCCATTATTTTTGGCCAGGCACAGTCGCTAATGCCTGTAATACCCAGCACTTTGGGAGGCCAAGGTGAGCGGATCACCTGAGATCAGGAGTTCAAGACCAGCCTGGCCAACATGGTGAAACCCCAACTTTACTAAAAATACAAAAAATTAGCCAGGCGTGGCGGTGGGCACCTGTAATCCCAGCTACTTGGGAGGCTGAGGCATGAGAATTGCTTGAACCCAGGAGGCAGAGGTTGCAGTGTGCCGAGATTGCGCCACTGCACTCTAGCCTGGGTGACAGAGACTCCCTCCGTCTCAAAAGAAAAAAAAAAAGGAAGAAAAAAGGCAGAGAGGGAGGGAAAAGGGGAAAAGGGAGGGAAAAGGGGTAAAAGGGAGGGAAAAAGAAAGAAAGGGGGAGGGAAGGGAAAGTTCCAACAGACTGACCACACTGAAGAACACCAAAAGTTACAGCAGCAAAAAGCCTATTTCTTTCACATTTACAGCAGTAAATAGTTAAGTTTAAAAGTAACAGTAGATCCAAAAAATAAAATCCCATCCCAACTAACAGAAGATAATGGGTGCCTTCTTCACAAAGTAAGAAAGCAAGGCACTCAGGTGCAGATTCTAGCTTGCAGTCTGACTGAAGTTAGATGACCACACACAAAAGAGAAAATCCACAAGGCACAATTCTTTGACTCCATGGGAGAAGAAAAAGAGAGTTAATAAAACACGGTTCCTGGGCTAATAAGTGAGAGTCTCAATAAGGCCAACTTCAAGTTCCTAGCTAAGAAGACCATGAAGGCAGCTTTCACTAAACGGTTACATAGATTGGAGGCAACTCAGTGTGAACAGCTAAAAAGCCTGTCCAGCAACTGTACTGAATAGTATTTCCCAGGCACGAGCCTACAAACCAACAGAAAAGAGAGGTCATGTATGGAAAATTACTGAGTAGCTGTCCAGACACTCTAGAAGCTACTCCACAGCCTGTCCCATTTCCACTGATTCTAGTCCTGAATTAAAGAGAGAATACAGTTGAGTACCATTGTTAGACTCTTTGTTCACTTCAGGTTATCCACCCTAAATCTGCCTATATTATTTTGTGGAAGTCAACTTTTAACACAAAAGCCTACAGTTTGATATTTTACAACATGAACAAAATTTTTATCACATTGTAAACAAGGAGTATTATTTGTAACTGACCTCTTATAATTCTTACTGTCTGAGTAGATATCCACTTCCAGAAAGACCTAGAGAGAAAAAGAGAGAAAGATTTTAAGGTTTTTTTTTTTAAGAAACAAACTTTTGTCAATTCCTGTTTTGCTCAGCATAATACAAAGGTAATAATATATGAAGTATCTATTTTACTGGTCAAATCTATTATTTAACTTAAAGCACAAAGTTTAGCAGTTTATTATTTGTTCAATTCTGTAAATCAAACACATTACATAAAGACTATTGTTTAAGAAAATATTAAACAATAGAACAAGCTTACCATTTCACAAGGTGGCTTTTCCAATTGTATACTCCATGAATACATTTCAAAATTTTCATTTCTAATATTTCATCAAAAAAGAGGCAGTGGGGAGAAGAGAACCACTAGATTCTCTACAATTCACTTAAGCTCTGATTATGTTTACAAGCGGTTACACCTACACACAAAGATTGGGAGCCAGGTGGAAGACAGAGTGCCCATTATACTAAGTCCCTAAACTGTAAGGGATCAAACAGTCTCTAGCAACTCCCCAAATCCTCGGTTTCCTTCTTAAGCCTGACAATTTAAATCTATCTAGGGTAGAAATTCTCAACTCTGATTATGTTTAAGAATCACCTGCGGAGCTTTTAAAAATTTTACAAAGTCTAAACACCACCCTAGATCTGCTGAATCAGAATTGCAGCTGGAGACCCAGGGATATCAACTTTAAGTTCCACAGTTAATTGACACTGATGGAAATACACGCTTGAGAACCACTCGTTAAGGGCAGAGAAGAAACAAAAGGAAAGAACCTATTACACTGGTAGGGAAATCTAAAACTTCCGAGAGGACCCCTAAATGACAAGGGACAACATTTAGGAATATTAGGATTTATCCAGTTATGCAGTCTGAGCTAGTATTATTCCCTACAACTGAGAAGAGGAAGGAAAAAGTTTGGATCATGTAACCAAAGATGCAGTGAAAGTGGAGTTAAAACCTAGGACCAATCAAGCTCAAACTCTGACTGTCAAATATTGCAAGTGACTGCAGACTTGAAGGTCACTTAACGTCTCTGTATATCATACAGACAAGCCTCCTCATCTGTAAAAATAAAAAAGAAAGTCTTCTGGGCAGTAGTGTGCACCTACAGTCCCAGCTACTTGGGAGGCTGAGGCAGAGGTGTGCTAGAGTCCAGGAGCTGGAGGCTGCAATGTGCTATGACCACACCTGTGAAAAGCCAATGCACTCCAGCCTGGGCAACATAGCAAGACCCCCATCTCAAAAATAAATAAATTAACGAATTTAATTAAGTTTAAAGAAGGTCATATGTACCTCATGGGACTGCTGTGAAAACTAAGAATATATGAAAGGATTTTGTAAACTATAATGCAATAGGCCAGTGTTTTTCAAATTATGGGTTACCACCCAGCAAAACATTAAGAAATCAATTTAGCAAGTTATAACCAATATTTTGAAAATGAAATAAGATAGAAAATGTTAAGATATACCATAGTTTATGACAGTATCCATAGTTTTGTAAATTTTTGTTTCAGTTATATATAGGTCATGATGTAAATGACATTTTATTATGAGGTATGTCAAAAAAAGTCTTAAAGCGGCCAGATGTGGTGGCTCACACCTGTAATCCCAGCACTTTGGGAGGCCAAGATGGGCAGATCACCTGAGATCAGGAGTCAAAACCAGCTGGGCCAACATGGTGAAACCTCGTCTTTACTAAACATACAAAAATTAGCCAGGTGTGGTGGTGTGTGCCTGTAATCCCAGCTACTCAGGAGGCTGAGGCAGGAGAATCGCTTGAACCCGAGAGGCGGAGGTTGCAGTGAGCCAAGATCACCCCACTGCACTGTAGCCTGGGCAGCAGAGCAAGACTCTGTCTCAAAAAAAAAAAAAAAGCCTTAAAGCCACAACTAATCCTTACTCCCTCACCCCCTCCACTTTATAACCTCACTAGACAGCAAAGACAGCCAGTTAAGTACATAAACCAACGATTCTTAAAAGTGTCTCAACTGTTGGAAATTTGATGAAAGCTATGGACCTTTTCTTGACAAAAATGTACCCTCATACAAAATTTTCATTCCATACAGGTTTGGGATTCCTAAACTCCTGCCCTGAATTAGGTTAAGACCTCTTTCTCCAGAAAGAGGACTAAAAAAGAAGCTGACCTTTGGGGAAGGCTCATATAATTGCTGTCTTAGTTCTGAAACAAGGCCTTTTTCCAGATCCAGTCTGCCTACTCAAATAAAAATTATTTTCTTCATTATATAAAATTGTTGACAATGCCAAATTCTCTTTTATTTAAAAAATATATCATGTGGCCAGGCGCAGTGGCTCACACCTGTAATCCCAGCACTTTGGGAGATGAAGACGGGCAGATCACTTAAGGTTCGGAGTTCGAGAACAGCTGGCCAACATGGTGAAACCCCGCCTCTACTAAAACTACAAAAATTAGCCAGGCATGGTGGCAGACACCTGTAATCCCAGCTACTGGGGAGGCTGAGGAAGGAGAATAGCTTGAACCCAGGAAGCGGACGTTGCAGTGAGCCAAGAATGCACCACTGCGCTCCAGGCTGTGGACAAAGTAAGACTGTCTCTCAAAAAAAAAAAAAAAAAAAAAAAAAAAAATATATATATATATATATATACACACACACACACATATTTTTAAATATATATGTATTTTAAATACATATATATATCCTATATATACACTATACATATAATGTATTATTCAGCTTTTATTTGGAGACTCTTGAAAATTTTTGCGGAAGGCTCCCAAACTGTGCCTTATGTTCCTGAAAATGTGGTAAAGCTAATTACAGCTAATGTATTTAAGAGTCAGCCTGGGCCAGGAGTGGTGGCTCATGCCTGTAATCTCAGCCATTTGGGAGGCTGAGGTGGGAGAATCCCTTGAGTCCAGGAGTTCAAGGCCAGCCTGGGCAATATGACGAAACCCCATCTCTACCAAAAAAAAAAAAGCTGGATGTGGTAGCACATGCCCATGGTCCCAGCTACTTGGGAGGCTGAAGTGGGAGGATCACTTGAGCCCAGAAGGTTGAGGCTGAAGTGCCACTGTACTCCAGCCTGGCCAACAGAATGAGACTTTGTCTCAAAAACAAAAACAAAAACAAAAAAAGTCAGCCTGCATTTCATTCAGAAATTTTTTTTTTCTTTTTATTGAGACGGAGTCTCAATCTGTCACCCAGGCTGGAGTGCAGTGGCACGATCTCAGCTCAATGCAACCTCTGCCTCCCGAGTTCAAGCTATTCTCCTGCCTCAGCCTTCCGAGTAGCTGGGATTACAGATGCATGCCACCACACCTGGCTGATTTTTGTATTTTTAGTAGAGACGGCGTTTCACCATGTTGGCCAGGCTGGTCTCAAACTCCTGATATCAGGTGATCCACCTGCCTCAGCCTCCCAAAGTGCTGGGATTACAGGCGTGAGCCACTGTGGCCGGCCCAGAGATATTTTTCTAAATAAATACAACAGATTTTACCAAATTTAGTTAGCATATTCTCCTTGAACTCAAATTACACTGTATTTTCCATGCAATTCTAATAAAGAGGCAGCAATTAGTTTTCATAGCCACTGATAAAAGTATCCAAGCTTTTACAACATGTCCTTGCCTCTCAAGTCATAGTAAGTTCACTTAAATGTTTTCAAAGAGGCCGGGTGCAGTGGCTCATGCCTGTAATCCCAGCACTTTGGGAGGCCAAGGCAGGTGGATCACGAGGTCAGGAGTTCAAGACCAGCCTGGTCAAGATGGTGAAACCCCATCTCTACTAAAAATGTAAAAATTAGCCAGGCCTGGTGGCGGGTGCCTGTAATCCCAGCTACTTGGGAGGCTGAGGCAGAGAACTGCTTGAACCTAGAAGGCAGAGGTTGCAGTGAGCCAAGATTGTACCATTGTACTCCAGCCTGGGTGACAGAGTGAGACTCTGTCTCAAAAAAAAAAAAAAAAAAAGTTTTCAAAGACAATAAGTGAATTTGCCTTGTTCACTTTGTCATTTATTTTTTAATGGATTTTGGTTATTAATTCAGTGATTCATAAAAGGATTACAGAAAATTTTATTTTAAAAACTATTTTAATTTACCACAAGTTTTAAATTTTAAAATAACAAGAACTTGTGTTCCAAATAGTGAAACAGATGCTGATTATTCAAAGATAAATAAGATTTGTCCCTAGCTAAGTGGCTATTGACACCTAAATATACAATTACAGTAGTATAATAATCTCTGAAAACACAAAAAATATAAACAAAAAAATAAAAAGATAAAAAATAAAAAAGAAATTTAAAAATTTTTTTAAAAAGAAAAAAAAACCTCTAGGCCAGGTGTGGTGGTTCACACCTGTAATCCCAGCATTCTGGGAGGCTGAGGCAAGAGGATGGCTTGAGCCCAGGAGTTTGAGACCAGCCTGGACACCATGGCGAAAACTGTCTGAAGACAGTGGGTTGGGCCGGGCATGGCAGCTCACACCTGTAATCACAGCACTTTGGGAGGATGAGACAGGCTGATTGCTTGAGGTCAGGAGTTCGAGACCAGCCTGGCCAACATGGTGAAACCCAGTCTCTACTAAAAACACAAAAATTAGCGGGGCGTGGTGGTGTGCACCTATAATCCCAGCTACCTGGGAGGCTGAGGCAGGAGAATCACTTGAACCCAGGAGGCAGAGGCTGCAATGAGCTGAGATCATGCCATTGCATTCCAGCCTGGGTGACAGAGCGAGACTCCTTCTCAAAAAAATAAATAAAAATAAATAAATAAATAAACTAAAAAGGCATAACCCACAAAAAGACCAAAAAAGAAATTAAAAAGTCTGGGTAGACAACAAGACAATTTTCTTGGAAAGCAGACAGAAGAGCAATAAATGACTAGGCAAGCCCAAGAAAACTGAATCATAGCCCAACTGTGGTAAACTTACGATCAACACAATTTATGTCATACGTTCCCCAAAATGTTCAGAAAGTGGAGGTGAAAGAGAGCTAAAGAAAATAAGGAGGATTGGTTGAAATTGTTTCCGAAGCTTCAGATCATTACATTTTCTCCCCAACTAGTGAAGTCAGGTGCCTGCTGCTCTACCATCCTGAGACTTTAGGTTTATTCTCTAGAGAGGGTTAAACAGAGGGTTTCTAGATTGGGGGATACCAGCAACAGTAAGGGGCAGGGTACAATACTGAAAATAAATAAATTAAGTCAATATATTGAGTAAGATTTTCCGGTCCTCTTTCCCTAATCGTCACCTTCCCGGAGAGAGATTAGAGGATCCTTCTTGCCCAGGCTGGAGTCCAGTGGCATGATCTCGGCTCACCACAACCTCTGCCTCCCAGGTTCAAGAGATTCTTCTGCCTCAGCCTCCCGAGTAGCTGGGACTACAGGCCCGCACCACCATTCCCGGCTGATTTTTGTATTTTTAGCAGAGACGGGGTCTCACCATATTGGCCAGGCTGGCCTCGAACTCCTGACCTCGTGATCCACCTGCCTCGGCCTCCCAAAGTGCTGGGATTATAGGTGTGAGCCACCGTGCCCAGCCTAGAGGATCCTTCTTCGGAGAATCTGACCAGCTCAAGGAGAGAAAAATAACTAAAGTTACTAACATCAACGTCCCTAATTGAGTTGCCCAACCAGATTACACTGTAGTAAGCTAACCACCTCTAATCAGCTTTCAACACTTCCTCTTAAATATAAACAGACAATAAAGATTACCAGATGTCTGAGAAAAACTTCAACATGAAAGACTAAAAACAAATAACTACCTGTAGATTAAAAAAATGCAACTTGAAGAAAAGAGATTACAGGGAACAAGAAACCATTAAAAACTACAGGGGTCGAGGGGAGGGGAAAGCAACTTCACCTCTGCGGTATTTTCCCAAAAAACCCATAACCCTAGTTTAATCATGAGAAAATATCAGACAAATTTGAATTGAGGGACATTCTATAAAATACTTGATGAGTACTATTCAAAATCATCAAGCCATTACAAAAATGGAAAGACTAAGAAACTATCACAGATCAGGGGAGATTAATGAGACATGACCACTAAATACAATGTGGTATCCTACATTAAATACTGGAATAGAAAAACACATCACTAAAAAAGAAAAGCTACAGAAGGCCAGCATGGTGGCTCATGCCTGTAATCTCAACACTTTGGGAAGCTTAGGCAGGAGGATCACTTGAGGTTAGGAGTTTCACATTACAATGAGCTATAATGGAGCCCCTGCACTCTGGCCTGGGCGACAGAGAGGGACCCTATCTCTAGAGGAAAAAAAACCCAGGAAATACAGTTTTATAGTTTAGTTACTATTGTACCAATGTTAATTTCATAGTTTTGACTAAAGTATTATGGTTAGCCGGGCATGGAGGCATGCACCTGTAATCTCAGCTACTTGGGAGGCTGAGGCAGGAGAATCACTTGAACCCAGGAGGCGGAGGTTGCAGTGAGCCGAGATCATGCCACTGCACTCCAGCCTGACCAACAGAGCAAGACTCTCTCTCAAAAAAAAAAAAAAAAAGTATTATGGCTATGTAAGATATTAACAATTGCCTACTTGAGGGTAGCAGATGGGAGGGAAACGATAAGAAAAAATATCTATTGAGACCAGGCGTGGTGGCTCACTCCTGTAATCCCAGCACTTTGGGAGGCCAAGGCAGGTAAATCACGAGGTCAGGAGATCGAGACCATCCTGGCTAACACGGTGAAACCCAGTCTCTACTAAAAATACAAAAAAATTAGCCGGGCGTGGTGGCGGGCGCCTGTAGTCTCAGCTACTCAGGAGGCTGAGGCAGGAGAATGGCGTGAACCTGAAAGGTGGAGCTTGCAGTGAGCCGAGATCACACCACTGCACTCCAGCCTAGGCGACAGAGCAAGACTCCATCTAAAAAAAAAAAAAGATTTGATTGCCCTGCTAGATTATGGAATTGCATGGAGCCTGTAGCCCCTTTGTTTTGGACAATTTCTCCCATTTGGAATGGCTACATTTACCCAATGCCTGTATTTCCATTGTATCTAGGAAGTAAATAACTTGCTTTTGATTTTACAGGCTCATAGGCAGAAGGGACTTGCCTTGTCTCAGATGAGACTCTGGACTGTGGACTTCTGAGTTAATGCTGAAATGAGTTAAGACTTTGAGGGACTGTTGGGAAGGCATGACTGGTTTTGAAATGTGAGAACATGAGATCTGGGAAGGGCCAGCGGCTGAATGATATGGTCTGGCTGTGTCCCCACCCAAACCTCCTCTTTAATTTCCACGTGTTGTGGGAGGGACCTGGTGGGAGGTAATCGAATCCTGGGGGTGGGTCTTTCCCATGCTGTTCTCGTGTTAGTGAATAAGTCTCACGAGTTCTGATGGTTTTAAAAACAGGAGTTTCCCTGCACAAGCTCTCTCTCTGCCTGCTTCCATCCATGTAAAACATGACGTGCTCCTCCTTGCCTTCCGCCATGATTGTGAGGTCTCCCTGGCCATATAGCACAGTAAGTGCATTAAACCTCTTTCTTTTGTAAATTGTCCAGTCTCGAGTATGTCTTTATCAGCAGTGTGAAAACAGACTAATACAAGGGCTCAAGTGATCCTCCTACCTCAGCCTCCTGAGTAGCTGGGACTACGCACACACTACCACACCCAGCTAGCTTTTTTGTGATTTTTGTGGAGACGGGGTTTTGTTATGTTGCCCAGGCTGATCTCAACCTCCTGCTCAAGCGATCCTCCAGCCTCAACTTCCCAAAATGTTAGGACTGCAGGTGTGAGTCACAACAGCTGGTCTGAAATATTTTTAAAATAACTATTTTAGGCCAGGTGCGGCGGCTCGCACCTGTAATCCCAACACTTTGGAAGGCTGAGGCAGGAGGGTCGCTTGAGTCCAGGAGTTCCAGACCAGCCTGAGCAACAAAGCATAACGCCATCCCTACTTACGTAAAAAAAAAAAAAAAAAAGAAAGAAAAAAAATTTTTTAACAAGAAAGAATTTTTAAAAGCTAAAAATATGATCACAGCAATGAAACAACTCAGAAGATAAGGTTAAAGAAAAGCTTTCACAAATCAGAATAAAAAGTCAAAGAGGGCCAGGTGCGGTGGCTCATGCCTGTAATCCTAGCACTTTGGGAGGGCAAGGTGGGAGGATCACCTGAGGTCAGGAGTTCAAGACCAGCCTTGGCCAACAGGGTGAAACCCCAACTATACTAAAAATGCAAAAATTAGCCAGGTGTGGTGCTACACGCCTGTAATCCCAGCTACTTGGGAGGCTGAGGCAGCAGAACTGCTTGAACCCGGGAGGCAGAGGTTGCAGTACCCAACCTGGGTGACTGAGTGAGACTCTGTCTCTCAAAAAAAAAAAAAATATTTAAAGTGATGAACAACAGGAGAGAAAAAGAAGATGAGAGAACCTGTTCAGAAGGTCCATATCTAAGTAACAGAAGCTCCCAAAAGCAAGAACAAAACAAAGGGCAAAAATTTTAATCTGATAATCATGCCAGATTGCCATGGTCATTGCCAGATTAAAAAGGCCCAACAAGTGCCTACCATAATGAATAAAAAGAGACACCAAGGCACATCACTGAAATTTCAGAAACTGAACACAAGAAAAGATCCTACAAGCTTCCTGAGAGAAAAAAGTTCACATACAAATGATCAAGAATTTGAATGCCTTTCAGACTTATCAGAAATAACAACAGAAGCTTGAAGGTTATTAAACAATGCCTTCAAAATTCTGAAGGAAAATTATTTTCAATCTAGAATTTTAGACACAATAGGTTGCTGATCAATTGTGAGGACAGGACATATTTTCAGACAGCAAAATCTCAAAATAATTACCTCCGATAATGATGCAATTAGAAAACATAATTCATTTTACAAACACCAATGCTATACGGGCGTGGTAATTCCAGCACTTTGGGAGGCAGAGACGGGCGGATCACGAGATCAGGAGATTGAGACCACGGTGAAACCCCGTCTCTACTAAAAATACAAAAAATTAGCCGGGGGTGGTGGTGGGCACCTGTAGGCCCAGATACTCAGGAGGCTGAGGCAGGAGAATGGCGTGAACCCAGGAGGCAGAGCTTACAGTGAGCCGAGATCGCGCCACTGCACTCCAGCCTGGGCGACAGAGTGAGACTCCGTCTCAAAAAAAAAAAAAAAACACCAATGCAATAACTGATGTTGGCAAATATCGTAAATATATGTTAAAACTATTGGATAAAGGGTTTTCAGAAAACAACATATTCTTTATTATTTATTATTATTATTATTTTTTGAGATGGAGTCTCGCTCTGTTGCCCAGATGTGAGTGCAGTGGCGTGATCGCCGCTCACTGCAACCTCCACCTCCCAGACTCAAGCAATTATCGTGCCTCAGCCTCCCAAGTAACTGGGATTACAGGCGTGTGCCCCAACACATGGCTAATTTTTATATTTTTAGTAGAGATGAGGTTTTGCCACATTGGCCAGGCTGGTCTCAAACTCCTGTCCTCAAGCAATCCATCTGCCTCAGCCTCCCAGAGCACTGGGATTACAGGCATGAGCCACCATGCTCAGTGAAAACAACATATTCTTACATATATATATATATATAAAACATATATATAATATATATTATATATACATATATCTTACATATAGATAAGATATATCTTACATATATATTTTACATATATACGTATATAAGATATATCTTACATATATATATCTTACATATGTGTGTGTGTGTGCGCGCGTGTGTGTGTGTATATATATATAGCTTTTTTTTTTTTTTGAGACAGAGTCTCGCTCTGTTGCCCAGGCTGGAGTGCAATGGCCAGATCTCAGCTCACTGCAACCTCCGCCTCCCAGGTTCAAACAATTCTTCTGCCTCAGCATCCCAAGTAGCTGGGATTACAGGTACCCACCACTTCACCCAGCTAGTTTTTTTGTATTTTCAATAGAGACAGGATTGCACCACGTTGGCCAGGCTGGTCTCGAACTTCTGACCTCAAGTGATCCGCCTGCCTCAGCCTCCCAAAGTGCTGGGATTACAGGCATGAGCCACTGCACCTGGCCATATTCTTACATATTAATTACAAAAGGGAAAAGTATCTTTACAATGGAGAAATCTGATGGATACCATCTTAACTAAGTATTCAAACTAAATATCACCAATATTAGGAAAAACTGACATCCTTGTATGATGTGTGTGTGGTTTACTCTGTGTGTGCATCACTGGATGTGATGCAATAGAAGTATACAACAGGCTAGGCACAGTGGCTCACACCTGTAATCCCAACACTTTCGGAGGCTGAGGCATTACGACTGCTCAGGAGTTCAAGACCAGGCTGGGCAACAAAGTGAGACTCCGTCTCTATAAAAAATAAAAAAATTAAAAATTTGCTAGGCATAATGGCACGTGCCTATGGTCCCAGCTACACAGAAGGCTGATATGGGCGGACTGCTTGATTCCAGGAGGTCGAGGCTGCAGTGAGCCATAATTGCACCACTGTACTCCAGCCTGGGCAACATAGTGAACCCGTCTCAAAAAAAGAAAAAAAAAACCAAAAAAAAAAACCCAGAAAAAATTAGCTGGGTGTGGTGGCACATGCCTGTAGTCCCAGCTACTTGGGACCCTTAGGTGGGAAGATCACCTAAGCCCAGGAGGTTGAGGCTGCAGTGAGCCGTGACTGTATCACTGCATTCCAGCATGGGCAAAAGAGCGAGACCCTGTCTCGAAAACAAAACAATGAACAAACAAAAAAATGTGTTTCGGGCTGGGCGTGGTGGTTCGCACCTGTAATCCTAGCACTTTGGGAGGCCGAGGCAGGTAGATCACCTGAGATTGGGAGTTTGAGAACAGCCTGACCAACATGGAGAAACCCTGTCTCTACTAAAAATACAAAATTATCCGGGCATGGTGGCGCATGCCTGTAATCCCAGCTACTCGGGAGGCTGAGGCAGGAGAATCGCTTGAACCTGGGAGGCGGAGGTTGTGGTGAGCCAAGATCAGGCCATTGTACTCCAACGTACATGGCCCCCTTTTGTGCTTTTAAAATGTTGAACCAGGCCAGGTGCAGTGGCCCACGCCTGTAATCCCAACACTCTGGGAGGCCGAGGTGGGCAGATCACCTGAGGTCGGGAGTTCCGGACCAGCGTGGCCAACATGGTAAAACCCTGTCTCTATTAAAAATACAAAAATTAGAGGGGCGTGGTGGAGCGTGGCGCATGCCCATAATCCCAGCTACTCGGGAACCTGAGGCAGGAGAATTGCTTGAACCTGGGAGGTGGAGATTGCAGTGCGCTGAGATCGCACCGCTGCACTCCAGCCTGGGCAACAAAGCAAGATTGTCTCAAAAATAAAATAAAATAAAATATAAAATAAAATGTTGAAACAGGCTGGGTGCGGTGGCTCACGCCTGTAATCCCAGCACTTTGGGAGGCCAAGACCGGAGGATCACCTGATGTCAGGGGTTCAAGACCAGCCTGGCCAACATGGTAAAACCCCATCTCTACTAAAAATACAAAAAATTAGCTGGGCATGGTGGCACACGCCTGTAATTCCAGCTACATGGGAGGCTGAGGCACGAGAATTGCTTGAACCCAGGAGGCAGAGGTTGCAGTGAGTCAAGATCCTGCCACTGCACTCTAGCCTGGGGTGACAAAGAGTGAGACTCTGTCTCAAAAAATAAATAAACAAATAAAATAAAATGTTGAACCACATGAATGTATTGCCAACTGAAGATTTTAAGTAAGTTTAATAAAAAGCTTTCCTCAATTAATTCCATGCTACTCTGATCCCTTATCTCATATCTGTCAGAGGATTTAGCCAGACAACTGAAATGTTATTCACTTATTTCTTTAATATGTGTTACTATGTAATTGACTCTGGGTTATCTCCTAGATGAGGCTGGGAAAAGTTATCCTCTCTTCCAAAAACAACAAAAAGGAGAGAAATGGAGGTCTTGCTATGTTAACGAGGCTGGTCTTGTACTGCTGGCCTCAAGCAATCCTCCCATCTTGGCCTCCCAAAGTGCTAGGATTACAGATGTGAGCCACCGTGCCCAGCCTCTTCTAATTGTTTTAGATCCACCACCCTCAATGCCTCACAATGCTGTGTAAACACCAGGCTTTCACAGGCTGCATTTTTTTTTTTTTTTTTTTTGAGACAGAGTCTTGCTCTGTCACCCAGGCTGGAGTGCAGCGGCGCAATCTCGGCTCACTGCAAGCTCCGCCTCCCGGGTTCATGCCATTCTCCTGCCTCAGCCTCCCGAGTAGCTGGGACTACAGGCGCCTGCCACCACATTCGTCTTTTTAGTAGAGACAAGGCTTCACCATGTTACCCAGGATGGTCTCGATCTCCTGACCTTGTGATCTGCCCACCTCAGCCTCCCAAAGTGCTGGGATTACAGGGGTGAGCCACCGTGCCTGGCCAGGCTTCATGTTTTATCAGAATTGCAACGAATATTTGAGTTACAAAACTAGGAGACATAAACTAAGTCGTTATTTCAAACATTATCCTCTAGAAACATTTAAAGGCCTCCAGGTAAAATGCCATTTTGTGAATTCAGAAAGTTCTAGGATGAATTAATTTACGCTCGTAATCTTATTTCATAGAGCTGCATTTAGAGAAAACCAGAGTCTCAAGGAAAAGAACTGGCTCATGGCTGTATAATCTCAACACTTTGGGAGCCCGAGGCAGGAAGATCGCTTGAGCCCAGGAGTTTGAGACCAGCCTGGGCAACATGACGCAACCCCATCTCTACCAAAATTAAGAAAAAAAAAAATAGCCAGGTATGGTGGTGTGTGTCTGTAGTCCCCGCTACTTGGGAGGCTGAGGTGAGTGGATCACTTGAGCCTGACAGGTTGAGGCTGCAGTGAGGCTACAGTGAGCCATGACTGTGCCAGCACACTCCAGTGAGGGTGACAGAGTGAGACCTTATCAAAAAAAAAAAAGAAAAGAAATTTCTTCCTTAAGGAAATACTGCTTATTTTTTTTGCCTTCAAGTCCTACGGATGTGTTAAGGCATTATACTTTATATTACCTAACAGAGATCTATGCTGGAGACATTTACAGGTTAAAGCAAAAATTCCTAATTCCTTTGTAGCTACAACATCCTATGCAGTTTTAGGGAGGCAGTTTTAAGTTGAAAATTATGAAGAACTCCCAAAAATCAGTTGCCCCGTGATGCCTTAAGCCAGATGTGCCTATCGTTGGAAACTTTCAAACGTACATCAGATAAAATATTCTCTCATATTAAGTGGAAAACTGGAAAAGAAAATCCCTTAGGTACTTTCCAGTACTAAATGTTCTATTAAGTTATTGAATTTTGAGATAGAATCAAAGTAAAATTAAACAGCTTGCCTTGCCAGGGCCAGGAATACCACTAAATGCTAAAGCATAAAACAGGACCCAGCAATTCATTTTCTTGCTGCTAATCTACTGATATTACTCCTAATAAACTTAAAAACTAATCAAGCTCCTATCAACCTACTATTCCAAATCTTGGCATGTGTGTAAAATATATACACAACTAAGAACAGATTTGAAAAATGCTTATAAAAAAAGAAGATAGGCTGGGCACGGTGGCTCACAACTGTAATCCTAGCACTTTGGGAGGCCAAGGCTGGCGGATCACTTGAGGTCAGGAGTTCAAGACCAGCCTGACCAACACGGTGAAGCCCTGTCTACTAAAAATACAAAAATTAGCCGAGCATGGTGGTGTGCGCCTATAATCCCAGCTAATCAGGAGGCTGAGGCAGGAGAATCACTTGAACCCAGGAGAAGGAGGTTGCAGTGAGCTGAGATCACGTCACTGTACTCCAGCCTAGGCGACAGAGCAAGACTCCGTCTAAAAAAAAAAAAAAAAAAAAAAAAAAGATAATTTTACAGGAACTTCATTAAGAGTATTATACTCTATTTCTATCAAAGGGGATAACCAAATATTCATAAATGAGGCCTTATATTTCTTGAGAAAGACTCCCCAAAACTGAGTCTGTTTTTTTAAACTTCATGAGTTCATTCGGAATTTTCCAACTTTGCTGGGCATGGTGGCTCATACTTGTAATCCCAAAACTCTGGGAGGCCAAGGCAGGAGGATTGCTTGAGCCTAGGAGTTCGAAACCAGCCTGAGCATTACACTGAGACCTCATCTCTACAGAAAATTAAAAAATTAGCTAGGCATGGTGACATGTGCCTGCGATCCCAGCTACTCAGGAGGCTGAAGTGGGAGGATCGCTTGACTCCAGGAGGTCAAGGTTGTAGTGAGCCATGTTTGCACCACTGCACTCCAGCCGGGATGACAGAGAGAGACCCTGTCTCAAAATAAAGAAAATAATTTATACAATTTTATTCTATCTGAAATAACCACTCCATAAATAGTACTGCCATGCAATTTCCAGTCCTGATGTCATGGAATGGTAAACATTATTGTGGTTCCTTATATAAAACAGCATGAGTATGGCATGCTAAAAGGATGGAATGAGTCTAAGTCTCAACATCATCGAAAGGCAAGACCAACTGGGGCCACCAACCTTTAGGCAGGGCACTGAATAGCCCTTGCTGAAGCCACTTTTCACTTGCCTCCTTAAACATCCTAAGACTAGACAGCCCAATGGTAACTTGAAAAAGTAACAAATTAGTAAGAGAACTGCATCATTAGAGAACACTTAAATGAGATTGGCCAGCTAAACTCATAAGAATTAATGCCATATCAATCAGATTTATACAGTGTAAGTGCAACATCCTTATGACACTATTTGTCATAGTTTCTTACCTGTTTAATATCACCTTCAAATAGTCCATTAGATTCAAGCGAATACAGTACTCATTACAGTTTTTTAAAATTAAAGAAACAGGCTGAGTGCAATGGCTCACACCTATAATCCCAACACTTTGGGAGGCTGAAGTCGGAGGATCACTTGAAGCCAGGGGTTCGAGACCAGTCTAGGCAGTAAAGCGAGACCCCCACTCCACCCCACAAAAAAAATTTAAAATTAGCTGGGCGCAGTGGTGTACACCTGCAGTCCCAGCTACTCCAGAAGGTAAGGTGGAGGACTGCTTGAGCCCAGGTTGAGGCTGCAATGAGCAATGATCACGTCACTGCACTCCATCCGGCCTGGGTGACACAGCGAGAGAATCTCTAAAAAAATAATAAATCAAAAACACTTAAAAATAAAGGCCAGGCACAGTGGCTCATGCCTGTAATCCCAGCACTTTGGGAGGCCAAGGCAGGCAGATTACCTGACGTCAGTTAGAGAACAACCTGGCCAATATGGTGAAACCCCATCTCTATTAATATACAAAAATTAGCCAGGCATGGTGGCATGCGCCTGTAATCCCACCTACTTGGGAGGCTGAGGCAGGAGAATTGCTTGAACCCGGGTGGCGGTGGTTGCAGTGAGCCGAGATCACACCACTGCACTCCAGCCTGGGTGACAAAGTGAGACTCCATCTCCAAAAAAATAAATAAATACATAAAAAATAAAGTGGCCAGGCGCAGTGGCTCACACCTGTAATCCCAGCACTTTGGGAGGCCGAAGTGGGTGGATCACAAGGTCAGGAGTTCAAGACCAGGCTGGCCAACACAGTGAATCCCCGTCTCTACTAAAAATACAAAAATCAGCCAGGTGTGGTGGCAGGCGCCTGTAATCCGAGCTACACGGGAGGCTGAGGCAGGAGAATCGCTTGCACATGGGAGGTGGAGGTCACAGGGAGCCAAGATCACACCATTGCACTCCAGCCTGGGTGACAGAGTGAGACTCTGTCTCAAAAAAATAAAATAAAATAGCCAAGCACGGTGGCTCACGCCCATAATCCCAGCAATTTGGGAGGCTGAGGTGGGCAGATTATCCGAGGTCGGGAGTTCGAGACCAGCCTGACCAACATGGAGAAACCCCATCTCTACTAAAAATACAAAAAAATTAGCCAGGCGTGGTGGCACATGCCTGTAATCCCAGCTACTCGAGGGGCTGAGGCAGGAGAATCGCTTGAACCCGGGAGGCGGAGGTTGCGGTGAACCGAGATTGTATCATTGCACTCCAGCCTGGGCAACAAGAGTGAAACTCTGTCTCAAATAAATAAATAAATAAATAAAATGGAGGCCAGATGCGGTGGCTCACGCCTGTAATCCCAACACTTTGGGAAGATGAGGAGGGCGGACCACCTGAGGTCAGGAGTTTATGACCAGCCTGGCCGACATGACGAAACCCCATCTCTACTAAAAATACAAAAAATTAGCCGGGCATGGTGGTGCACACCTTGTAGTCTCAGCTACTCAGGGGGGTGAGGCAGGATTGCTAGAACCTGAGAGGTGGAGGTTGCAGTGAGCCGAGATCGTGCCACTGCACTCCAGCCTGGGCAAAAGAGCGAGACTCCGACTCCAAAAAATAATAAAATAAAATTAAATTGAAACAAGCAAAAAACCAGTTAATAATCTGTTAATAATCTGTTAAAGTAGAAGATTAATGGTAATTATCTCAATAGTTAATAGGAATTTTTTAGCCAATGAGTCTCTACTGTTTATTCGCTTTTTTGTAATCTTACTGTTTTACGGGTTTGGAAAGATACTTGACACATAGCTCCTATAATTATTATTATTATTATTTTTTTGAGACGGAGTCTCACTCTGTCACCCAGGCTGGAGTACAGTGGCGCAATCTCAGCTCACTGCAAGCTCTGCCTCCCAGGTTCATGCCATTCTCCTGCCTCAGCCTTCCGAGTAGCTGGGACTGCAGGTGCCTACCACCACACCCAGCTAATTTTTTGTATTTTTAGTAGAGACGGGGTTTCACTGTGTTAGCCAGGATGGTGTCGATCTCCAGACCTTGTGATTCGCCAGCCTCGACCTCTCAAAGTGCTAGGATTACAGGAGTGAGCCACCGCGCCCGGCAGCTTCTATAATTGTTAATCTTTAGGAACATGTTAGATAATGAGATAACTTTTTTTTCTGAATTACAAAAGGATTCTCTTCTCCTCCCACAATTGAAAATACTAATTTCTAATGCATTATTCCACAGTTTGTATTTTAATTTACTTCTTTCCTCAACTAAGACTATTAGGATATTAGCCATCCAATTAAAGGAAAAAAAGATTTTAAAGAAAGAAAAACACTAGCCCTAAACCTGTTAAACCAGTCCACGTGACAGGTATAAAAATTTTCCTAGTCATTGACTGCAAAGGAAATAATGTTACATAGTGATCTACACCTGAACCTGTTCACAGCACTTTAGAGAGGTCAACATCAGATGAGAGAGCGTTCTCTGAGGCTGGCTTTCACAATACCAGGTCTTCAGCATTACCTAGTTTTTGAACTATAAATTCACTAAGATAAATGCCACCATTTCCCAAGACTTCCTTTTTAAAAAGCAATTTAATCTTATGCTTGATGTATTTCTATTATGCACTGGTAAATCAAAACAAAACAAGCCTGGCGTGGTGGCTCATGCCTATAATCCCAGCACTTTGGGAGGCCGAGGAGGGTGGATCACCTGAGGTCAGGAGTTGGAGACCAGCCTGGCCAACATGGTGAAACCCTGTCTCTACCGAAAATACAAAAATTAGCCAGGCGTAGTGGCGCACGCGTGTAATCCCAGCTACTCGGGAGGCTGAGGCATGAGAATCTCTTGAAACCAGGAGACGAAGGTTGCAGTGAGCCAAGATCGCACCATTGCACTCCAGTCTGGGTGACAGAGCAAGACTCCATCTCAAACAAACAAACAAAACAACAACAACAAAATTCTACAACACTAGTAAACACAGATGGCTTCATAAATTAATACTTTACCTTTGGCATCTTTCATATGCCCACTTTAAAATGTTTAATATTCTTGGGTTCACATCAGTCCTCCTGTTATGCATTCAGTTTTACTGAGAAATGAAGAAACTGAGGCAAGAGAAGTGGGAAAAAACTTGCTATTTGTAGCAAGCAGGCATCTATCTGGACAGGTAAACTGTGGTCCTGCTCTATTAGGCCACAATGCTTTTCTGAAAAGTGCCTGTCAAATAAGCACCACAGAAATCCTTCTCATCACAGACATCCAGGGCATCCCCCTCAAGAAGGGACAAATATGAGTATTCTTCCCTGCTGAGTGAGAAAAGACCATGTAACCAAAGAAAGCATGCTTCTCAATCTATACTACCGAATTGGGAGGGAAAAAATGAATGGAAAGAGAGAGAAAATCCAAGGAAATAAACTTCTGAGACTGAAGATGTGGTTATTAGGTTTATCCACACATTAGGAAATTACTGAAACATCGCTTAAGTAGAAACAGAATCAGGAAGGCCTAGGGTCTTTTTTTTTATTCCAGTCTTAAACCTCCAAACAAAAATATCTGAAATTAAACTATTTCTCCTGAGCAGTTATATTCTTAAATGTCTCTATAGAACCCACAAGGCCTACACGAAGTCCCTGATTTTTAGAGGTGATTTCAAGTGTCCATTAGTGTCCACTCTCCCACTCTCAAATCCAAAATAATGTTGGCCCCGATCCGGGCAGGACCTTCACGCACATTTTCCTGTGAAATCATTAGCTTCACATCAGCTTCCTACGTCCTATTTCCAGTAACTTCCCTTGATCAGCATGGCAAACGAGGAGAGTAACAAAAGGCATGTACATTTACTATGTCCCTCGCAGAGAACATAATAAAATCCTGGGAACAGGAACTGGCAGATACAACCTGCCTGGCCCTGGCTCTCGCCACGATACAAAGGCACGGAGAGAGCAAGTGAGGTCTGCACCCCACACCTCACTCTGCAAGAGAGAAAGGACTTTCAATGCAATCAGACCCAACCCGCAACGCCCCCTTCCCACGTGGTCTTCTCCCTCTCCCGAGCCCAGAATCGGATTGGAGAGGGGTCTGGAAGGAATCAGACCACGCTGGAGCTGGGCAAGAGGGGTGGCGGGCGAGCTCCAGGCAGAAACTCCAGCCCCCCTTCCTAGAGGAGCCCTGAACTGTACGCCTCCCAGTTCCGGGATCTGAATCCCCACCTCCCGAGACCCCAGACCTCTCCATGTCTCTAGGGAGGGGACCTCAAGGCCTCAGAGCTGCGGGAAGGGCTGGGCTGCCCCGCACCCGATCTGGATAGTGTGGAGCCCAGGCCGCGTGCGGGTGAGCGGAGGCTGGGAGGCGGCCCCCTGCCTGCCGCCGCCCCTCCCTTGGCCCCAGTTTCTCCAGGTCCCCGGTCACAGGTTCTGGGCCGGCCCTCACCTCACCTCAGGGTGGCAACGTGTGCGGTCGGGCGATTCCGGAGCCCCTGCGTGGAGGAACTGCTGGGCGGGAGGAGACGCCGGCGGCTCGGGCGATGGCTGACAGGCGTGCAGCACCAGGCCGGCCCGGCACACGGAGAAGGGGCGGGGCTTCAGGGGCCTGACCCGCCCCCGCCCCGCCCCTGTCTCCCACCTCAGCCGGCGAGCTCCATGAGGTGACTACGTCCGGGGTTACTCCAGGCCGTTCACCTCCGACCCCGCTCCGGGCTGCGGCGCTGCCAGGGCCGCCGGGGGGCGAGGCGCGGGCCCGAGGGCTCAGCGGCAGCCAATGGGAGGGCGGCGCGGGGCGGAGCGATGTGAGGCGATGCCGATGGTCCGAGCGCGGATCTGCCATTCGGGGCCCAGCGGCTAGAGGGCGGGCGGGCCGCGGGCGGGCCGCGGGCGGGCCCTGGGCAGTCGTGGCGCCCCTGGCCCGGCCTTCGCGGCCCCTTCTGCCACAGCCGGGTACGGGGCCAACCCCTCGGCTCCTCCTCCTGGCGGAGAGGGGAGTGGGGGAAGCGGTCCCGCATGCGCCTCGCATCAGGGACAGAGGCGTCCCAAGTGAGGGGCCAGGACTAGCCGGCCTGTAGAGGCGGGGAAAGGGAACCCAGAATTAAGGCGGGCTAGAATGGGGCAGGCGGTGTGCGGGCCCGTTTGTCTGTTTAATCCTAACACATTAACAAGGGGTGGGCAATCGCGTCCACTACCTGTCCTCATCACGCTGGCTGGTTTCCAAGTCTGGGCGAGCTAAGTAACCCCATGCTGGAACTCCATAACCAGCCCCCCGTTTCGCTCCTCAGCCCCGAGACAGCCCACTCCAAAGGTGTTATACATGCTGGATCCTGGCGTGTTGAGGAGAAGCCTCAGTAAACGAAGCTCAGTAAGAAGGGGAATGTACCAAAGAACCACCGTCTTCTGCCTGCCCTGAGCAAAATAGTTGCCACAGCGTTCCAGACTTTTCGGATTGGAGAATGCTTCCCGTCCTCCACTGTGGGCACGCCGAGCCTTTGAGAGGAAGCCAGTCGGTGTCTCTAGTTTTGCCAGTTACTTCATAGCAAGACTTTCATGGTAGCTGTGTGTTGAAAATTAATAATAACTGGAAGGGGTCCCAACACAATACAAACATTGCGTAGGGAAGAAACTTGGAGAAAATTGCACTTGAGAAGAACAGGGTGAACTCAGCCCTTCCAAGGAGGAATTTAATGAAGCATGCAGCGCACCTTCTTAATGCTTACAAACTTGTGAGGAAGGCCAGGAGAGGTGCAGAGGATGACAGTTTGGTAGGAAGAAGTTCCACGCCAGAGAGTAAAAAGTGAATAGGATAGAAATACATGCCCAGGTAAGAAGTTCTTGGCGGAAGCTGAGGCAGAAAGAGGGAAAGATTGGTCAACAAGGAACAATATTTATCTAGGAGCCCTCATAATCCCACTAAGTGGGGCTTCCCTAAGAATTTATCAACCCATTTTTAAAATAATAGGGTCAAGCACAGTGGCACGTACCTGGACTGTAGTCCCACCTACTCAGAAGGCTGAGGTGGGTGGATGGCTTGAGGCGAGGAGTTCAAGTCTATATGTAGTGTACTGTGCCTGCGCCTGTGAATAGCCACTGCACCCCAGCACTGGCAACGTAAAAAGACCCCATCTCTAAATAAATAAGTTAATTAAATAACAGGGATTGGAAGCAGAGAACTTAGGAAAGATGTGGACTTTACAGAACAGGGATTCATATTTCACAATAATTATATCACTAATATATCAATCAGTTGGACAAATGTAGTGGGAGGAAAAAGATAATTGGGCAAGACTTCCTGGTTTAGTAAGATGTTTGATTTGACTCACCGAAAAAAATGGCCTGGGAAGAGGGAAGCCTTGCCTTTCCATAACAGCAGTCTCTGAAGCTGACATGAAGGGAGTGACTTCAAAAGAACTAAAAACCATGCGGTTGCCTCTTACTTTTCTTTTACCTTTCCTAGATCCTCTTAAGTAATAGGAATTCTTTCCCCAGGATTCTTTTTTTTTTTTTTTTGAGATGGAGTCTCGCTCTGTCGCCCAGGCTGGAGTGCCGTGGTGCAATCTCAGCTCACTGCAACCTCCACCTCCCAGGTTCAAGCCATTCTCCTGCCTCAGCCTCCCGAATAGCTGGGACTCCAGGCACAAACCACCAAGTCCAGCTAATTTTTGTATTTTTAGTAGAGACGGGGTTTCACCATGTTGGCCAGGATGGTCTCGATCTCTTGACCTCGTGATCCGCCCACCTTAGCCTCCCAAAGTGCTGGCCGCAAATGTGAGCCACCACGCCAAGTCTCCCCAGGATTCTTAATGGTGTTGCTGTTTACCAGCTTTACAAGCTCTGCAAAACCAGGGATTTACCCTCAAAAACTGTCCTTATGTGAAATTTCAGCCAGCCCCTGCATGTCCTGCTTTTGACTTCACTGATTATTTTAAATAATTGAGCTTTCTAAAGAACTGGCCAAAGAAAGTCCTAATAGAAGCTACAGTGAAAAAAAAAGTAATTAAGGAAGGATGAGTTACGATACCAAGGTCACTTACAGAGGATCTAATAATCTAATTGTTATCACCAAATGCTAAGACAGCTGGGCAGAGAATGAGCAAAGAGCTGTGTCTTTAAGACAGTACAACTGGAATTTCAGCAACCCCTGAGTGTTACGGTGTTTGGTGCATGCCACAACCTGCCCATCCCTACTGTAGGTTCTTTAGAGCTGCTCCATGAGTTATTGCTACACAAGCTATTACGTCTGTAAGAGGCGGAGGAGGAGAACCAAAGGGTGGAGAGAACTTACTATATGAGACTAACAAATGGAAGAGAAGGATGAGTGGTACATTTCTAGAAGCTGATACTAGAGGTCTGTTATGGGCTGAATTGTATCCCAAAATTCATTTGTTGAAGTCCTAACCCCTAATACCTCAGAATGTGAGTATATTTGGAGACAAAGTCTTTATAGAGGTAATTAAATTAAAATGAGGTCATAAGGGTGGGCCCTAATCCAGTATGACTGTCGTCCTTATAAGACGAGGCGACGAGGACACAGACACACATATGAAGACATAGGGCATGCATGGCCATGTACAAACCAAGGAGAAAATATCAGAAAAAAACTAACTGCTGACACCTTAATCTTGGACTTCTAGCCTTCAGAACTGAGGAAATGCATTTCTGTTGTTTAAGCCACCAGTTTGTGGTACTTTGCTATAACAGCCCTAGAAAACGAATACAAAATCCCAAATATATGACTTCCAGGGTTTTCAAGGTGATGTAAAGGTATTAGGGACTCATCCTGAGCATCCCAGCTACCTTCCAACCTTAAAGTTGCTTTC